>NC_000003.12:50313030-50616060 GCF_000001405.40 Homo sapiens | reverse complement strand
GAGGCGTCTTCCAGCCATCCTACTCTTGGCTCCGGAATTTAGGCCCAGTGAGCGCCTCCCCCTCAGCCCCTCTGGTTAACACACGCACACTCACGGACCCCTGGGCTGCATGTGCAGGCTCATCAGAGAAGTAGCTCTTGGAAAGATGATCTTCTGTCAATGAATGAGTGAATGAGTGACTGAAAGGGTGCTACAACTTATTAGTGGGTACCCACTGTGTGCAGATGTTGAGTGGAGATGGGGTTGGGGCTCTGCCCCTATTTCTTTCAGGCAACCTTCAAGCTAGCAGTGTTCAGTGAAGCAGGAGGCTCCAGACAATAGCCTCAGCTGGCCATAGTGAACACTTCTTGCAGACCAGATGCTGGGAATGTGCTCTCCCTGCAACCCCCTGACCTTACAGAGCCTAGAGGAGGTCACACTATCCCTTCTGCCCCACACTACAGACACACAGGACAGAAAAGCCCAGAGAGGTTAAGTGACCTGTCTGAGGTCAGCAGCTGTCATGACAGAGCCCCCATTCCAACTCCAAAGCACAACCTCAGGGCTGGGCTCTTATCCTCAAACCATGGCCTCCTCTCCTAGTCCTTTCTGGCTCCTCACACAGCCACATGTGCAAACATACTCTCACACATGTACACATGCAGTCACACCTTTACACATGTGCACACACATGCATATAACACGTATAAACACACATGCATATAACACACATGCACACAGATACACATGCACATGTGCACACACACATGCATTTATGCCCAGCTGGACCCAGGATTGATGTCCCTGAGCCCAACCTGAGAATCTGATTCAAGATCTCAGAGCCTCTTTGAAAGCCCTATGATCTGGAATCTTCTACTGCTGGGGGGAGCCAAAGAAGGCTCTCTGCTCTCTGAAGGCAACTAGTTTGAGCCTGGTGAACCTGAGGCTGAGCAAGATGTCATTCTGGTGAGCAGAAGGCTAGGCAGCTGAGGGTGGAGGCTGGCTCCTTGCCCCAGCCAAAGGCATCCCACTGAATGTTCTGTGAAGATGTCTTCTTTCTTTAAAATGGAATTAGATTATAATTGCTCTACAAATTTTATAATTGTATTTTTTAAGCTGGTCTCTTTTATTAAAATTTTAAGTTGCATAAGTAAAACTTCCTCATTGTAATTAATTCAAATTATACAGAAGTATGAAAAGTAAGGCAAAGGTGCTGCTTCTCCCCTCCCAGTCCCTATAACCAGTGTCCATGCTTCCACAGGCACACGCATTCCCCACATGGGTCCATCGGAGAGATGCCTTGAAACTACTCACTTAGCCCAGGAAAGTCAGAATATGTGGTTTCCCTTAGTGCTCATGTTCCAGCAACCACCTGCAGCATCCCCTCCACAATGATGGGAGGATTTGGCATGCAGGATGGCTAGGTCTGGTCAGGAGTGGGTTCATGATGGCAGACTCTGCCACACAGCCCTTCATGTAGCTGTGTGTCCAAGGGGACAGAGACTTTGGAATAGCTTAAAGTGAGGGGGGCTAAATCCTACACACACACACACACACACACACACACACACACACACACACTCTGTCCTTACTGGAGAGGGGAGGCTGTACATGGTGAGAGGATGGAGGCCAAATGAGCGAGACTTTTGGGAAGGCACTGCTGTGTATTCTTGTGATTCATCTTGTGATTGTTCTGGGTAGGGAGTGGCAGGGGAATCTTGCAGTAAGTTCAATCCCTGGGGTGCAGGAGAGGGATTATCCTAGAAGAGAAGAATCTATGGAAATTTGGCTAGTGAGGGCATGAGAGGGGGCACCGCTAGGTGGCAGTGTGGGCCCAGCAATCAGAGCCAGGGTTTCTAGGGAGCAGCCAGGGCAGGAGAATTAAGTACTAAGTTGGCCAGAGGGACCCAACTTAGTACTTGGGGCAGAACAGGGGCACATCACTGTTCCCAGCATGCAGGTGAGGTGCACAGTGCTGTCATATTCACACACACACAAAAATAGTTGGAAGGCCAAAACCCTTGGAACCCTTTGGTTTACACATAGACTGCATAATCACTGACCTGTAGGAGATACTTTCAAAGGGACACCCATGGTGCTCTGACATGGACAGGCCTGGGGGCAGAGAAGCTTCACTGAGGACCTTAAAGCTGGATGTCTAGGAGTCGGCAGATCACCAGCACCCATAGAGGAAGTAGGAGGAAGTGTGTAGGCTCCTGGCTTAAACCATTACTTGCCAGCTGGGAGATCTAAGTTATATTGTAACCTCTCCATGCCTCAGTTTTCTCACCTGTAAAGAGGAGATAATATGTGGTAGTTGTGACAATGACATGAGGCTGCAAATTGCTGAGAGTGCTTGACACATAGTAAGTGTTCAGTTGAATAGTCATGGTGAGGGGGAAGAAGTATAGTTTTGGTAGAGAGCTTGGGATTTGGCCCCATAAGAGACCCAAGTTCAAAATTGTAACTCTGTTGCCTGGCAGCGGCAAAGTCCTTTTGTCTTCATAGTAATGAGACAGTGGACAGTTCCTACTGGCAAGTCAGTGGTCCACACAGGGGCCGCATATCAGGCTATCCAGGTATCCCAGCCCTCAAAGTGGGTTATAAGGTATCCATCCCCCCTACCCCCATTCCAAGAAAGTGGCTTCTGGCCAACTCAGGAGGGGGCTGGCAGAGTTGCACTCATGAAGCCCGGCTTCCCTTCAGGAAAGCTACAGAGAAGTGACTGCCCTGAAATCTGAAACTTAACGTTTTTTCCCCAGTTTCACAGGGTTTTGCTTTCAGGTTTCTTTTGCCCTCTGCCATTCTGGGCAGAGCAAACTGAGCCCTGTCTTCCCTGGATGCTATCGTTCAGGCCCTTCAACAAGGCCAGGGGTCTGTCATCCCTGCCCAGGATCTCAGAGCTAGACTCCTTTCTGGGGACCCTGGGGGCACACACTGGGAGGGGGATGGGGGTGGGGAGTGGACCCTGCAACCTCTCCAAATCCCACAGTTCTTCTGGCCCAAGGGTTTGGAGGAGATTCACAGACCCTACAGTCCTTCAAGATGCTCCATAGTGAATCCAGTGAACTGAAAAAAGGTGGAGAGGGTCCTGGTAGGAGCGTGGGCTTCTGATTCAGAGCTGGGACCAAGCTCTTACCCTGCCATTTCCTAGCATTTGTTCCCTGGGGCTGTCTTCTGTCCGCATAACGGGAGCAACACCAGTTGTAGAGGATCAAATGCAGCAAGTACTCCCTGTAGATAAGAGCGAGTGTTACTACTCTGCCCCCGCCATCCCGCCCCAACCTCTATCACCCTACTCCCAGATTATCTCCCTATGTTTTGAGTTGCAGGACTCTCTCTCAGCATTTTTTTTCTGGCGGGGGGTGGGGGTGGTACCAACCCAGAGTCCGGGCCATCTGGGGCTGTCTCTGCTTGCTTTCTCAAATCTGTAGTCTCTTCTCCCCTGACTGGCAGGGCCGGCCAGAAACCAGTGCCAGCCAAGACTGGATGGTCTGCCTGATTCGAAAAGTTGGGGCGTGCTTTCTCCTTCAACTCTTTCAAAGAAAACGTTCTTGTCTGGATCTTTCTGGCTGTGGTGACCGCCGGCTTGACCTCAGTGGACCCACTCATTTCTGGAACTGTCCTCTGCACCCCGCCCTGCCCTAAGTCCCGCTCCAGATCTCACCCCATGCCACCCAATCCGACACCCGACACACAGAGTCCTAGGGTCCAGGAGCGGCCGTCCCAACACGGGGCGCTTGCACACGCCGACAGACCTCCTTGGAGGAGCCGCTCGCAGGGAGGACAAGCCCGGGACTCCGCCCCCCGCCCTGCCACGAGTTCCACCGCGAGATAAGAGGGCCCTTCCCCAACGACGCAGAATGCCAGAAGGCAATCTGGGCGCGGGTTGCTGAGCCCGGGCCCCTCCTTAACTTCCCCGACCCGGTCTTTCCCCACTGATCTCTCCGACCTGCCCCTCTGGGTAGCTTCAGCCCCGGGTCCACGCGCTGCTATTGGCCCTCCCCGACCGCTCGGCTCCACCTTCAGCGTCGCGATTGGTCAGCTCGCGGGGCCCCGCCCCGTTTTCCTGGAAAGTTCTTGGAAATCTGTCAAAGTATTTCCTTTCACTGCTCAGGGCCCCAGACCCGGCGACGGGGCCCGCGCACCCCGCCCGGGCCCCACCGCTCAGCCCGCGGTTCTAGGAAGACGCTGCTTCCGGGAAGGGCTGGAACGCGGCAGACAAAGGATTAGGCAGCAGCTCGCCCCGCCCCGCTCGTCTGGCCCGCCCCCCTCGCCCTCGCAGGCGGTCCGCGCCACTGCCTCTCAGTCCCTGTCCTGCGCCCGCGCGCCCCGGGAGCCTACCCAGCACGCGCTCCGCGCCCACTGGTTCCCTCCAGCCGCCGCCGTCCAGCCGAGTCCCCACTCCGGAGTCGCCGCTGCCGCGGGGACATGGTCCTCTGCGTTCAGGGGTAAGCGCGGCTCTCTGCCCCCTTCCCGGCCACCACGAGGGGCGCACGGGAGAACAGGGGCTTCGTGCTAGCTGCCGGGCATTGGGAGGGCTTGACGGGCCAGAGGTGACTGAGCGCAGACGGACCTCAGGAGCAAGGCTCTGTGTGGGGCTGTGACACTCCCACTCCCCGCCCCCACACACTTACCTCAATTCCCACTGTGGATTGGGAAACCGGGGGCTGGCCGGCTAAAGGAGGAACTCACAGGGTGGGCTCAGCCTGGGTTCTCATTGGAGCAGATGGATGCTAACGGCACGGCGTCCCCCAAGATGTGGCCAACAATCCCAGATATTCTTCTGGGCCCAGAGCACTCTACGCTAGCCTGCCTGCTGCCCTGCCTGCTAGTAACCTTGGACCAGCCCCTGGCCCCCTCTGTCCTGGTGTCCCCTCTCCTGCCCCAGGCTAGCAAGTAGGCTCTTCTTGGGAAGCCAGCCGCAGATCCTTGCCTTTCCTCAGGCTGGCACCTGATGGTCTGCAACTCTCGGGAGGCCCTGGGTTTGGCCTGGTCCTGCTTGGGGTACCCCCACAATCGTCTCACAACCCTGTCTCAGCCCAGTCTGGGATCCCAATGTGAGAAGGACCTTGGCTCCTGCCTCTCATCTTCAAATTTCCCAGACTTGAGGTAAGGGACAGTGGAGAGGGGATGCTGATAAGACAGAGTCTTGACCTGAGCTGAGCATTCCTGGCCATCCACTCTGTCCTGAACCTCAGCAACCCCTTCAACCAAAGGGTCTGATGCTGGCCATGGTGATGTGACAGGAGCTCAGGAAGCTCCAAGGAGAGAGGAAGAAGGTATAAATGGGTGTTCTGCACTCAGGGAGGACTGGGTGGCTGTGCTTATCGCAACTGGCCTGGTGCCAAGTGAGGGAGGGTGGAAGGTGAGGCCAAGGAAGAGGACATGGAGGTGCTGGGAAGACTACTTCTCCCTTGCTGTCTCCAGCAAGTTCCTTCCTCCTGTCTGCATTCTGGGACTCCTGAATACCTGCCCCACCACTGCCTTCCACCCCAGGAGCCTCCCCCTGCATTCCGGGGTCCCATAGCCTCTTTCACTTTTTACCCTAGGTGAGCACCCCCTTGTAAGCTCAGGGCTACTGTTGGGTGTCAGGGAACAAAGTTTTAGACTGCTGCGCTCCAAAGCGGGCACACACATGTACCTAGAACACACCAGCCACTGTCCCCACCATGATGATGACACAGCCATGGACACACCCCTGCCCAGGTACACACTCACCAGGAGCTTGTGGTGATCAACACAGCTATTCATACACCCAGCTACCACATCAGCCCCAAAGGTGCCCACACCTACATGTGGGATCTGAGGACCGGCTAAGCTATCTGGACGTGGCCACCCACAGAGGTTCCAGCCTGACTGGCTAGCCACCAACCATGCTCCTGGGAAGGTAGCTCTGGGCCCCAGCAAGCAGGTCATCTCAAAATTTGGCCTCCAGCTCTCCAAGAGGGATTTCCAAGATCCCACAGTACAGCCAGGGTAGGTGTGGAAAAGTTTTTGTCAGGCTGTGGTGTGCCAGAGTTGTGTGGCCCTTTCTCACTGTGAGTGGTCATAGGGCCATGATTTGTTAGAACCTAGAGGGTCACCTATAACCTACACAGGAGTCAGGTCTGGCTCCTGCCACCAGCTCCTGCCTGCGCCTTCCTGCCTCACAAGCAATACTGGCGCTGTTTGCCCATGCTGTCCTCTCTACCTGGGGTCCCTTCCCCCAGCTCCTTCCTTTGGCCTGGAAGACACAGCTCAGGAGCAAGCAGACCCTGACTCCCCCGTGACACCTGCAGTTTTATGACTTTGCATTATAATTACTCTTAGTGTCATCTTCCCCAGCCAGTCTGGTTCTCCTTGAGGGCAAGGCCATGGTTTCATTATGGCGGTGTCCTGAGGCCCAGCCAGGGACTAGACCCAGAACTAAGGCTTGGAGATGTATTTTGCAAGGAGTGAGGGAGGAGCAGCTGTCTTCCTGGGGAAGTAGAGCCAGTCCCTGCTGCCCTCCCAAGGAGGAAGCCCTAGTATCACCCTGCTGGGTGGGCTTCCCCTAGGAGAAAGCTGCTACTCAGATTTTGGTCGGCTCAGTTCCCCCAACCCCAGCCATCCAAGAATATGGTGTTACTGAACCTCTCAGTGCATGGGTTGGTGGGACCCTTTATTGCGGAAAAGGGAAACTGAAGCCCAGTGAAGAGCAAGCTTTGTACAAGATCGTAGAGCCTGGTAGGGCTGGCTTGCCAGGGTGGGAACTGGAGTGTGGATTAGGTCCCTGCCCTTGGTGGGAGCTCATACTGACAGGAGGTGAGACTTGCCAGTGCCTTTAGAGGCCACTGTCCACCCCAGACCCTCCACTGGGAGAAGCAGAGGCCAGGATAGGCTGACTTGTATGGGTAGGGGATTATTTCAGTCTCTAAGTCCTGGCCAGTGTGGACCTAGGTCCCTCTGAGAGACACTCCTATCCATGGGGAGGTAGCGTGTGACCTCAGGCAGCCTACCATAATCCTGGGGCTTCTCTGGAGGACCCCACACAGATCTATCATAGGATAAATCTACTTGTCTGTCGTAGATCTATCTCAACTAGGACCATTCATCAGTGGGCCATTTAATCAGCCCACTTCAGCCAGGAGGGCACAAACATGAAGCTACTTTGCACTGAATCCTATCAGTGTGGTGAGAACATTAGACATGCCTATAGGGAATGATCTGTGTTTTTGGTTGATATAAAATAGAGAGCAATTAATTACTGTTTAGTAAATGCAGGGCAGTGGAAAAGAATCTTTCAAAAGAGGATCCCCACATGGAAACAATCAAGGTGGCTTTTGTGATGACAAGTGGGGAACGAGATACTGGACTAACTGAGCCCATGGCTGGGTAGAGGGGAAGCTGAGGCTCATAGTGAGATGGGCCAGCCAGAGGTCATGAAACTAGTCTGGGGCATAGGGGGGTCTCTGGAGATGGGGGAAGCATGGGTCCTCCACTCACTGCTCATCCACTGCCTTCTAGACCTCGTCCTTTGCTGGCTGTGGAGCGGACTGGGCAGCGGCCCCTGTGGGCCCCGTCCCTGGAACTGCCCAAGCCAGTCATGCAGCCCTTGCCTGCTGGGGCCTTCCTCGAGGAGGTGGCAGAGGGTACCCCAGCCCAGACAGAGAGTGAGCCAAAGGTGCTGGACCCAGAGGAGGATCTGCTGTGCATAGCCAAGACCTTCTCCTACCTTCGGGAATCTGGTGAGTCTGAGGGGGGAGGCAGGCCTTTTCCTGAGTAGTCTGGTGGGAGAAGCTTAGTTCTGCCTTTGAGTCTGATTTGGGAGGCATAGCCCGGCCCAGGAGAGTCTGATGGGAGAGGCACAGCCCTCTCTAGGGAAGCGTGAAGCTGGAGGCACTGCCTTGACTTGCACTGGATTGGTTACCCCAGCTAATTTCCACTATGTCCCTTGGCCCCCTCTGCACTTGCCTAGGCTGGTATTGGGGTTCCATTACGGCCAGCGAGGCCCGACAACACCTGCAGAAGATGCCAGAAGGCACGTTCTTAGTACGTGACAGCACGCACCCCAGCTACCTGTTCACGCTGTCAGTGAAAACCACTCGTGGCCCCACCAATGTACGCATTGAGTATGCCGACTCCAGCTTCCGTCTGGACTCCAACTGCTTGTCCAGGCCACGCATCCTGGCCTTTCCGGATGTGGTCAGCCTTGTGCAGCACTATGTGGCCTCCTGCACTGCTGATACCCGAAGCGACAGCCCCGATCCTGCTCCCACCCCGGCCCTGCCTATGCCTAAGGAGGATGCGCCTAGTGACCCAGCACTGCCTGCTCCTCCACCAGCCACTGCTGTACACCTAAAACTGGTGCAGCCCTTTGTACGCAGAAGCAGTGCCCGCAGCCTGCAACACCTGTGCCGCCTTGTCATCAACCGTCTGGTGGCCGACGTGGACTGCCTGCCACTGCCCCGGCGCATGGCCGACTACCTCCGACAGTACCCCTTCCAGCTCTGACTGTACGGGGCAATCTGCCCACCCTCACCCAGTCGCACCCTGGAGGGGACATCAGCCCCAGCTGGACTTGGGCCCCCACTGTCCCTCCTCCAGGCATCCTGGTGCCTGCATACCTCTGGCAGCTGGCCCAGGAAGAGCCAGCAAGAGCAAGGCATGGGAGAGGGGAGGTGTCACACAACTTGGAGGTAAATGCCCCCAGGCCGCATGTGGCTTCATTATACTGAGCCATGTGTCAGAGGATGGGGAGACAGGCAGGACCTTGTCTCACCTGTGGGCTGGGCCCAGACCTCCACTCGCTTGCCTGCCCTGGCCACCTGAACTGTATGGGCACTCTCAGCCCTGGTTTTTCAATCCCCAGGGTCGGGTAGGACCCCTACTGGCAGCCAGCCTCTGTTTCTGGGAGGATGACATGCAGAGGAACTGAGATCGACAGTGACTAGTGACCCCTTGTTGAGGGGTAAGCCAGGCTAGGGGACTGCACAATTATACACTATTTATTTATTTATTCTCCTTGGGGTTGGTGTCAGGGGCGAGCCAACCCCACCTCTATGCCCTGAGCCCTGGTAGTCCAGAGACCCCAACTCTGCCCTGGCTTCTCTGGTTCTTCCCTGTGGAAAGCCCATCCTGAGACATCTTGCTGGAACCAAGGCAATCCTGGATGTCCTGGTACTGACCCACCCGTCTGTGAATGTGTCCACTCTCTTCTGCCCCCAGCCATATTTGGGGAGGATGGACAACTACAATAGGTAAGAAAATGCAGCCGGAGCCTCAGTCCCCAGCAGAGCCTGTGTCTCACCCCCTCACAGGACAGAGCTGTATCTGCATAGAGCTGGTCTCACTGTGGCGCAGGCCCCGGGGGGAGTGCCTGTGCTGTCAGGAAGAGGGGGTGCTGGTTTGAGGGCCGCCACTGCAGTTCTGCTAGGTCTGCTTCCTGCCCAGGAAGGTGCCTGCACATGAGAGGAGAGAAATACACGTCTGATAAGACTTCATGAAATAATAATTATAGCAAAGAACAGTTTGGTGGTCTTTTCTCTTCCACTGATTTTTCTGTAATGACATTATACCTTTATTACCTCTTTATTTTATTACCTCTATAATAAAATGATACCTTTCATGTACAGAGCCCTCAATGGGGCCGATTTTCAGTTGTGTACACAGTGTGTCCCCTTTGATCTTGTTATCATTAGCCCCCATTTGATATTTGGGCTAGCGGAGAGGCCCAGAAATTCTATGTGGCTGAGCAGTCCCTGCTGGGGACTCATTAAGGAGTGGAGGAGACAGGGAGCAGCCTCTCCTCTCATCTCCCCTGGGTCCCCTTGGGAAATGGGAGCTAGGAGACAAAGGCCAGTTAGACTGCCTGCAGGGTGACTGCCCTGGCCACTGCCAGGCGAGGGCTCGGGGGAGGGTGGCAGAGGTGCATCAGCCCTGAGAGATGTGTAAACAAGAAATGCCAACTCCAAATCGCAAGTGGAGAATACCCAGGGAGAGAGAGCTGTGGACTACTCCTGGGGTCAGTGTCTTGAGATGAGGAAACTAGTAGTCAGAGAAGTCAGGGCTGGTTCTCCCAGGAAGAAGGTACAGTGAGTGCAAAGGCACCAAGGCATGACTGGGAGGCACGTGTTCCTGACACACAGAACTGAAGAGGGCTTGCTCTGTGCAGTGGGGCAGGGCAATTGAATCGGGGTAGGGGCCAGTGAGCTGGCAGAGTCTGACCTGGGGCGGAGGTGTCCGGGTTCTAGTCCAGACTGGTTGGGATTGGGGGATCCTTTCTTCTCTCTCAGGGTTCAGCACACCAAAAGTGTGTGGAAGAGCAATTTCAATGAAAACACCCTCCATTACCGGACAGTCTGACTTTGGAACACTATCTGTTGAGATCTTCCTGTGTCCCGAAGTTTTCCGCACCTTTGCTTGAGGGCCCCACAGGAAAGCTTCTCTAAAGCTTTCTAACCTTTATTCTGGAAACAATCCTAACCTTCCTGTTGTCTTAGCCCTCAAGCAATTAGAAGTCTTAGAGTAGAAGAGACACTTGTTGGCAGGTTGAGAGCAAGGAGGGGTGAGGAGTGACAGGCTGATTACAGGGAGGGGTAAGGACGAGGATAGACAGCAAGAACCATGGAGTTCACACAGGACCCTGGGGACATGGAGGCAGTCATGGCAAAGAATAGGTCTGACGTTAGGTGAGAGTGAGCAAGAGGTGGGTGATGGAGGGAGGGCTGTCTTTCCTGGATGTGGTGCCCAGACCCAGGTGGCCAGCCACGTGCCTTCCCTGTTACTGGCGGCGGCCTGAGCGCTTGGCTGTCTGTAGGGCCAGATGGCACGCTTCCTCCAGGTCACCATGACCCAGCCAGGGGTATTTACAGTTCCTCATTCCTTCAGTCTGAATTTCAGCTGCTTCATTGCTTCCAGAATGCCTGAGGTAACCCCTCTGTCTGCTTCACCCCTAGATTTGAGTCACCTAGCGGATGGGTAGTGGATACAGAGGGGCCAGTGTCAAGCTGTTCCTCACCTGGTGCTGCAGCCTGGACAGAAAGCTGCTGTGGCTAGAGGAAGCACAGAAAACTGCTTTGTACACAGAGAGAAATGTCTCAAGGTGCCTGCCAGGTGCTGGGCATGGGGCGAGGGCTTGCACCTCATGTAGCACTCACCACAACTTTGGGAGTGAAGTCCAAATATTACCCACGCTACACAGATGAGGAAACCGAGGCTCAGAGCAGGGAAGGGGCTGACCACGGCCACTCAACAAGTGGGGCTCAGGGCAGAGCTAACCCTGGGGGGTCCTGACTGACCTTTTGTCCCCCGGATTACTACATGAGATGGGGAGGACAGGGATGGTGGCTTCCAGGCAAGTTGCTCTTGGATGCTGTTTTCTATCTCCTGGTATCCCTGCCTGCTGAGAGCTCTTGGCCACTGGCCTGGCCACCAAGGTCCTGTTCTCTTCACCCTGGCCTCAGCTCAAGCCAGGGCCCGGCTCCTGTCTGGGGAGGGGCTGCCAGCTACTTCTGACCCCCAACAGGTTCCAGGTTCCATCTTCTTTTCTTGTTTCCCTGCCAGGGCAGTGAATGATGCCTGCCCAGACCCCAATCAGAGACTCAGCCTAACAGATGCTGAAGATCCTCTGGCCAACGTGATCACCACTGTGTGGTCCTGGCCTAGTAAAAGGGGCACACATGTTGACACTAGCCAGGAACAAAGGGATGAGCCTTCTGGTGGGTGCAAGGACCCTGCACAACATACAAACAGTAACGAAGGTCACACTTTATCATTAAGTCCTCCACCAGCACATGTGCTCCAAAGGCACCAACTGGGCCAGACTCCATCTAGGTCCTGGAGACAGCAGGGAACAAGACAGACACGGTCCCCATACTCATTGGGCTCGTGGGCTAGCGGGAGAGACAGAGAGTGAACTAGTGAACAAATGGGTGCATAGGACAAGCTTTGAGAGTGTAAAGAAAGAAAAGCAGTGGGGGTGGGAAGAGTAACTTTGGGAATGGGGACACCCTGCAGCTGGGAGGGCGTTGGGGATAGCTCTGCAGCTTTGGGTGGCACTGAGCCTGGAGACCCAGGCAATGAGCAGGAGCTGGCCATGCAGACAACTTGCAGAAGGGATGTCCCAGGTGAAAGGAACTACAAGTGCAGTGGCCCTGAGGCAGAGACCTAGAGCCCAGAATGGCTGCCCAGGAGGGGTGGGAAGGGCAAAGGAAGCAGGTGGATTTTATTTGAGGATGGCAAAGCACCTCTTCAGAGCCTAGCAGGGGAGTGCTGTGATCTGACCCTCATTTCTAAGGGAGGTATCTGTACTCATGAGGGCCTGGAGGCAAGAGGCCAGAAAGAAGGATCTGGAGGGTAGAGTGTGGGAGCGGGGGCAGAAAGAGGTGAGGGCAGCAACTCTGTGACTCTGGGTTGGGTTCCTACCCCACTAGCAGAGGTTGTCCTCATCTACAGCTGAAGAGGGAAGGCCTCAGAGAGGGGTGGTGAGAGGCAGAGCCAGAGTTCACATCCTGATTCCAGACATTGTTTGGAATAACCACTGCTCTATTCTGCCTCCAAGGGTCTGGCTTGCTAAAGCCTAGGCACCCACAGGTTCAGAAGGCATGCAGGAGGATGGGGAGATTCAGGAGGGCTTTCTGGAGGAGGGGGTCTGGGGGCTGGGCCCTAGAGGATTCTGCCTCCAGGTGGGAAATGGGTTTGGAGATTGATCCTGTGTGGCGTCCCTCCCTGGATTCACAAGCCTCCCTCTGGAACAACCTTCGGACAGAAATGCTGCTAAGCCATCTAGGTATTTCTTGTTGCCCCCAAGGAGTGTTTGCTGGATACCACCCCCCTTCCAGACATACCACTGGGGTATCATTGGTGCCAGTGTGTACATCTCACTAGGTCCCTGCACCTAGGCTGGACTTTTAATCTACTGACTGAGCAAATCTCTCCTGGCCAAGGCTGGACACACAGCTGAGTGGGGCTGGGGTCCATGACTAGGCCCACCTCACTCTCAGATGGGGACCCTCCCGTCCTGCACGGTTGCCCACAGTGAAGTGGAAGGCGAGGGGCCGGGGGCCTAAAGGCCTAGAGGCCTGACTACGAAGGCAGGAAGACTCAGGGTCTGTGCATAGGACATCCCAGACTTCTCCAGCTCTCATAAAGGCCCTCTTCCTCCAGGAGAAGTAGGCCCTGTGCAAGCCTGGGCAGCCTTTGACACCAACCTGCTAGACCAGTTTTAAGATAAAGTAGACTTGAGCTTTGCCGGAAATTCAACAGCCTCTCATGGTGGATGTGTCCTCCCTATCCCTCCCTGGCTCCCGTGGACCACCCAAGGGGTCACTCCAAGAGTCACTCTGGGGCAGCAGGCTGGAGTTCCCACGTCTGAGACTCAAGCTAGAGGAGGTCCCTGGAGGTTTGATTTTGGTCAGAATGCAGACCTCAGAGTGGTTGGAGAGTGGCTGGGCCTGGATGCTGGGGAATGGGGAGTGAATGGAAACCGATGCTCATCTCTGAGCAGGAGGAGACACAGCAGGCCCAGGGAAGGGGAGCTTTTCTGATGTGGTCAAAGCTTCCTGCTCAGTGGAAAGAGAGTTGCTTCCATGGCCCGGGCCTCATTAAAACAGGCAGGGCCTCTGAGGGCTATGGGAACCTAGGATTGCCATGACTCCTCCAGGCAGCCCTCCAGGACTGTCTCACCCACACAGACCCTACTAGTGAGATGCTTGCGCTGGCACCGATGATGCCCTGATGACATGCCTGGTGGGGAGGGTGGTATCCAGCAAATGCTCCTCAGGCAGAGTCCTGCTCCAGGGACTCTCCCCACACCCAGCACCCATGAGCCAGATGGGGCCCTTCCTGTCACCAGAGCTGGGCTCCTCCACCAGAGGTGGGGATTGCACTCATAGTCCAGACTGGGCCAAAGCTCTGTTCTTCAAAGTGCCTCTCAGCCCTCAGCCTCCTCCCAGGAAGCACTTCACTGCTCCCACCCCCACCAGCCCCACATCAGTGACATCACTTGTGTGTGTGTGTGTGTGTGTGTGTGTGTGTGTGTGTGTGTGTGTGTGTGTGTGTGTGTGCGCGCGCACGCGCGCACGCATGCTTGTGCTGACCTTTCCACTTGGCCAACATTCCTTTGTTTTTCTCAGCTCCTTCCAGTGGATGGCTGTGGGAGGAGGAGCTGCTGGGAGAGTAGGTTCTCAGGAAACATTTCCCCCAAAGCCCCAGGGACACGGAGCCCACGAGACATGAGAAAATGAGGCTTAACCAGGAGGAGAGGTGTTCCAAGGGCAGTTTGAGGGGTGTGGGTGAGAGAAAAGGAGAGATCCTGGCAGAGATCACTGTTAACCCAGGTGTGTGCATGCCTGCGGGGGCGTGCTCCCGGGCATCCTTGCCAGATCAGCACCATCAGCCTGGCACCTAGTGGGCAAGCTGAGCTTATAAGGGCAGGCAAAGCTGGGTGGCCCTAGGAAGTTGCTGCATCTCGCCAGGACATATATGGCTCAAAGTAGGCCAGGGTCCTGGGTTTGCTGTTGTGGGATCAATTCACTTTCTCTCCTACCCAGAGGTGCCTGGTTGGGAGCTGTGGGCTTTGGGGGCAGGAGCACCTCCTCCCAGCACCTTGACAATCACCCCCTTTCTCTTCTGGGTCTCAGTGAGTAACTAGGGTGGGTGCTAGCTTCCAGAGGATCCCTGGGCCTTGTGTAGGGCAGAGAAGGCCTGGCGTGGGCACCCCCCACCCCCAGCCTGGGTGAGGTGTTTTCGCCAGAATTGCAGCAGCTGGGGCTGGAGGCCTCTTCCCAGGAAGAGCAGAGCGCCGCTTCCAAGAACTCAGAGGAGGCCGCAGGCGGGAGGGGGAGCGGGGGAGTTAATTTTAAACCACACTGCCTTCAACGCTTCTCAGGAACTGGTTGCTCAACGTGATCTGGCAGGTCCCAGGCGGCTGGGCAGGCCTGGTGCCAGCTCAGAAGTGGCGGGTGGAGGACACGCCCCAGGGGGAGGCCTGGTGACCTTGAGGGAAGTAGGGCCCTGTCCTTGACCACTTACCAGGGCCTGTCCCTCATTCACCCGACCCAACTTTGCTGGGGGGTGTGAGGTGGGGTAATTTATTCAGTTCTAACCAGGAAAGGTAAAATTATAACAGGATTAATAACACAAGTGTCATGGCCTTCCAAGGGCCCCAAGACGATCCCATCCCCCTTCCCTGCTCAGAACCTGCCTGTCCTGCACCCTGGCCTGTCCTCTGGAGGTTATCTGATGAGGGCCTATTCTGAGGGTAAGGCCTGTGCTGATTCTCTATGGGATGGGACCCTGGTGCCAGGCTAGTGGGGGGAGTAGAGTCGGGGGGTGGAGGGTGGCATGTGGCAAGCTGGTGGAAGTTCTGGACCAAGGGAATGAGCCTCCTTCTTGTGCAGGGAGAACTCATGGGCCCGCACCCCATGGTTGACTGCAGTCAAAGCACCTGCATTTCACCGACCTCCTGTTGGAGGTGTTGACCACCCTAGTGTGGCCAACCACTCCCGGCTGACAGCCTAGGCCCACCTCCCAATGTTTGGTCCATGGAATGTTCTACCTGCAGAGGCACCTCCCAGTGCACCCCCTTCCCCCACTACCCCCACTGGCTGCCCTCTGAGACCCCAGCAGTCTGGGCAGAGCAGGTCTCAAGTTCTAGGAAAGGATCCTAAGCAAATGCTGCCAAGAGCTGCAGTTCTTGGAACCAGCACTGCAGGGCGAGGGGACACTTCCTGGAACCTGCTGGCCCTTCCAGGGAGTGAGGCTCAGAGGACAGCCAGTGACCTGGGGTAAGTGGGGGGAGAGGGTACTGAGCCCTTAGCTTCGGTCTCTGCCTCCAGGAAGCCCTCCCTGACTGCAGGTGCCTCCTTAGACTCCTCCATCCCGGTGCTGGATCTGGCATGACCTCTGAAGTGCCCGGTGTCCAGCCTGGCAGAGTGGACGACGAGAAACAGGTGTTAGTAGAGAAAAAAAGGGCATGTGTACCTATGGAGGCAGCGTGTGGGTGTGGGTCCACAGTGAAAGCAGGAGGTTAGACAGGAGTGTCCTGCCTAGGCCAGTGAGCAGCCGGGGGTGTGAAGCACCAAGGGAGAGTAGGAGGGAAAACAAGGTGGGGTCAGCAGTGCCAGGCCCTGCTCACTGAGCCCCCTTTGCTGGTGGGCAGCCTCTGGCTCTAGTCACTCCTTCAGGACAGCCTTGTCTCACCCACACTTCCCTGTCCCACAGCAGGGGGCCCAGGCCCCAGCTTCAGCATCAAGCCACCCAGGACATGCATCTGGCCTTTTGGAAAATAGCCTGGAGAATGCAGAGGAGAGGCTGCAGTGAGTGGGCACTGACAACTGTCTGGGACTGGGTTGAAGTCTGGCCACATTTCAAGGGAATGGCCATGAGTGTTCCCATCACAGGATCCCAGGAGCAGCATTGTTAGAGCAGGGGCCTGGAAGTATGGCTGAGGGTGCTGAGTGAGCAGGTCAGGGTCACATAGCTGGGAGGCACTAGGACAACCTTTTAACCACTCATGACCCCTTTACCTTCAGAATGGAGAACCTCCCCTGGCCAAGGCTGGACGGGGTGTCGGCAAGAACTTGCCTCTCTCCTCCCACCCTCAGGTCACTCCTTGGCCCTCACTGAGCACAGCGCCAAGCGTGCTACCCATCCACCCCAATGTCACAGAGAAGATGGGGACAATGCTGGCGTTAAGAAGGGCTAGGACCCAGTGGGTGGGTGGCAGCTGTGAGGTGGGGCTATGGCAGAGAGGTCCTCCCTCCCCTGTAGGAGGGCAGTGGGGCAGCCCAAGGACACAGGTCATTGCTGTGCTTGTACTCTGCAGTGGCCAGTTCTCAGAAGCTACCTGGGGCAGCTGGCAGTGGGTGGGAGTGCTGCATTCTCTGTCACTTAGAGGCCTTGATGCCTGCACCCAGGTCAGGCTGGCTGTGGCTGGAAAGAACCTGCTGTGGATGAAGTTGACCTGGGACCCACGTGACCTGAGTGAAAAGAGCTATGGGTTTGCAGGGGACACCGGTGCCCTGCTGCAGGTGGTTCTAGAGCTAGGTATCCTGCATCGTGACTTGAGCAAGTCATGAACCCACTCTGAGCCTCAGTTTCCCACTCTGTTTTTGGTGTTTGGTTTGGTTTGGTTTTGAGACAGGGTCTCACCCTGTTGCCCAGGCTGGAGTCCAGTGGCACAATCTCGGCTCACTGCAGCCTCTACCTCCTGAGCTCAAGCGATCCTCCCACCTCAGTCTCCCAAGTAGCTGAGACTACAGGTGTGTGCCACCACACCCCACTAATTTTTTGTACAGATCTAGTTTCACCATGTTGCCCAGGCTGGTCTGAACTCCTGGGCTCAAGCAATTCTCCTCCCTCGGCCTCCCAAAGCACTGGGATTACAGGCGTGAGCCACTGCACCGGGCCTCCACCTCTACTTTGGGGACAATGTTATCACTTGCCTTATGGAATCGTTGTAAGGAGGAAATGTGTAGACTTGGTGATTTTTGTTTCTCCTCGGAGTCTTCCCCTGGATCCCAACTCACCCCTCCAGCTCCCACTTCACCATGAGCCCATGGAGACATGAGCCCCAGAAGAGCTCTTTCTCTGGTCTCTATTGCAGCAAGAAGTACCTGTGGGCACACTGGAGCATAGGCCTTGATGTTTGCAGTGCTCCAGGCAAAAGGACAAGTGGAGGCTCACATACCAGAATCTAAATATTAAACAACCATAAATCAAGCTGCTAATGAAATGTGTTCTATCCTCCTACTGAACAAATAAGCTTTCATAGGAGTAAAAACATCTGTAAATCTACAGTTTTTATATATCTGAAAGTCAGCAGATATCCAAAATGATGAAACTTAGTAATTATCACTCATGTCCAGGTGTTCAGTGACCTGAGGTTTAAGTGAGAGAATGAAGACTTGCCTGATGCCTAAGATATTCTGTATTTATTCTGTAACATTGATTCTCCTCGTCTTTAGTCTAGTAAAATGATTGATTATGTTGTTACAGTCAAGACTTCTACACTATTACTGTTCTTTTCATAGTAATGATTAAAAAGATTAAAATAAGGCTGGGCATGGTGGCTCACACATGTAATCCCAGAGCTTTGAGAAACCAAAGTGACAGGATTGCTTGAGGCAGGAGTTCAAGTTTACAGTAAGCTATGACTATACTACTGTACTCCAGACTGGGCAACAGAGCAAGACCCTGTCTATAAAAAAAATAATAATTTTTAAAAAGACTAAAATAAAATATTGGCCAGGTGTGGTGGCTCACACCTGTAATCCCAGCACTTTGGGAGGCCAAGGCAGGTGGATCACCTGAGGTCAGGAGTTCAAGACCAGCCTGGCCAACATGGTGAAACCTCATCTCTACTAAAAATACAAAAATTAGCCAGGCATGGTGGCACACACCTGTAATCCCAGCTACTTGGGAGGCTGAGGCAGGAGAATTTCTTGAACCCAGGAGGCAGAGGTTGCAGTGAGCCGAGATCCACACCATTGCACTCCAGCCTGGGTGACAAGAGTGAAACTCCATCTCAAAAAAATAAATTAATTAATTAAATAATGAAATAAAATATTACATTCAAAGAACACAAAAATATGTTAAATTAAATGAGATATGTCAAAATTTCAAAAGATGATATAGTCCAAAAAGTTATTGTTATTTTAAAATTAATTTAATTATTATTATTATTTTTTGAGACAGGGTCTCACTCTTTTGCCCAGGCTGAAGTGCAGTGGTGTAATCTTGGCTCTCTGTAGCCTTGACCTCCTGGGCTTAAGTGATCCTCCCACCTTAGCCTCCCAAGTAGCTGGTACTACAGATGTGTGCCACCACACTCCACTAATTTTTTTGTATTTTTTGTACAGATGGAGTTTTGCCATGTTTCCCAGGCTACTCTCAAACTCCTGGGCTCAAGGGATTCTCCTGCCTCAGCTTCTCAATGCGCTGGGACTTCAGATGTAAGCCACTGTGCCTGGCCTTAATTTTAATTATTTTTTTTGGCGGGGGGGTCTTGCTGTGTCACCCAGGCTAGAGCGCAGTGGTGTGATCATAGCTCAGTGACACCTCAAACTCCTGGGCTCAAGGGATCCTCCCACCTCGGCCTCCCCAAGTAGCTGGGACGACAGGCACCCACCAGCACACCTGGCTAATTTTTGTATTTTTTATAGAGATAGGGTTTCACCACATTGCTCAGGCTGGTCTTGAACTCCTGAGCTCAAGCGATCCACCCATTTCAGCCTCCCAAAGTGCTGAGATTACAGGCGTTAGCCACCACACCCAGCCTAAAAAGTTATTTTTAAAATAATCAAAATCACTTAGTAAAATTGAGGCAAAACAAACTATAAGTTATACTTGTATTAAAATTTAAATTAAGATTTAAAACTAAAATTTTACTTAACTTTTTGAAATTGTTATTAAATATTGCTAAATGTTTTTATGAAAAGAAATCTTAGCAGAGTGTGGTGGCTCACACTTGTAATCCCAGCACTTTGGGAGGCCAAAGTGGGAGGATCGCTTGAGTCCATGAGTTTGAGACCAATCTGGGCAACATAGTGAGACCCTTTCTCTACAAAAAATATTTTAAAAATTAGCCACACATGGCAGTGCATGTCTGTAGTTCAGCTACTTGGGAGGCTGAGGCCAAAGGATCACTTAAGCCCAGGATTTCGAGGCTGCAGTGAGCCATGATTGTGCCACTACACTCCAGCCTGGGTGACAGAGCAAAACTCTTCTCAAAAAGAAACAGAGAGAAGAAAAGAAATCTTCACTATTCACAGTTAAATTCTCTGTGAAGGCTGAAGTAGTGTTTGCTCTGCAGTTAGCAAAAGCACAACCTCCATGCATTGCCCTAGAACCTGAACGGTGCTATCATGACAGTGGGTGTTTGGGTTTGTCTCACACTGCATCAGCACTGAGTGTCAAATCAGTGGTTTGACAAAATGGGAATGCACATGAATTCTTTAATCAATTTATTGGAAATTGATCACTTGTATGTTTGTGATACACTCTAAGGAACAGGCCACAGGCAGATTAGAAGAGAGTGGTAACAGACAAAGCACAATTTCCAGTAAGTGATATTGGAGCAATTTGGAAGGAAAAAAAAGTGCAACGTCTACCTCACACCTTCCACCATAAATTCTAGATGGACCAAATATTAAACATTAAAAATGAAATTCTAAGAGTCCTTTAGAGCACCTGCCCTGGAGTCCCAGCAGTATCAATCCCAGGTGTGGAAACCTCTTCCTTTGCGTGGCTCCCCTGCGTTGTTTGCAGGAGAGGTCTGGAGGAAAGAGAGTCACCCCAGAAATACATCGATGCCTATATAGTGTTGTCTCTCTATCTTGGGTTTTTTCCTGCAGAAACCACTCTGAGACAAGCATCCAAATGCAAATAGATTATTTGGGAAGTAATGCCAAGAAGCACCAGTAAGGTATTGAGAGACAATTCCCCATGGTTCTCTCCTATTTCTGCACACTTGCCAGTAGAGGCACTGGTTGCCCTTGTTCTAAATAATCTTTACAAGGGTGATTATTATAGTGAGTAACCTTAGAAGATAGAGGTAGTATCTCCCTCCAGAGCAAAAGGCAGATTTTATTGTCCCGTATACTAAAGATAACATCTCCCACCTGGGCAGGTTTGCTTGCAGCTTATTATAAAAGACGTGGGTCCCCTAAATTCAGCATGCAGTTTCTCCACCGTAGTGCAACCCAATGCATATGCAGGCATCACCGGGCCATCATCACATCACTCTGTAGGAACTGCGGTTCAGGGAAGTGGTGCAAGAAAATGCTTTTACTCTGTCTACTGCCGTTACTGTAAACAATAATCTGTTGTCTGTTTCTGAACCCAGAGTTCTGTGCCTTCTGCCATGATCCTTGAGAATATGATAGACTATGATAGACTAACTTGTTTGCTTCAAAGTCGGATAAGCCGGGCGCGGTGGCTCACTCCTGTAATCCCAGCACTTTGGGAGGCCGAGGTGGGCAGACCATGAGGTCAAGAGATTGAGACCATCCTGGCCAACATGGTGAAACCCTGTTTCTACTAAAAATACAAAATAGCTGGGTGTGGTGGTGCGCACCTGTAGTCCCAGTACTCGGGAGCCTGAGGCAGGAGAATCGTTTGAACCTGGGAGGCAGAGGTTGCAGTAAGCCAAGATCACGCCACTGCACTCCAGCCTGGCAACAGAATGAGACTCTGTCTCAAAAAAAAAAAAAGAAAGTCGGATAAAATCTCAGCCTTCACACTTATTGATATAAAATGGGAGAGGGGGTGAGACAGGGAAGGAAAGGAAGCCAAAGGAGGTAGGTGGGTTTATGAGTGGGTTCCTTCTGTAGGCAACTGAGGCTCAGTCTTCAGTTGGGAGCTGGCAGAAAACACAAGCCACGGTTGTCCCACCCAAGGGGTGAGGGAGCTGGGCATGTGTCTACCAACTCTCTGTCTTCCTTGGTTTCAGGCTGCTCCAGGGGATTAGCTCTCAGGCACTTTTGGTTACTTACCCACCTGGCCTCTGCAGCAGAGAAAACCTCAGCTCACCATTGCAACTACTCTGTGGGAACTTGAGTGAGAGGGGATGTGAACTGCTTGGACCCCACCAGACTGTGATGGGGGCCTGCCTGAATAGTGCCCATTCCTTGTGCCTGGCACAGTGCCAGCAGATGGTGACTGAATGCATGCCCCATGGCCTAAGGATAAGGATCTATTTGCCTGCCTGTATCCTCCACCAGGCCATGAACTCCTTATGAGTAGGGACCGTGTCAATTTTTCTTTGGTACCACAGTATGACAGTGTAGTCCTGGCAATCAGCTCACTGAAGGTCTGTTGCATGAATGAAAGATGAAAAAAAAAGCCTCTAAAATAAACAAAAAATCAGAGTCAGCCAGAACTAGACTGAACCATTTTTAAGTAGAAAAGGGCCATCTATCCAAAATCAATAGCAAGTGCACTTGACAGGGAGGGACCAGAGGCACCCCAAGTGAGAAACAATATACAAATGCTCTAGTCGTTACAGTTTTTCAATATTGTATTGAAGGTCTCAGCCAAGCTATTAAACAAGGAAAATAAATAAGAGCCATAAGTATTAAAAAGGAAAAGACAGGCCGGGTGTGGTGGCTCAGGCCTGTAATCCCAGCATTTTGGGAGGCCGAGGTGGCAGATCACTTGAGGTCAGGAGTTCGAGACCAGCCTGGCCAACATGGCAAAACCCCGTCTCTACTGAAAATACAAAAAAAAAATTAGCCTGGCATGGTGGTGGACGCCTGTAATCCCAGCTACTCGGGAGGCTGAGCCAAGAGAATCGCTTGAACCTGGGAGATCGCGCCACTGCACTCCAGTCTGGGCAACAGAGTGGCACTTTGTCTCAAAAAAAAAAAAAAGAAAGAAAGGAAAAGACAAATTTGTCATTGTCATTATTTTCAGTGGTAAAATGTCAATGTAGAAAATCCAAGAGAAGCAACAACAAGCACATCTTGTAAGAGAAAACAAAAAGGTGTCCAGTTATAAGATAAACCCCTGTAAATTAATGGCTTGCCCATGCAGCAGCAAGAACCAGTTAGGCCATCTCTCTGTATAATACATAACAAGAAAAACTGTAACATCTGAGACTAGATAAGCAGGAAAGTGAACCTTCCATGAGGGGCACAGCCCTGGTGCAGCCACAGTAAGAAAAAATGAGAAGGGGGGAGCTGAAAGCCACCTTCCGCTTGGCTGTGAGTTGTATTCTCCTGCCCACCCTTAGCCCACCAAATCTTCTCCGGGGCCCCTGAGTCAGGTGCACAGTCAGGGTCCTAATGTCCTTCCCTAAACTAGCCCTCTGCACTAGGGGATGGACGCAAGCTGGCTGTCCCAGAGTGTGGAGTGGCTGTGTTCTTTCCCTATAGCAAAGCCAAGGGCATTAGTACAGCTGTGGGCAGGGTTCCTAAGCCAGGCCTGAGGCTCCCATCGGGAGTGGGAGTGGGTGGTGAGAGAATGAGGGGACAGCCAGATAGTGAGAGGGTTCAGAGCTCATGGGGTAAAGGCAGCCTCTCTGGCCCCTCCTCAAGACCAAGTGGAAGGGAAGAGCTCTGCAAACTGGCAGAGAACTTGGTCTGGGGCCATGTAGTGGAGGGGCAACACCCCAAAGACCTGAGGCTCCTCTACAATTTGTCTGGCCCCCACCCCTCACCCTGCCAAATATAGGCACAGGCCTGGCACCCAGTTGATGGTGCTCAGGGTACAGAGGAGTAAATAAAAGCTGGAATAGCAAACTCCACGGGGCCAGCTTTGCCTCGGGCACAGTGCTCCAGGTCTCCTCCCACAGCCACAGCCAGCAGCCTCCTCTGCCCTTGGAGGGCGCACAGGACCTTGTTGGGCCTTCGGAGGAGAAGTAGGGTTGGGGGCAGGTGGTGACTCTGGCAGAGGCTCTGTTTCCTCTTCCAGCTCCAGGGCCCACCCCACTGTGACTGGCAGAGTCTGAAGGGCTGGGCTGGCCTGGGTGTGGCCCCAGCTACGAAGATCCTCCATCCAGAGTCTCAGGCTCTAGGGGTCAATTTTTGGCTTTTGTAGGGAAGTAAACAGGAGGTGGGAATGAGGGGACAGATGCTGGAGGGAGGCTGGCAACAGGGGAAAGTTCCAGAGGGTCAGAGAAAGTAGAAGCATTTGAGTAAAATTTGGAAGGCTGAATTTTATTCAAGGAATCAGGGAGGGAGGGTGGCAGGGAGAATGAGTTCCAGGTGCCCAGTACAGCTAAGCAAAGCACCGGTATTGGAAATCCTGGGGTTGGTTAGTGAAAGCTGGGAGGAGCCTGTGGTTAGTTCCCAGGCGGGTTTGCTGGGAGAATCACCAGCCTCCATTTCCCAGAGGTCAACGGAGTGTGGTTCTCAGGGGGTGCCAAGCTCCAAGCATGAAGCCAAAAAGGTCAGGGATGTGGATAAGGTCTGGTTCATTTCCCTCCCAGACCTGCCTCACCTTGCTGTGTGACACTGGGCAAGTCATGGGCCCTCTCTGAGCTTTGGCTCTCTTTTCTTTCTTTTTTTTTTTTTTCTGATGCGGAGTCTCACTCTGTCGTCCAGGCTGGAGTGCAGTGGTGCAATCTCCGCTCACGGCAAGCTCCGCCTCCCGGGTTCAGGCCATTCTCCTGCCTCAGCCTCCTGAGTAGCTGGGATTATAGGCACCCGCCACTACGCCCAGCTAATTTTTTTGTATTTTTAGTAGAGACAGGGTTTCACCGTGTTAGTCAGGATGGTCTCGATCTCCTGACCTCGTGATCCACCCGACTCAGCCTCCCAAAGTGCTAGGATTACAGGAGTGAGCCACCACGCCCAGCCCCATCTTTGGCCCTCTTTTCTATGACATGGGGCAGTGTTTGAGCTTACATGGGCTCTGCGCTCCCATGACTTGGAGGCAGTGGTTGGGCCTCTGAGGCAGAGTAACACCACACACACACAAACACACACACACACACACACACACACACACACACGTGCATGCATGCAACCCTGGCTTGGTTTCCAGAGCCTGGAGCTCCCCCATCCAAGGGAGGCCCTGCGTGGACACCTATGATTATGGACATGGACCCAGTTGGCCAGGTGCAGTGGCTCACGGGACCCGGTGCTCAAGGCCCACGCCCATGAACATACACGTACGTGTGGGTGCCTGTGCAAGGGTGTGTGAGTCTCTATGCTGTGTACATGTGATGTTGCTTGGCTTCCCCAGAGCCTAATGCCTCCCACGGCTCCCCACTGCTGACCAGAAAAATCGTAAGGACCCAGCTACTCATGAGGGGCCTGTCAGGAGGAGTCTATGTGCAAGTCCATGAGTTCTGCAAGGCCAGGGCCCCACCTGAACCATCCAACCTCCTGGGCCTGGCTTACAGTTGGTGCCTAATAAATGACTGTGCAGGAATGATGGGCCTGCAGGTAAGACAGGTGAGACAGGCCAGATGACAGCCTCAGTTACCCCTTCCCCAACTTTGGGAAGGTGGTCTCAGCCCTCAGCAATCCTAGGACCCCTCACGGAGGCTGTTGGCAGGAAAGGACTCGTCCCAGATGCTGTGTCCTCGCCTGACCTTGTATTCTGCCCCACCTAGTGGCCCTAAGGGAGGCTGAGGTACTGAGCTCTTGGCTGTGACTAAGCGGAAGGAAGACAGAAAGGAGGGGTGATACTGGGGCCCTAGGGTTTTGCTTCTCATTTCTCTCTTTCCAAAGCACAGTTAGTTCCCAGAAATGAAGGTACCCAGAAACAGTGAAACTCTGGGCTTTCAGGGGCACAGGGTCCCCCAGTCTTTCCACCCTTGGAGGCACCACCAAGGGCCTGGGTAAGTCCCTAGCCCATGTCTACTCATGGAGTACTTGGGGCAACCACACTGGAGCCTGGTGGGGCTCCCAAGGACCTTTCAGGAGCATGTGGCCCAGATTGATTTGCTGTGACAGATGCTGGGTGGGAGGTGCCGGGAGCCTCAGGCTATGGGGGCTGGAGCAGTTGGGGCAGACCTCCGGGAAGGGAATGGTCACGTGGGGCATCAAGTGCCCCAGATGCCCCACCCCACAGGAGTTCCTTTCGTCCATCCTTTCACTCTTCCTCTTTTTTTTTTTTGAAACAGTCTTGCTGTCGCCCACGCTAGAGGGTAGTGAGGTGATCTCAGCTCACTGCAACCTCCGCCTTCCGGGTTCAAGCGATTCTCCTGCCTCAGCCTCCCGAGTAGCTGGAATTACAGGCATGAGCCACCATGCCCAGCTAATTTTTGTATTTTTAGTAGAGACAGGGTTTCACCATGTTGGCCAGGCTGGTCTTGAACTCCTGAGCTCGGGTGATCTGCCTGCTTCAGCCTCCCAAAGTGCTGGGATTACAAGTGTGAGCCACCCTGCACGGCCCCTTTCTTTCTGGCTTCCTCCTCCCTTCTTCCTTTTCTTTCATTTTTAAAACATTTTTTTAAAATTATTATTTTTAAATTTTTTTTTTTGAGATGGAGTCTAGCTCTGTCGCCCAGGCTGGAGTGCAGTGGCATGATCTTGGCTCACTGCAATCTCTGCCTCCCGGGTTCAAGCAATTCTCCTGCTTCAGCCTCCCGAGTAGCTGGGATTACAGGTGTCCACCACCACACCCAGCTAATTTTTGTATTTTTAGTAGACGGGGTTTCACTGTGTTGGCCAGGCTGGTCTTGAACTCCTAACCTTGTGATCCTTGGCCTCCCAAAGTGCTGGGATTACAAACGTGAGCTACTGCGCCTGGCCTATTATTATTATTTTTGAGACAGAGTTTTGCTCTTGTTGCCTGGGTGGGAGTACAATGGCGTGATCTTGGCTCACTGCAACATCTGCCTCTCGGTTTCAAGCGATTCTCCTGCCTCAGCCTCTCAAGTAGCTGGGATTACAGGCGTGAGCCACCACACCCGGCTAATTTTTGTATTTTTAGTACAGACGGATTTTCACCATGTTGGCCAAGCTGGCCTCGAACTCCTGACCTCAGGTGATCTGCCTGCCTCAGCCTCCCAGAGTGCTGGGATTACAGGCGTGAGCCACCGCGCCCGGCCTAAAATTATTTTTTTAGAGACAGGGTCTGACTCTGATGTCCAGGCTGGAGTGCAGTGGCGCTATTATAGCTCACTGCTGTCTTAAACTCTTGTGCTCAAGTAATCCTCCTGCCTCAGCCTCCCGAGTAGGTGGGACCACAGGCATGTGCCACCATGCCCAGCTCATATTTTTAATTATTGAAAAAAAAAAAACCCAATTTTAAAAACCACACACAGACTCAAATGGGCACAGCACCAAATTATGACACATTAGAATCCTTCCTATGTGCTCAGAGAACAGGGTTTGTGCTGAGCTTGAGATAAGGCTTCTCTTGCTGTCCCTGTCAATCAAAGAGACTGCAAGGTGGGCTTCAGACACAGTGCTAGCATTTGTAAACAATTATCTGTGAGAATCAGCGGTCACTTTGTCCTGTGCTACCAAAATCAAACACTGAAAGAAAATGGACATTGAGACCAACATAAGACTACAACTACCATCCCAGCCCCCAGTTCAAACATTTGTGTTCATTGCTCTTCGCCCTGATGGACTGTATGCTAAGAAAGAATTTGCACTTGCAAAATACATTTTTGCTAACTAGATGCTCATTTTATCTTTTTAAAAATATGTATTTCAGTTGCACATGAAATGTACTTTGAAAGAATGAGCTCCAAAGTTCTGGGGGGCTGAGACAGGCGGGCTGAGTGAAATGATGAAGAAACAGTGGCTTTCAGTGCGGGCCAAGAGAGTAGTGAGCAATGGTCAGTTATTGAGCTGTGGAGTGCCTTCAACAAGGGTTTTTAGACACATCCATCTGGTGCCTCATCCCAGAACCTCACAGGCCTAGGGACCTGAAATGCTCCCCATGACAAGGCAAACTTCATATCCTCACATGCTGAGACAGACTCAACTTTCAGTCTGGAACTGGGCTGGGTGTCTGTCAGTCCACGCCACCCATATCCGGAGTACATCAGAGTCTGGGTTCAGTGGCAGCCACTTTCGCTGCCCTCTCCTGCCCCACACCTAGCGCTCTGCCTGGCCCCTTTGCTGTGGGCGTGAAAATCTGGCACCCGGGCCGACAGGGAGAGAGCTCAGTCTGCGTCTGCTGCTTTCTGTTTGATTCATCACTTTCCCCTTCACCCTGGAGCCCACGTTGGCTGTGGGGCACCTAACTGGCTCCTGAGGCCCCTCTGGGGGGTTGAGGCCCTGGGCTGCATTTGGCCTCGGCAGCCTGCTCACGCCTCTCCTGACTGGGATGTCAGAGGACTAGGTTCAAACTCCAGCATGGCCAGCTGCTGGCTGTGTGACCTTGGGCATGTTAAGCCTCAGTCCCTTCATCCATACAGTGGGCCAAGGAAGGGATCCCTGATGTGCCAACAGATGGATTTATGACCACGTGTGTGCAGCACCTGGCACTAGTTTACACACTGCAGATGCCCGGTACTGTTGTCGCCAGCACTCAGGTCTAGGAGAGTGGTCTTCACAACTCTACCTCAAGGGTTGCCTTTGGACTGTGTCCCCACATGGTCACATTTGCATCTCCAGACGCCCCAATGCTGCTTCTCGGATATTCTGAAGGCATCCTACACTGTCAAGCTCCCCGACTGTTCCCCCCAGCACCCCAGTCTCCAACTCAGGGTGGCCCCATTTCCCCCAGGTCCCAATCAGATCCCTGGGCCCACTGTGGTCCTGGCCATCTCACATCCAAACCCTCAGCAATGGTTGTGAGTCAGTTCTGTTCCAGAATATCTGATGCCACTGCTACAGACCCCAGCCACCTCCAGACCCTGGACAAGTTGCAGCCTCCTGCCCCAGCCCCTTTTTCCTGGCAGCCAGAAAGAGCAGCCTCAATGCTTCTCTAACCCTGTAACTCAGCTCAAAAAGCTCTTTAGGCCCCTGGTCCCCAGAAATGCATTCAGAGCTCAGCCAAGGGGACCTCTCGGCACCACCTCACCCCTACATATCCCTACCCGCATGTCTGCAGAACTCCAGGCTTTTGTCCAGACTGTCCCTACTGCCTGGTATATTCCTGTCCTATCCGCCCCTCCTCAAGCCTGGTGTGATGACTAAGGCCTCCAGCTCCAGGTCACTCAGCCTATGCCAGAATCACAGCTCAGCCAGCCTATGAGCAAGTTTCTTAGCCCCAGTTTGTTTCTTCGTCAGTATAACGAGAGGGTTCACAGCCTCCATCTCTGAGGATGTCATGAAGGTTGAGTAAGATAATCCTGGAAGTACTTGGCGCAGGATGCACCATATTCTATAGGACCCTCCACTTGGTATCATCTCCCTGGTGCCTGACACAAAGTAGGTCTTGAGAGACTGAGGCCCTGGCCCTATACCTCAGGAGATGCACCCAGGAGCAGCTGCAGGTCTTCTAGAAAG
This sequence comes from Homo sapiens, assembly GCF_000001405.40. Taxonomy (NCBI): domain Eukaryota; kingdom Metazoa; phylum Chordata; class Mammalia; order Primates; family Hominidae; genus Homo; species Homo sapiens. The sequence continues at coordinate 50,587,255 of NC_000003.12, read as the reverse complement.
CCCTCTAGGGACAGCCCTGGAAACCCTTGCTCCTGCTCCAAGGGTCCACAAGCCCAGGTAACTTCTGCGCTAAGCTCTGCAGGGGACAGCCCAGGACCTAGTTATGCTGGCCTCAGCGTCTCTGATAGTCAAATGGACACCAATGGCAGCCTCATCCTCCCTTCCTGTCCAGCTATGCAACCTGACCTGCAACTGCACCCTGCTGAGCCTTGGTGTCCTCAACTTTGTAATGTGGGGACAACTAAAAACCCCATGTGCCAGCCCTGGCAACATAGCAAGACCCCGTTTCTAAAAAAAAAAAAAAATTAAAAATTAGCCAGGCAGGGTTGTTCACACCTGTAGTCCTAGTTTGCTTTGCTTGGTCACGTAGCTCAGCCTCACACTGACTTCCAGGAACAGCAGAGGGACTTGGACGCCTCTCCAGGCAGGCAGGCCTGTTCCTGGAAAGCCAGGTGGGGTGGGGGGTCTTCAGGTGGCAAAGGAAGGACTGGCAGCTGTGAGCCAGAGAAGAGACCTGGCTCGTGCCCCAGCCCTGCTCCTGTCCTGCTAAGCCTCAGTTTCCTCATCTGTACCACAGGGATCTCTGTGAGCGCTTCAGGCACCAACAATCTGCTCCCTGGGCTCAGTAGGGGATATCTGATCCCACCATTTCCCCAGCCACATGCCCCAGAAGAGGGCCGCAGACCTAGTACAAGAGGGAGCAATAAGGTGACATCCTCTGCTCTGAGAGGTAGAGTGTTTGGGGAAGACCCCAGCCCCTGGGAAGGGGGCCACTTAGCCAGGCCTGCCTGCCACGGGGCATGGCTACTCTAAGCTGTCTCACCCTCCCCCTTTAGGCATAGCTGGGGCAGGTGGAGGTCAGCCCAGTTCAGGGCTTTCCATGAAGCTGAGGTAGGCTTCCCTGCCTTTCCCACTTTGTGAGCTGTAAAATTAGCCTTTCCTGACCATTTTCCTGCAGGACTGCTGTATGTGTGAGAGGTAGTCTTTGGAAGAAAAGGGGCCTCTAGAATTTGAAGCTTCTGATTTCTGGTTATGAGGCCAAAGATCCCAAAGGTCCTTCCAGACACCTCAGGAGGGCCCTGGGGGGCAGAGGCTGGGGGCTGTACAGCCAATTACCTCAGAGGGGAAGGCACCCACTCATTCCGCAAGCGGGGGAAATCCTGCTCTCCTCCCACAGCTACCAGAGCTTCAGATGGGACTCAGATCTGTCTGCACACCCAGGGCTACAGTTGGCCTAATGTGACTCTTACCTGCCCATAAACCTGGCCCAGAGGGCTTTATGGGCCAGAATCCCTGGGTTTAGTAGCTACATGGACAGCCATATGAGCACCACCTAATTGACTTAATTAACTAACCCCAGGCCTTTGGAAGCAATAGGAGATGAGAGCATCATACTGGGAGTCAGGAGTCAAGTGCTGTGTTACTTCAAGTAAGCCCCATCCCTCTCTGGGAAAAAAGATCAGGGATTGAATATAAGTCTTGCCATGATCCACCCCTTCCAGTATAAACAGGCCCTCCTGGCTTCATCCAAAGCGTATCCAGGTGATTTGGGGCCAAGCTGACCCTTGAACCCAGGTGTCCATGCTCTCTGTCCCCCAGCTTCTCAGCTCTGAAACCCAGCATGAGGCCCATGTCTGGCCTCCCAGTAGCTCTCCATGTGGCTCCTGGGTTAGGACTGGCTTCAGGAGCCCCAAGCCTTGGCTGGGTGGGATGGTGTCTCCAGAGTCCTTTAGTACCCCTGGAAAGGGAGGTCCTAGTCCCAGCTTGGACAGGGACAGGGCTGAGGGCACCAGTTGGCCAATTCAGTTTTAGGAACCAGGAGGTTGAGAACCCCAGGGATAGCCCCACTCCACCATAGGAACAGAATGGTGACACAGCTCTGCTCAGGCCTATGGCTTACATGGAGGGGCCAGGCCCATTAGCTCAAAGTCAGGGGCTGCTGTGCTCATTTCACAGATGCAGTACCTGCAACCCAGAGAGTACAGGGCCCCTGCTCATCCTCACACACCCAAGGGGTCCTGGGCCAGTCACATAACTCCACAGGAGAGCAGGAACAGGCTTGGTCCCAGTCTCTGAGGTCCTCTCTGGACCCAGTCTCTGGAGATGGGCCATGGAGGCCAGCCTTGCACTTTCTCCCCACATCCCAGTCCCATTCCTCACCCACTCCCTTCTGGGACCCATGCTGGTCAGTCTTTCAGTCTTCTCACTCTGGGAAAGGGCCACCTCTCTCCAAATATGAGTAAAAAAAGGGGGGGCCTGGGCAGTTTAGGTCTGAAGGTTGAGGAAGAGTTCCCCTGGCCACATCACCTATCAGAAGAGAGGTGGTTAAGGCAATTTATCATGACTCTCAAAATTCTTCCAGCCTCTGCCCATTTCCACGTTGCAATTCCAAAGCCACTTCAATCAGTAGGCGTGTGTTACAGCAGCACTCTAATTTGGGCACCACAATCTATATTCGTTTCCCGTGGCTGCTGTAACAAATTATCACACATGTGTTTTCACACATGTGAAAACAACACAAATTTATGATCTTACTGTTCTGGAGGTCAGCAATCTGAAATCAGTTTCACAGGGCTTAAAATCAAGGTATTGGCAGGACTGCATTCTTCTTGAGGCCCCAGAGGAGAAGAGGCTGTCTGCATTCCTCGGCTCATGGCTCTTCCTCCAGCAATTGCATCACTCTGACCTCTGCTTCCATTGTTACATACATTTTCTTCCGTCACTCTGACACTCCTGCCTCCTTTACAGAGGCCCTTGTGATTATACTCAGTTTACCTGAAAAATCCAGGATACTCCTTCCATCTCAAGATCCTTAATCACATCTGCAAAGTCCATTTTGCTATGTGAAGGTAATATAGTCACATGTTAAGGTTTAGGTGATTAAGACACTGCCATTTTGGGGGGTCACTGTTCAGCCTACCAGAGCAGGGGTAGAGTTGCTTTGACAGTCCCAAATCCAGTTCAGGGGGCTTGTCCAGGGCAGAAGGTCATGAGGAGGAGATCAGGTCACTGTCCTAGCCAGGACTCTGGCTGGGGGCTGGCTGAAGCCAAGAGCTCCAGGAAACCTGGCGCCTGCTCCTACTGCCGCCAAGGACAGCCTGTTCTCCTGGTGTGGCTGTTGCGCAGGGATCAGGTGCACTTGAGTCTTCGAAGTGGCCATTGCTCAACTTGAATGGCTGCCTGGGTCGGGCAGAAGGCCAGGTCCTCATGGCTTCCCATCCCTAATGACCGGAATACATGGGCTGCCAGGTCAGATGTGGGCCACATGGGAAGTCCCAGCTCTATTCTAGAAAATGCATGTACCATCAGCTTACTGATAGACATTTACTGAACTTGGGTATGCCAGATCCACAGGGGGCCCCAGAGATGAGGGGGATAAGAAGGTTTCTGAAGGCATGGTACAGAAGGTGCCAGCAGAGGTATGGGCTAGGGGAGGCAGGGAGAGCACAGAGCAGGCATCCTAAAGGAGGCAGCATTTGTGTTGGAGCTTGAAGAAGTGGATTGTTTGCACCGCCTGGGCAAAGGGAAGGTGTGTGTTCAGGGCATCGAGAGTACTGCACAAAGGCTGAAGCCCAGGGCAGTAGAGAAGAGAATCCACTAAGAAGGAGCCAATGAAGAAAAAAAAGAGAAAAGAATCGAAGGTGGATAGGGAAAGACATGCTGTCCCGCAGAGGTTAAAGGGGTTCTCACCTCAAGCCAGCAGTTCTCAAACCTTGTCAGCAGTGGAGCCCTTTGTTCTGATGACAGCCTACTCAGAGCACTGATGGGGCCTTGGGAGGGGCCCCCAGGGCTTTTCCCACAGTTGTCCTCCCCCACCTCTTCAGAACTGGATTCCATAGGACACAAGAGAACACACTTAAGTCATGGGGAGCCAGCTAAGTGTTTGGGGCAAGGATTGGGAGCAGCCAATAGCCCAGGGTCCAGGTGGGGGTAAAGGAGCAAAAAAGAGTATTTTTTGCATTTAGGGGGTTCGGGGCCTATTTCAATAAGGCAGCTGTATGAGACCCATGGAGAAACCCACTGACAACTGGGAAAAGCATCCAACTGTGAGACAAGGCCTCAGTTTCCCCAACTATCAGAAGAGGAGATAGAATTACTCTCCCAGAGTACATCAAACAGGGACTCCTACACTCCTGTCTATGCTCTGGGCTCTGGCTGAAGGAGGCTGCACGGGCAGTGGGCACATCTCTCAAGACCTCAGGGGCTTGCACAGCCTGGACTCCATCAGCTCCATGTCCTCCTCCCATTCTGCCTGCAAGTGCTCCTTGACATATGCTGGTGGTGGTGGGGAGGCTGTTCGAGTCTCTGGCTTTGGCCTCAGGAGCAAGGGAGGGGATAGGGCAGGTGGGCCTGGCTTTCCCTGAGCTAGAGCCACTGGCTGCCCTGGCCTGGGCCTCAAGGCACTGGGGCCATAGTGAGGAGAGGCTGAGGGGAGATGTAGGCTGCCAGGCTACCAGCCTGCTGGCTCCATCTCTAGACAACAGTGAGGAGTCAAGAGCCCAAGACTGAAACTCCTGCCTTCCCTTCTTTCCAGACTGCCTTGTATCCCTGCCTGCCTTATGTTGGTCCCATGCATCAGATGGACGCCTGAGGGCACTGGGTCCTTCCTCCCTGTGTCTGCCCTCCGAGGAAGGCAAGGAAAAATGCCACAATGTGCCAAGCCAGGCACATCCCATGGGCTCCTCACATGCATCCTATAAAATAAAGCATTAAGTCCCATTTCTCAGCCTTAGAAGCCAAGGCTGAGTGAGGTGAAGTCATCTGCCCAAGGTCACATCCTCGTGAGGGGCAGATTCTGGGATTGAAATCCAGGCTGGTGTGGCTCCAACATCTGGGCTCAACGTCCAGGGCCCAATCAAGCCAGTGGCTGCAGGCTTGAGGCCCCGCCTGCCAGTCCTCTTGGCTTGGACCTTTTCCTCAGCAGAGTCAAGCTGCACATTTTTCTGGGCAGAAAGTTGTGCCCGAGGCCGGCTCCTGCTTGTGGCCCCAGCTGCCCCGACAGTGTCACTCTCCAACACTGCACTCTCTTCTGGTGCAACATCCACAAGCTCGCCAAGGCCCTTCCTCAGGAATGGGCCTGAGGCCAGGAGGGAGAGACCATCAGGGAAGCCAGGACTGGCTGAGGTGTAGGGGGGCGACAGACTGCTCCGAGGTCAGGGCAGCTACCCTGAGATGCTGCTGAAGACAGCAAGAGCCAAAGGGCACAAGGAGAAAGACAGAAAGGGCAATACTGGTGAGGACCTTAGCAGGCAAAGGTCTGTGAGCATGGGGGACTAAGGAAGTGGGGAGCCTTGCCCTGGTTGTGCACCCCCTTCGCCCTCCCCACCCAGGTTCCTTCTGGAGCAGCCTCCTTAAAGGAAGCCAGGGGCAGCTCAGAGTCCATGCAGCTGGGGCTGGGCACAGGGCAGGACACTGGGGCACTGGGAGCTGCAGTGTGACCTCTACCAAATGTGTCCTCCAGCCATAGTGCAGGGCAACACTTAGGCTGGGTATGACTCCAGCAATATAGGCTCCCCAAAGGGAGGGATCTAACTTACTGTCTCCACTTGGTCACTGTCATGTGACCTCAGGCAGTACATACCTTCTCTTGCTCTCCATGCCTGGCGAATGGACATTCAGATGCCAGCATGCACATTCCACTTGACTAAGAGTAAAGAGGTTGCCAGTTGGCGTTGGCCCTGGACTCAGAAGAGCCAGCTTCTCATAGGGAAAGGAGTTGCCCAAGGTCCCACTGCAGGACACAGCCCTGGAACTCAGCTCTCCCAGCTGCAGCAGAGGATGCTGCCTATTGGACCATACTGCCCATCAGACCATACTGCCAGGCCCTGGGAAGTGCCAGGGTGGCAGGGGGCAGTCTAGTGGAATGAGACAGCCTGGTTTGCCATGTTTCTTAGGACCCACCCTGATGTAGGCTCACATCACCAGCACTCACCAACCTAGAGATTTCCTGTCGCTGTTGACAGGAAGGCTGGATCTGCAGGCCTCCTGGTGGCCATGAGTCTGCACAGACCAGAGCTGGGGTGGAGGCCACAACCCTGTGCCCAGTATCTCAGCTTCTCACTCTCCCCAGCCCCAACCAGGGACACATGGGTTATTTGAAACCCCAGGGGGTCAACTCGGGAGGGATGTTTTAGCTAAAAGCTATGGGGATAAAAAGGAAACACCCCTCACTGGCTCAAGCCTTCAGTTAAATGAACGTGGATGTGCGACCCAGGAACTGTGCAGCAAAGACCTCCAGACCCTCCCCTCCAGAAAGCAGGCAGTCATCCTTGAGCCAAAACGCAGATGAGCTTCCTGTGCTCGAGCCAGGCTTGGCCAGGGAATTGTGTACGCATGCACCCAGGGCAGTGGAGGACTAATCAATCCCTGGGAGTGAGCTGCTCTATGCCAGGACCCATGGTATCCAAGGCCAGGAGTGAGGACTCACGTGCCTTCCTCCACACTGCACCCCCACACCACTACCAAGCAGGGGACTGACGGCCAGCCCTGCTGGGGCAGAAGGAAACCCTTGCCCCAGTGCTACCTGGGAGTAAGGGGGTCAGGGGACCTGCAAGTCATGGACAAAACATTAGGTCACCATTTGTTAGTCTCTCAATACTTTACTGGCCATATCCCCCGATACCCCCACAGCAATTTCACCAACACAGAGCAACTGCCCTCAGCCACTCTGATGTGATGGAGCCAATCCAGGTGTCCTAGAAATATCCTAGAAATGCAGAGCATGGGGAAATCACAGAACCCTGGGAAATGCCATAAGAACCTGGGCTCTGGAAAGTGCCATCCACCTCCCCTCTGGTCAGGCTGGCGGCACTGACAAGGCATCCACAGGGCAGCCATGCTATGGCCCAGACCTCCGGATATGCAGGAACCGGGGCCTGAGGAGACAGGGACAGGGGCTGGTTACCACCTGGGCCTCAGGGAATGAACAGGAAGTGGGAACAGCACACTCTCCTGACAGCCAGGGCTGAGGATGGCCCCAGTGGAAAGACCAGCATGCTACAGGGCTAAAGGGGGCTAGGATCTTACCTCCCACAGAAGTCCCTGCGCACAGCCACAAGATTAAGGTACAGGTCAGGCCGGCTCTGAAGCCAGCTGCTGACAAGCTCCGGGTGCCTTGGGTCCACTTCTAAGAAGATACTACTACATGGGGGAGAAATGGGTGGGCTCAGCAGGACAGGTCTGGCGCCTGCCCTTCTGGGCTGCTTGGGCTGGCGAGGTGAGGGTCCTGTGCTGACCTCTGCCAGGGCCTGCCCAGTACACATTAGGAGCAGAGGAGCCTGCTGGGGACAGACCTAGGAGACCCATCCCATTCATACCCAGAGTCTTTCAGGAGCCGGGGTGCCAAGGCCAGAATGTGGGTAATGATGTCCATGCCCTCCTCCCCACCATCCAGGGCCGCGGGGTCTTCATAGCTGAAAGGCAAAGCAGTGGGAGGTGACAGCCTGAGAAAGGGGTATCTGAAATGCATGGAGGGCATGGGCAAGGCCTCCATGAATGGGGCCCTGTGGAACTTACACTCTGGGCTGAAGGGCAAATCTGAGGACCCAGAGAAGGAGGGCCCCAAATGGGTGGCAGCTCCTCTTCTCTTCCTCCCATGGGCAGCACCCTACCAGGCAGCGCCAGGCATGCTTGCTGAATCCCACTGGCTGATGGCCTCTCTTGATGCACTGACTCATGTCAGGGCATGAGTGTCTCCCCACAGGCTGCTCCTCTTCTTGGTCTGGGAGATCTGGGGCTAGCCCTGACCACTCCTGAGAGCCCAGAAAGGGAGAGCCAACACCCCAGCCCCATCCAACATGACTGCTGCCCCATCCAGGACTCCTGGGCTGCCCCTGGTTCTCAGCCCCTGTGTAAGAGCAGGATGGCCTGGCACAAAGCTAGCCTGGGGCCAGCTTTTAGTCCCGGCTTTCCCACTGAGCCCCCATGCGACCACAGACAAGACACCTTCCCTCTCTGGGCCTCAGTATTCTATAAAATGATGCGCCCATCTACTGAGCACCCTGTATGAGCCCTCCACTGTGTTTGATGCTTTCAAGTCGTCACTGAGTCCTCCCGTGGCCCTGCAGAGCACTACCTCTCTTTTTCTAGAGGCAGGAAACAGGTCCAGAGAGGTTCGGTGGCTGTCCAGTAGTTTTAGTAGGAAGTAAGGAAGTAGGAAGGTAGAAGCTGAATCTAGGTAGGACTGTGGGCTCTCGAGTGCGTCAACTTAACACCATTGCCCATTTCAGCACCAACTCCCCTGTCCCTCCAGATGGTGTGGTCCTCGAGGGCAGACTAATCCCATCAGGCCTTTTCAGGCCTGGCCTCCCTGGCCCACCCTGCTTAGCACCTGCGGATCTCAGGGGCCAGCTGCTCCATGTCCTGGTGGAAGACGTAGGGAGGGTTGCTGACAATCAGGTCCATGGGGCCCCAGGGCAGGTGTGTCCAGCTCCTTTCTGTCGTCAAAGAAGAGGACACACAGTAGGGACTAACCCATTGGGAGGTAAAGGATGATAGCTCCACCTGCCACCATGTCCCTCTCACCATGCCACACCTTGGGCCTGCCTCTGGATCTGATAAGCCAGACCTGCAAATTAGTGCCCAGGGTCCCCAGCTGGCAGCCTGGTGGGGAATGTGCATGCTTTAACATGGCAGCCCCTCATTTCAAGGCATAGAGTGTCCTTGCCAAAAATCCTCCTTATTATGCAAGACTCTGTTCAAGTGCCACTTCCAGGGCGTCCTCCCTGATTGCCTAGGCAGAAAAGAGCCTTTCTCTTCTGTAGCTCCACTAGCCTTATAGCCAACATGGACTGAGAGTACATGGAGGGTAGGCCTGGCCTCATCAGCCAATTCCTGATGGCTCTGACTACTGGTTTCACCCTGTGCCAGGTGCTACACCAAGTATATCACATTCCATGGAGGGGGCACTGAGGCTCAAGGATCCCACGGGTAAGGCAATGGAGCCAGAACTGGAGTTGGAGGCCTGGAGACACTGTAAAGGCTATAGCTGAGCTGTGCAGTGCCTGGACCACTTCCCCTGCCAGGCAGGGGGAAAGGGGCACTCAAGTATTTTGGTCCTGAAGGCATTATTTTAAGCTTTTGCTTATCTGTTGCCAACAAGCAAGCCCTTAACTCATTGGTTGTGAGGAATTCGGAAGTTCTCTGTGGCTGGTCCCTTATGGGTCAGGTCAGCCTAGGAGGCAAAAGCACCTTGTCTGTCCTCAGCCAAGGCTTCGTTTGAGCTGCCACAAACGTGCACACACACACGTGTATGTGTGTGTGTTGTGTGTGGCTGTGTGGCTGTTGGGGGAGCTCTCCCTCCATCTCCACGGAGTGCCTCATCCACCCAGCAGCACCTGCATCTAGTCTCCCTCTCTCAAGGAACATGCAGGGGAGGGTACCTGAGGTCATGTCGAGGTGGATGATCCAAATCCTGTCCTGCAACCGAAGCCTACACAGACAGGGAGAAAGGGGTAGGCACGGGGGCAGACCCCTACCCTTCACTACAAGAATGAGGTCTTATAGTCAACCCTTCTTGGACTGGCAAGATACTCACTGCCCACTACCCATTCAGAACCCCATGGGACCCATGCCAGGCTACCCCACTGCTTCCTCCTTCTTGGGAGTAGAAATCAGACATTGGTGAGTTTGAAACCTGAAAAGGAGTCAAGATTAGGCCCCAAAGTGCAACTCCCCCACCTACCTCTGAGCATTCTCATGGGTCAGAGAGATAGCAGCTTCCCGCTTATCCACAGCAATGACTCGGCTCTGTCCCAAGAACAAACAGAGGATATGTGGAAGGCAATGCTGAGAGATGCTGGAAGATACTGGGCCTGGGGGACCCTCCTCCAACCCCCCACCAGAAGAGAAGGGAAATACCCAACAGCCTTTTCTTCTTGGCCAAAGTCTAGCCAGATAGATGTGGTAGGCGTTAGAGTCTGTGAACCACAGTGGGCTAGGGGCAGCCCTGTCCTCCCTCATCCAGCTGCTTCCCCTCAAGCGCTCCTAGCAGAGGGATGTGGGGGAAGCACTAATGGGAGGGACAGTGAGTGTCAGTCACAGTCTATCCAGAGTGGGTGGAGGGGCTCACCTGGGGGAGCTGGCTCAGCAGGCTGAGGGAGATGGCTCCTGATCCGCAGCCCACCTCCAGAATGAGGGGGCTGCCTGGGGATCCCACAGCATGGGACCTCTGGGCCACCTCTTCCAGCACCCACTCAACCAGTTCCTGTGAAGCAGAGGGATCTGGATCAGAGTCGGTGCCAACGTGGCTCCTGGGGGTCTTGGTACAGAGGCCTAAGCAGTTACCCTTGTGAACGTAGGAAGGGGAGGTAGCCAAAGCCAGACTGACCTTCATGTCAGCTGGGGCATGGCCAAGTCACCCTGCCCCTCCAGGCCTCAGCTTCCCCATCTGTACATCTGAGCCCAGTTGAGGATAGCCCACCTCGTGGGGATGTGGTGGGGATTAAATGCACTAATCCACACCTGTTTCATGTTAAGTGTTCAATCAACCCCAGCTAAGCCCTTTACAGACATCCTCCCATTCTGTGCTTACAGAAATGCTAAGAACTGGCTGGGCACGGTGGCTCATGCCTGTAATCCCAACACTTTGTGAGGCTAAGGTGGACAGATCACTTGAGTTTGGAGTTTGAGACCAGCCTGGCCAACATGGTGAAACCCCGTCTCTGCTAAAGGTGTGAAAATTTGCCAGGCATGGGCATGGTGGCGGATGTCTCTAGTCCCAGCTACTCAGAAGGCTGAGGTGAGAGGGAGAATTGCTTGAGCCCGGGAGGTAGAGGTTGCAGTGGATCAGGATCGCGCCACTGCACTCCAGCCTGGGAGACAGAGCAACACTCCATCTCAAAAGAAAAAAGCTAAGAACCATACCTGATAGTTCCTGTCCACTCCCTCTGGCCTGACCCTGCTCCCAGAGTTTTTCCTGTATTAATCTGTTAAATCCTCACAAGTGTCCCATGAGGAAACTGAGGCCTGGGGTCAAGGCCCCACCTGAGCCTGGCCTGTGGTTTCATGGTGGCCAAGAATCAGGAGCTGGTGTGTCCCCAGCCTCCTCACAGAGCTGGGCTTGAGAGGCCCCCAGGGAGGCTCCTAGGCCAAAGGGACAGGGAATTCCCTCTTTTGGAGGAGATGGGCCATGGGGGGACATGGTCCTGACTAAGGACCTGAGGGCTGTGGCATACACAGGCATAGGTCAACAGGCATGGGTGCAGAGGGAGGTGCCTGACTGCACTGTACCTGCCCTGGCAGCAGGAGGACATTTTCAGACACTGTCACTTTGGAAACAAGAGGGTTTCAAGCCTTGCCTACCCAGCCACTGCCTGCAAGGACTATGCCTGTAAACCAACATAGGGTAGGGGTAAAGGGTGGAAGGCTCCTGCCGTCCAATGGCCAAAATTTTTCTAACCAGCAGTGGAGTGGGACACCTGAGTAGCCAGGCATGAGACAAGGAAAGGGCAGTGTAGCTCCTTCTCAAAGGCATCCCTTTGGATGTGGGCAGAGAAGCCCCCCAGAGGGTCAGGACTCCTGGGACCCCAGGTCTCAGGAAAGACTGGCTCAGGGAGCTGGGGATGGTGGGCAGCAAGTGGGTGCTTCCCTGATCTGAAAAGAGGACTACCTATTCCAGAAAGCCTTCCTCAAGCCTGGGCCAGGCTCTACCACGGCTTTCTCCACCCTGAGCCTAAGGTCTAGCCTAAGGATGGGGTGTGCCTCTCCCACCAGACGCCATAATAGGAAGACCTGAGGTCTGACTCATCGCAGTGTGTCCCACACTGGCAGGGCTTGGCCCACAGACAAACCTCTTGGCTACTTTCTTTTTTTCTTTTCTTTTCTTTTTTTTTTTGAGACAGAGTTTCGCTCTGTTGCCCAGGCTGGAGTACAATGGCGCGATCTTGGCTCACCGCAACCTCCGCCTCCCAAGTTCAAGCGATTCGCCTGTCTCAGCCTTCCCAAGTAGCTGGGATTACAGGCATGCACCATTGTGCCTGGCTAATTTTGTATTTTTAGTAGAGACAGGGTTTCTCCACGTTGGTCAGGCTGGTCTCGAACTCCCGACCTCAGGTGATCTACCCGCCTCAGCCTCCCAAAGTGCTGGGATTACAGGTGTAAGCCACAGCGCCTGGCCCTCTTGGCTACTTTCTAAGTGATGGGCAAGCTCTCTGTGGCACCACCCTCTGAGTCTCACACCCCCAGGTCTCCCCCACACCCCAATGCCATCAGCCAGGCCCAATGGAGCAGAGGGCTCCAGATCACTCACACCCATTTTCCACATAAGTTCCCCAGTGCTGGGTTCCAAAAAGCATCTCACCCTTCCAGGCCCCCAAACCCAGCAACAATGTTCACCCACCCTGAGGGTGGCAAGTCCAAAGCAGGCAGAACTTGGCCAGCAGGTCCAACCCTCCATGTTCCAAGCCTCTTCTGCACCTAACAAATGATTGCCTGTGGGTGAGGGGGCCCAGTTCCAGCAGGAGAGAGTGTGTATTCACTAGCTCTCACCAGCCCTGTGCCAGGCACTACTGGAGACCACTAAGGTACTTGTGGCAAGCTTAGCCTGCAAGGTTGGGCCAGGTACAGAGTGAGCAGTATAGGGCTGTGGCTGAGAGCCTGTGGTCTCAGTGGTGAGGCCACAAGCTGAGAGGTTGGTAGGGTGACCAGTTGTTGTCAGGTGTGTAAGCCTCTCTTGGTTTCCTGGTCATAGACAGACCTACTCTGGCTGGAGAATGACCCCTCAGCCAGCCACACTGGCCAGCCACCTCACAGAGATACTCAAAGACCTCAAAGACACACACCACGTATGTGGATGGCCACCTTGGGGAGGGTAAGAAGCTAAGAAACTGAGCCCCTGCCACCACTAGTGGCCTCTTGTTTGCCATAACACTCCAGAGCACCGGAAACTCATCTTGGTTGTAGAGCCACCTGGGGCAGGGGTAGATAACAGCCCAAGGAGTCCAGAAACTTTCTCTTCTCCTCCTAGTGAAGAGCCTCCCTCAGCCTAACGCTGGTGGCTCTTTCGGCAAGACTAAAAGCCATGCTGGTCACAGGCTCAGGGCACCCCCTCCAGGTGAATATGGTAAGAATCCAAGAACAGGGTGGGGCACAGACGCATGCGGGAAAGAGGTGAGGGGCAGGCAGTTGTTGGCTCTGCCTAGAACTGCTGCCCCAACATGGACTCCATACCCCATCAAGAGGCTGGCCCAAGGCCTGGGCAGAACCTAAGTGCCCATGAGTACCCTCTATTAGGATGGCATCCCTGGTGGGGCAGACCCAGGGAGGTGGCATTGCCTCCTTCAAGCCAATCACAGACAAAACACTGAGCCTCCCACAACCTGTACAGCCTCACAGCAGGCTGGGTGAGAATGGTTCACACCCCCAGCCCTGAGTTTCCTACTGTATTCACTGCCAGGCCAGGGGCTGAACCACCTTCTCACCCTTAGGGAAAATGCAACTCACTGGGCACATGCCTCCTGCAAGTTTGCACTTCAGACTCCCCTTTCATCAGAAACCATCCCCTGCACCCATTCTCACTACTCCCTGCCACAGGCCACGTCCTCTTGAGTTCTTGGTAAGGCATCCCCCGATGTGGCTTTACATTGGGGTGAACCTGGTGAGTTCTCAGAAATGTCTGCACAGCAAGATGAGCACCTGGCCTCCCAATCGCAGCATCTCCCCTCACCCCACCCCTTGCAGTAGAGCTGCTCTCTTGGCCCAGACCCATCCAAGAATCAGGGGGCCACATGGGAGCCAAAGTCCACACTTGATACTCAGAACCCTGGCACATATGGCTGGTGCCAGGTCAGCTCTGAAGGAACTCAAAAGTCACCATGCCCTGACCCTGGGAAGCCGGAGACAGCAAATGATCTCTTCGCCAGAGATCACGTGTTTTCAGGAGCCACAGGTAAGCCTCCCAAAGTCTGCAGGTGGCAGGCCACACCCTGCTCTGGGTCTCCATACTGTGTCCTAGGTCATGCCAATCCCAGATGGGGCAGCCCCATGTGAGGGATGGGGCTCTGAGCTGGGAGTCAGGAAGTCCACGTGCTGCCCCCATGCTCCCTTCCTTGACAGCCCTGTGACTTCAGCAAGGCCTCAGATTCCCTACTGTCCCTGCCCTGACACTGGGCAGTGAAGCAAGGACCTGGCCTCCCAACCACATGATATGGAGAGGAGAGGGGTCAGAGAGTTTCTTGGCTAGGGGACAGAAGCTGAGAAAGTGAAAGAAGGGTTTGGGGCCCCCTGGCCACAGCAGGGGAATGGGAACTAACCTTTCCCAGAAATGTTTGTGTGCCTAGGTCTTTCTAGAAACACTCCTTCTCAGAACCTGGCGCCCTCTGGCTTGCCCACCAGCTCTCACCCAGCTCTACTCCCTGGTCTGCGCCCTCTGGCTCCCAGCTCTGTCATCTACAAGGTCAGAGGGGAGTCCAAGAAGGGCCATATAAAGCGTCTCTTCCAGGACCAGGGTGCCTTACCAAGGGATAACACACTTGCGCCACACATCCCTAGTCCTAGTAATTTGAGGGACAACACAGGTGATTACCAGACCAGTCAGTAGACCTAAGAGGGCCACCAGATTCTCTGGGCTGGAGGGCTAACCCTCTCATCATCTGGGCCCAGAGATGGCAGGAGGGCAGTGACCTGCCCAAGGTTGCACAGCTGATACCAGGTCTCCAGGTGTCCGGCTGGAGCCCTCTCCACTTCCTCCATGCCTCCTGAGAAGCTGCTGGAAGACATTTGTTCCCTGTGGGTTGGGTGAGCCATGGGATGGCTCCCAGAGAAATGGCAGAACAGGCTAAGTACTTGGGCAGCACTATTTGAGGCACTCTGGGCCATTGCCAGACCTAGAGGCTGGGTTGATAGCTTGGAACATAACAGTCAAGGGGACCAACAGGAATCCTCTGTCCTCTGGGCTCTGCCAACACAGTCAGAGAGGAAATACATGTCTAGAAAGGCACTGTCCCTGAAGTCATGGGGCCCCAGTGCCCCCTGGAGGAAGCCTGGGGTAAGACTGGTGCCCTGAACTCCACCATCATCCTGATCCTGCCTTGCCCTGGTGGCACACCTACCTCTGTTTCTGGCCGAGGAATAAACACTGGGGGCACCATCCTTAGGCTGAGCCCCTGGAAGTCCCACTCTCCAAGGATGTACTGCACCGGCATCCTGCAGAGGGGGCAGCTGGGTGGTCATCAGGGACAGAGCTAGGACCAACAGGACCATGCCTGGGTTGAGATACCACTTGTGGCCAAAGGTATCAGGCAAGACCATGTCTCCAGGGCCTTGGGACTCCTGAGGCAAAACCCTCCCTCCCTCCCTTCTTCCTATTCAGTACCCCGGCCCCACTCTTGCCACTCCTGCACCCCAACACCTCCCTAGTCCTTGGACATTCTCCTCCTCCCTGAACTTGGTGGGGATAGGGGAGGCTGGACTGCTGCTCCCTGAACACATCCTTCAGGTCTGATCCATGGGTGCTCACCTCTGCAATCGACGGCTACTCAGCTCCCGGATACACTGTAGTTGCTGAGAGGTCAAGGGCTGGGTCCAAAGTGCCGGCCTCAGGCTCTGAAACTGTCCCCACAGAGAATATAAGTGGCTGGCTCACTGGGCCCAAGGCCCCCAACCCAGGTGTCTTATGTGGATAATGCCTGCCCAGCACTGGTCTGGAGGCCCAACCCTCTCATCATCTGGGCCCAGAGGGGGCAGCATCCTGCCTAAGGTTACACAGCTAACACCAGGCTTCCAGGTGTCTATCCCAGAACACTTAGGCAGAGATATATTCATTCATCCAACAAACTGTTACAGTGTGTGCCAGGCGCTAAGACGTTCCTTCAGAAAAATCCCATCAGTCTCAGCTAAGCACTCTTAGTGAACAGAAAACCTGGATATCCCTTCCCCAAGTCCTCCCTCCTCCCTCTTCCTGTCCTCTTGACAACACTAAACTTAACTGTTTTGGCTCCAAGGACATGAGCCACGATGTACTCACTGGATTCCCGGGCCTCAGGGATACCCCTCTTCTCAAAGACCCCAGTCCAGTGGCTGACCAGTTCTATGGCACTGGATAACCCAGCCAGAGGTGGTTGGGGTTGCCATGAGCTGAAGGCCCAGCCCCGGGTACTTCCCCTCCTCCCTGGGCCAGACAGGAGGGCCCACAGCATTCGGCCCCAAAGCTCCATGTCTCAGGGAAAGGTTCTCCAGAGTGCTTCCAGGTTCCCAAGTCTGCTTTATGATGTCAGCTGCTGAGGTGAGTGCTGAGAGTGGCCCCTGGACCCAGCTGGGTGGAGATGGAGAGGTCACAAGCTCTGGTGCCCCAAAATGGCTCTGGTCCTCAGATATAGTTGGTTGCCACCCTGGGAGTGAGAGGAACCAGGAAAGCAGGTGAGCCTTGTATGACACCCCCCCTTCTACCAATACATTGCCTGAGAATAGTTGTGCTCTTGCTCTGACACCCCCTTGACTCCATTTAGAGCCTTACCCACCTATTTGATCATTCTTGTCTTGGCCACTTACGTTTTCTTCACATTTTTAGCTGGAGTGGGCTGAGCCCATAGCTCAGTCTCTGCTAATAAACGGGTTGGTGGTAGGTTAGGGCACATATGTGGGGACAGGACAGATCTGTGTCTAACCTAGCGTGTGTGATCTTGAGCAAGTCATTATTTCTGATTTTCACTTTCTTAATCCATAAGATGGGGGAAAATCACACCAAACCCATGGCAAGCAATGCATTAGTCTATGAATATCCAAGGCCTGGGAGGCAGCTCAACACACAGCAGGGACCAGATGTTACATGATCTTAACTGATGTTACAAGAGGCAGATGATTGCCTTTAATTGGGAGCTTTGAATCTGACATTGTGTGTGTACTGTCATGGATGTACATGCTGAAAATTTCCTCCTAATTTAACCTATAATCCGGGACATCAGCGTAAACCACCAACTAAAAAATTTACAATTGTATATTTAAAGAGGTCACAAGCAAGTTTAACTGAAGGTTTAAAATCAGCGGTCCCCTTTGCTTCCAGATAAAAGTCCAAACTAGCGTTTATTAAGCACCTGCTAAGTGCCACATCTTCAGATACAAGTAGGGTCAGAGAAGGGAAGCGACTTGCCCAGCGTCACTCAGGTAGAAACTGTCCCAGGCAAGCTGGGCACGGTGGCTCACGCCTGTAATCCCAGCACTCTGGGAGGCCGAGGTGGGCGGATCACGAGGTCAGGAGTTCGAGACCAGCCTGGCCAGCATGGTGAAACCCTGTCTCTACTAAAAATACAAAAAATTGGCCGGGCATACTGACGCGCACCTGTAGTCCCAGCTACTTGGGAGGCTGAGGCAGGAGAACTGCTTGAACCCAGTTCAAGCAGGCGGAAGTTGCAGCGAGCCGCGGTCATGCCACTGCACTCCAGCCTGGGTGCCAGAGAGAGACTCCGTCTCAAAAAAAAGAAAAAAAAGACTGTCCCAGGCAAGACACGAACCCGAGTCCACCAGACTCCAGAAGCGGCTCTTGCACCAGTGCGCCGTCCCAGGAGCCAAGGCCCGAAGTCAGAAGTGTAAACTCCCTCACAGCTACGCACCGCATTGTTAACGACCCAGATGAGGCCCCCTCTCTCCAACCCTGTTTCCCCATCTGCACTATGGAGAATGGTACCGGCCAGGTCTCCAGGCGGTTGCAGTCGAAACACCCCGTTCCGATCCCCACCTCCCATGCATACCTGCCTGAAAGGCTGCCCCACCCACCCACCAGCCGGAGAAGCTGCCCCGAACTGGACGCCCGGACGTGCGTGGCCCGTCGCGCGCTCCCTCGGACGCCCCGCTTCCGGGGTCGGCGCCTTTAAGAAAAGGCTCGGGCGGACGCCGTAGCCCAGCTTCAGTGTTCCTATCGCTGGTGGGTTCCTCCCAGGAGACCCCTGCGGATGGGTGGGGAGGCTGTGAATTCCACTCCCTCTACGCTCGCAGGCCTGCATACAGGAAAGTGCGGGGATGTGTGTGGGGTTGACCCTTGGGGGCCCGGACCTGCCGGTCTTCCTTAAAATCACAGCAGGGATTTGGCTCCAGCCCAAGGGGATTGCTCCGAGCTGGCGTTTAGGAACCAGGCCGGGAGGTGTGTGGGCGGAGCCCAGTAGCCTGCCGGAAAGGGGGCGTGTCACCAGAGGGCCCGGGTGTTCCGGCGGGGACCAGATGTCCGGGGGCGTGGTCTATCTTAGCCTGGGGGCCGGGTGGAGCTGTGCATGGGCGGGTTCCAGTGTTGAAGGCTGGTCCAACTTTGGGGTCCAGTCCCAGTGTCGTGACCCTACCGAGGTCAGTGGCCCGAGCCCACCAGGGGGTCGGCCGACTGGCGGCCAGACCCCAGGGGCCGCTCTTTTACCGATTCGAATCTTGACTCTATTGGCAACTCCTCCAGGTGTTGGGACCTCTGGACCTCAGTTGCGCCTTCTATAAAATACTCGGCAGCGTCTCGCAAAGTGTGTCTTGTCAACATCTCCCCACCAGAAAGTACTGTTAACTAGAACACTGTTAACTACTTTTTTTTTCTTTTTTTCTTTTTTTTTTTTTTTTTTTTTGAGACGGAGTTTTGCTCTTGTTGCGCAGGCTGAAGTACAATGGCGCGATCTCTGCTCACTGCAACCTCGGCCTCCGGGTTCAAGCCATTCTCCTGCCTCAGCCTCCCAAGTAGCTGGGATTACAGGCGTGAGCCAACACGACCGGCTAATTCTGTATTTTTAATAGAGACAGGGTTTCACCATGTTGGTCAGGCTGGTCTCGAACTCCTGACTTCAGGTGATCCATCGCCTCGGCCTCTCAAAGTGCTGGGATTACAGGAGTGAGCCACCACGCCCGGCCTTAAACTGCTATTAAACATGCTGTTTCCCTGCCTCCTTCCCAGACCGGGAGACACAGGGGCGTTTGCATTTGTACCAGGCTACCCGGTGACTCCCATAAACTACTTTGAAAACCGGCGGATCAGGAGTATCTGAGGGCTCCTTCCCTGAGCTGATCATGCCGTGGATGGAAGCTATTGTGAGGGTATATGTAGACTTGCCTGGGTCGGGGTGCCCAATAATAAATCCACCCCACTCTCAACTTCTGTAGACGAAGATTCCCCATCTTCGTCTAGAACCCTCACACCAGAGGACCCGTCTGAGTAGAAAGCCAAGGTTCAGGAAGGGAAAAGCAGTTTCTTCAAGGTCACAAAGTCAGCCAGAGTTCAGTGCAGGCCCAAGGACTCCCAGTCCAGTGCTCTCCCCAAGTCTCCTCTGTACATCCATCCGCGTTTTGGGGGCTTGAGTCTGTCCTGGCACGGGTAGCTGGCAGGGGTCCCGAGTTCTGGCCCGGAAGGGCCTGGCCACCCACTGTCCTCCGCCCAACTTCGGCGCAGGCCACGGGGTGAGGGTAGTCTCTAAAAACTGCGACCAGGTTCTAGGCTCCCTCTGGGGGTGGAGCCAGACCCGAGCGACAAGCGAACGGTCCAATTCTGGGCGGGCTCTAGGCCCGACAGCCAATCGGAGGCCGGGGGCGCGGAGCGTGCAGGGAGGCAAGGCGCTGTAGCTTCGGGGATCCCCCGAGGCTGCTCGGCCCGGCCCCACCTCCGCCGTGGGTCCCGGCCCTACCCACCCTAGCTCAGGCCGGCAGAGCCAGCGCTCGCGGATGCGGCTGGTGCGCAGTAGCGGGCCTGGCCAGCGGCTCGGGGCTTGCAGGGAGGGCGGATCTCGGGTCGGACCCGCAGCCCCAGACGCCGGGCTTGGGGGTTCCCCCCGCCCCGGCCTCCTGCCAGTCACTACCACCCCTAGCCTCTCCAACTGAGCTCGGCGCCGGGAGAGGATTAAGTAAGTGCTGAGGTCACTGCTCCTGTGCAAGAAGGGAGGCATCACAGGGTCGCGGAGGCGGGCATGGGGATTGGGGCAGGGAGGACTGAGAGACCTGGTGGAGAACAGCATGCGGGTTCTCGAAGGTCGCGGTGCCGACCCCTTTTACCCCGGTTTCCTTCCCTTCCCCTTTGGACCCTGAGGCAGGCCTGGAAAGTGGTCAGTAGGGCCTCTTCTCTCCTTTGGGAGGCGATGTTAACAGAGCCCCAGGGCACGAGTTAAGGGTTTGGCCCAAGGTCACGCCCGGGATCAGTTGCAAAGCCAAGAAAAGAACCCGGGACTTCCTATGTGCCCAGATGTGCCCAGCCTAGCTGGAGGGAGAAGGCAAAGAGGGATGAGCCTTTCTACCCCATAACCCTCTGCCAGCCTTGCCCCTTCCTCAGGGACCATCAGAGGTGTTTACACATCTCACACACGCCCATGCATCTGCACAGGGAGGCAACCCCACTAATGCCCATGAACCAGCACAGGGGGATGTATGCACCCACGAGCTAGGTATCCCTCCTCTCCCTAGGCCGTCCCATCTGCAGCTTGGCTGGCACCTCTTCCCACCCCACCTTAACCAGGGCCCTCTGCACTGGGCAAATCTCTCACCCTCTGCTTCCAGGGGAGGAGGGTAAAGGAAGAGAAGGCACCCACACTGGGAGCTCCATTCCTGCCTCGCCTTTCTCCTTGACCCTAGCAGCCCCTCTATTGTTGGTGGGTGGGGAGGGCAGTCCAATGTCCCCGAGAGCCTGCGGAGAAGCCCCGCCAGAGAACCAGAGCCTCTCTCTCCTTCTTGTCTTCTGGTCTTTCCACATCAGCCTCCACCCACACTCCAAGCATAGTCTGGACCATACAGTGGACTGGGTCCAGGGGCTCCCTTGGCTCCCCTTTGTGACTGGGTTGGCCATGGGGAGAAAATCTAACATGTAGTGGATGCTTACTGTGGATGGGGGTTGTGCTGAGCTAAGTCTTTCTTCGACACCTGTTTGTTCTGCCATTTCTGTAACCCCATGACCCTGTGGGGATGTTCTCAATATCCCCACCTTAGACTCAGGAAAACGGAGACACAGAGAGGTGGAGTGACTTTCTAGGGATCACTAGTTAAGCAGCTGAGCTAGGTTTCAAAGACAGGCCTGTCTGACTCTTGGGCAAGTGTTTCCCTCCAGGAAAGGAAAAAGCTGTGGTATTTTTTCCCCCAAGCAGGATGAGGGATGTGGGAGGCAGGGAATGAGGAGGTGGATATGGGGAGGTGGGGGATATGGGGACGCAGGTTGAGGGGAGTTTTTGATCAGGGGAGGGAGACTTTTTCTTTCAAACATCCCCGCTGCCTTTCATATCTTCCAGGTTTGATCACTATGATCATCTCACCCACAGACAGAGGATGCAGGGCTTCATTTTTGTTCCCAAAAACAGGGGCACCGTAGATACGTAAAGTATGTGTCCTAATGTCTCCTGAACTTACCCTCATTCTTGCCCTCAAACCTTTACCTCCCCAGTGCTTTCAGAACCTAGAGAGACTTCATCTCACTACTGAGCCCCTGTCCTTAGCCTCATGTTTCTTATTCTTTCCTTTCTAGCACCCAGGAAGGCAGGGGGCTCCCTTTATCCAAGGAGGTGGCTGTGCAGGTGGCCACCACAGGTGGCAGGAACCACAGGCTGGGGCACTCCGGAGTCAGGAGTGAGTGGGCAGGTTGACTGGCATCAGGCAGCCTCTCAGCCAGGGCCCTCTCCGCATCAGCATGAACTCCAGGACCGCATCTGCTAGGGGCTGGTTCAGCAGCCGCCCACCCACCTCTGAGTCTGACCTGGAACCTGCCACAGATGGGCCAGCCTCCGAGACCACTACCCTCAGCCCAGAGGCCACCACCTTTAATGACACCAGAATCCCTGATGCAGCTGGTGGCACGGCCGGCGTGGGTACCATGCTTCTGTCCTTTGGGATCATCACGGTGATAGGCCTGGCTGTGGCCTTGGTGAGAGCTGGGGTAGGCTGGGGGAGGATAATCAGTGTTTAGATTTATAGAGAACCTAATCAATCAGAAGACAATCTGGTTGTTGTTATTGTTGTTTTTGAGACAGAGTCTTGCTCTGTCATGCAGGCTGGAGTGCAATGGCTTGATCTCAGCTCACTGCAACCTCCACCTCTGGGGCTTAATCGAGTCTCCTGCCTCAGCCTCCCAAGTAGCTGGGATTACAGGTGTGAGCTGCCACGCCCGGCTAATTTTTGTATTTTTAGTAGAGATGGGGTTTCGCTATGTTAGCCAGGCTGGTCTTGAACTCCTGGCCTCAAGTGATCTGCCCCCGTTGGCCTCCCAAAGTGCTGGGATTACAGACATGAGCCTCTGTGCCCGCCAACAATCTATTAATGAGAGTGCAGTCCTCCTCTCCTGCAGAGATTTGTCCACTGGGGCCCAGAGACCAGAGAGGCTACGCTTCCAACTGGAAACAACAGAAAAGGTTCTTGGGAATACATGGTGTCTTGAGCTGGGTCATGAAGGCCACATAGTAGTCAAGGAGTTCCAAGTGGAGAGTCCTGATGGGCAAAAGTTTGGAGGCAGACAGAGGGTTCTGTGAGCAGCCAGCAGGACAGTTAGGGCAGTGGATGTGGGGTTGCAATAGAAGAAAAGGCTTAAAGGTGGTTGATGTGGACCGTGGGCTGCAGAGTCTGGGTAAGATGATCTGTGCATGGGAGGCTGTTGGCAGTGAACATTCATTTATTCACTTGGCAATTATTTACTGAGTACCTGCCCTGGACCAGGCCTTTGGAACCCAATAGAGGCTGGGAAGACAAGGTCCTGCCCTGTGGTTCTTACAGGGAGTGGGAAACAGATAAAAACCAAGGGTTCCAAGGGAAGCCTGCAGGGACTGACTTGGGGACTCAAGCAGGAAAGCAGGAATGCTTTCCAGACTAGGTGGTTAGGAACAGCTGAGGAGCAAAATTAGAGCTGAGACCTCAAAGTGGAAGCCTGGCCTCCGTGTCATGAGAAGGGGTGGAGGTGGCAGCCATCAGGAAGGAAGGGGGCTGGGGAGAGGGCTGCAGGTATCCTTCAGTAGTGAGTGTGATGCCTCTTGATCTGGTGTCAGTCCCTAAGGATATGGGCTGTCCCCCTAAGATGATACATGGACACTCAGAATGTCACTGAGGGACCACTGGAGATCGTGCAGGCTGAGACTAGGGAGGATGGGGTGCCCCTGAGGTTCCCCAGTATGCCTGGCAATGGTAGGATTCTGCCCACTGCTCCTCGCAGGCTCTGATGGCTGGCCTTGGGCTTAGGAGCATGTTGCTCTGACAAGTAGGGCTGTGGATGGCCCATCATGGCCTGGTTGGAGCTGCTGTTAAACCAGGGTTGCCATATGGGCCCCACAGGCTCCAGATTGCTGCCAGGGAGCAACTGCCAGCCAGCAAGCAGGCCCAGGGTGCAGCACAGGCAGAATGAGGCCAGGGCCTGAGAGGTCTCCTGGGTGGAGGTAAGGCAGGATGCCAGTGTTTTCCCTTGGCACCCATGCAGTGGGTAAGCAGATGGAGGCACCCTTAAGGGCAGAATGGGGCCTAGAAACTGCCCTCGTTACTTTCAGTGAAAGGTTTTGTCCTTGGAACTTGAGAACGCTCTCTTACTCTTTGTTCTAGAGGAACATTCAGAAGGCCTGGGTGGATGCCCCTCTTGCCAAAATCAGAGGTAGGAAGCTCGTAGGACAAAGGCAGCGGAGGGCAGAAGATAGCTCCTGGGGACCGGAGACAGGCCCAGAGGTGCTCACTGAGTGCTGCTTCCTCTCCCCGATGCCAGCCTCAAGCAGGGCCGTGGGTACAAGGAGGAGCAAATCTGCACCAGGCTTTCTGCCTTACCCAGGAAGGAAAAGTGCTTGGTACAGGCAGACCAGGATCAGTGGTGGGGGAGGTTCCTGGAGGAGAGGGGGCTGCACCTGCTGGACAGTGAGGGGTAGGGAAGATTTGGAAAGGAAGGTGTGGGGGTGGCTGTTAGCTGAGGAAGAGGGGAAAAGGCATGGAAATTGCGTAAAGGTTCTGGCCTTTTCTGTAGATCCTTCTGAATCCCAGGGTCTCAGGGGAGGGAGGAGGGCTTGGGGCAAGGGCTGAGAGGTGGGGACCACAGGGGCTGGGGCTGGGGCTGGATCCACTTGCTCAGGGTGGCAGGGGCTAGGCCAGAAGACCCCAGAGTTCCTGTCACAGCCTACCCACAGGAGAGCAAGGGAGCACCCCTACATGCAACCCTGGACAGGAGGGGAGAGTGAGGATTGATACCCTAGTTTCTTTTCAGGTTTTGGGGGTCCTGCAGGAGGAGCTCTGGGCCAGGCTGGAAATCAAACCAGATTCAAGCTGTGAATGGGGCACAAAGAATGTGGGAGGATTTGGGGTAAACCACAGGGCTGTGCTTTCCCCGAGGCAGAGGTAGTCATGCTCCTGGTAGTCAGAAACTGCCAGTTTAGGGAAGAGCAGGATGATGGCAGAAGTCCCTGGATTCCCCGCCCAAGGTGGTCCCCCAAGTCTTACCCACTTCCTCCCTCTCCTCAGGGCATTGTACAGGGTTTCTTACTCTGGCCTAGAGGTCCTAGATGTTTTCTCAGGCTGCCTAGGCCCTCATCTTCAAGGTTGTACAATGGGGGACCGGACCTAGGGGCCTTCTTAGGTTCCTCTTGCATCAGAGTTTTTGGGAGTTGACCTGGGCTGATGCCTAGGGGCTCCAGTCCCCCACCCCTACCTTAGTCCACTGGGGGCCGTCAGCCTCCCATAGGAACTCCGGAGACCACCAGCTCAGGGCCTTGCCTAGAGCCACTGCTCTACACGCTACAGAGTCTGGCCACTGCCTGTCTCTGGTTCTTTTTACATGTTGTAGAGACGGGGTGTCAGTATGTTGCCCAGGCTGGACTTGAACTCCTGGGCTCAAGAGATCCTCCTGCCTCAGCCTCTTGAGTAACTGGGACTACAGGCATGTGCTACCTTACCGGGTCCCTTTACTTTTTGCCTGCATGTGGCTTTGAGCCTGGGAAGAGTTGAGGGGAGGGAATGTGCTGAAGTTTTCCCTTTCTTCTTCAGCCCTGGGGAGCCACAGGCAGGTGCTGAGTGGCTGGAGCTACAGTTAGTATTGGCAGCCCAGCCAATAGGTGGGGCCCACCAGTCCCCAGGCCGGGCCTAACTGTGTGGGCTCCCAGGCTGGAGGGAGCCTCTTGAGTCCCCAGACTCAGTCTGGGCACTGTCTGCAGCTAACAATGTCAAAAGGAGGCATGGGGCCAGTGTGGTGGCTCACGCCTGTAATCCCAGCACTTTGGGAGGCCGAGGCGGGTGGATCACAAGGTCAGGAGTTCAAGACCAGCCTGGCCAACATGGTAAAACCCCATCTCTACTAAAAATACAAAAATTAGCCGGGTGTGGTGGTGCACACCTGTAATCCTAGCTACTCAGGAGGCTTAGGCAGGAGAATCACTTGAACCTTGGAGGCGAAGGTTGCAGTGAGCCGAGATTGTGCCACTGCACTCCAGCCTGGGTGACAGAGCAAGACTCTGTCTCAAAAAAAAAAAAAGAGGCATGAAGGTGAAGGGGGAGTGGTGTATGTGTCATTAGGACGGGGACCCACGGGTCTCTTGTTCATCAGCCTCAGCATGTCCCCATCCAGAAGGGCTGCTGGGTTCCTCAGGGCCTCCTCTCCTTGCCATTTGATGCTGCTCCTTCTCTTGCAGGTTTTGTACATCAGGAAGAAGAAGAGGTAATTCCCCACCCAAACCCAAATCCCACCCAAAACTTGAGGCCATGGGGAGTGCTGGGCTGGGCTCCGAAGGAAGTGGGTGAAAAGCTGATCAGGGAGTCAAGGCCTGTCCTGCCCATTCATGGTTGGGGGTGACCACTTTCCTTTGGGGAGGGTTGAGGGCCCCCCTTGCACAAGGATCTCACACACAGGGCAGGCAGGTGTGAGGATTCTAGATAACTGGGTATAATCCTGGGACTGGGGATGGCAGGGAGGGGGAAGGCTGGGATTACTCCCACCCAACTGCCCAGCCACCCTTGCCCTGCTGCTCTGAGCTGACTGCTACTGGCTCCCCAGTCCCACCTGAGACTCAGACGCTGTGGATTACAGCAAGGCCCTAGCCTAGGTGATCTCTGTGGGGCCCATGGATGACAGCTACTTGGCGTATGGCCTTACCCTGGAGTGGGTAACTGCTGCCTCCCTGGCTACCCATTTAAGGGGTTGAGCTGGTACTATAGGTGCAAAAATGTCTGTCATTTTTTCCCATTTCAAGGGAAACCTTAAGGCCCTAAGCATGGTTGTGTGCTGTGGCTCAGCTAGTCAGGAGGCAGGGCCTGGAGGGCTGCTGGGAGGGGAAGGGCCTGCCCTGTCCCCAGCAGCCTTTGCCCCCATCCCCAGGCTGGAGAAGCTACGCCACCAGCTCATGCCCATGTACAACTTCGACCCCACGGAGGAACAAGATGAGTTGGAGCAGGAGCTGCTGGAGCATGGGCGGGACGCCGCCTCTGTACAGGCTGCTACTTCTGTGCAGGCCATGCAGGGCAAGGTGGGCACTGACCAGGCTCCCCACCCCGCCTGCAGCATCCTCTGTCCTCCACCCTCACCCTCCCTCCTTTCTCATGCAGCTTTCTAGCACCTGCCTTGTGGTCAGATGGCAGGTATTGGGTATACGGCTTTTTCCAGATTTGTTCAGAAAGTGGTCATATTGCTCTGGGGCCACCCACAAACTCACAGCGCAAGGCCAGGCCAAGGCAGTCCTGGGATACAGCCTGGCTCTGCCCCATAGCCTGCTGATCTTGGGAGCCCCACTGGCATCTCTGAGCCTCAGTGTTCTCTTCCACAATTGAAAATCCTAATTCTTGCCCCATGTGCCCCCACGTACTGGTTAGGAAAGTAGGAAAGGACTAATGGGAGAGACTGTTGGCGGCTAGGACCCCAGGTTCCTCTGCTTCCTGAGG
This sequence comes from Homo sapiens, assembly GCF_000001405.40. Taxonomy (NCBI): domain Eukaryota; kingdom Metazoa; phylum Chordata; class Mammalia; order Primates; family Hominidae; genus Homo; species Homo sapiens. Next base: position 50,560,504 of record NC_000003.12, on the reverse strand, counting down.
GTCCGTGGTCCTGAGTGGGTTGTGGATGGGGTTAGACTCTTGGACAGCGGTACCTCTGAGTAGGCTGGTGGATTCCCAGTGGCTGACAGACCCAGGCATGTGAAGATCTCAGCCAAACTTGCCTCCTGTGTCCAAAGGGATAGGTACCTGTGTGGCCATCCTGTTGTAACCACTGGGCTGCCTGACCACTTGCCACCATTTCCCCAAATCCCCAAGGGCCAGAGCACCATGAGCAGGCCTGGCCTGCCCCTGACTTATCCAGCCTCTTTGCGTCTTCTTGGGCTCAGAAAGAATCCAGGCTGGAAGTCTGAAGACCCTTTGGTTTTGCCACCAGCTCTGCATCACCTGGGTCAAGATATATTGCCCCCTTGGGATATTCAGGAACTCGCACTGAGAACCTTGGTCCACCCAGCCACTGGGACTTCTGGCCACTTGATACTTGTTTCCCATGTTCCTCCTTGTACCAGCCCCTGTGCTAGGGCCTGGGGATACAGAGTCCAGCCCTCTGATCCCCCACTGGGAAAAGGCAGTGCATGCATAATTAAATCAACACAGTAAGTGCCTCCAAGGTGACAGGGCAAGCTGGGGAGGAGTCATCTGAGCCAAGTCATATTTGTAGGCTGAGCTTGCAGGGAGGGCATTCCAGGCAGAAGCCATTGCTAGTGCCAAGCATAAGCAGGCACCAGGAAGTGAGGGTGGAGGTGACCAGGCCAGTGAGTGCATGGCCTTGCCCATGGTCTCTGATGCCCCTGCCTGTCTTCCTGCAGACTACTCTGCCCTCCCAGGGCCCACTGCAGAGACCCAGCCGGCTGGTGTTTACCGATGTGGCCAATGCCATCCATGCGTGAGTGGCCTGGGACAAGCCTGGACTTCTGATAGAGACCCATCACGGTGCCTACAGAGCTCCCCACTCCCTGATTGTCAAGACCTACTCTGAAGATCTTCCCTGCCAAGACACAAGAGGGCTGAGCCAGGTCCTAGCTGTTCTCCAGACCCACCTGCTGACTTTAGACTCTAAGAGAGGGCCCTAGCCAGGCTGGACTTCTGACCACTGACTTCTCCTGACCTGAGGGCCCTGGCACAGAGGGCATCCCTCATGCTGAGAAGGTCAAGAGCCTCTGCTGGCTTCCTCATCCCCTGTCCAGATCCCTCACATCAGGGTCTGCCCCGCTAATGTGGAGGAAATGAGGGAGATACGGAGTGGGAGGGATTGGGGGAGGAAAGGGGAGGTTTCCCTCTGTTAGGGAGAGACCTGTTTTTTGGAATCTGGAGCCTCCTCTGGGGTGGGGAGAGGAAACCACCCAAGTTATAGGGACAGGGTAGGGCAGCATCTGTTATGGGCCCTGAGAAGCCCAGAGATGGAGCTGAAACTGTCCAGTATGCAAGGATGCCAGGAGAAGGGCAATTCACACCCAGGGTCCATCCATACTACGGAGGGTCCAGGAGGTCTCCCAGCCACCCATCCTTGGCAACCAGATGTTACTGGGGCCAAGCTAGGATGGGAGCTGAGGGGGAAGGAAGTAGGGGAATGGAAGTGGAAGGATGCAGCCCCCCCAGACCTGCCGAGAGGCCTCATGCATGTGCATGAGTGTGCCCATGGGCAGACATGTGCCTGTCCCAGCACAGCGGGCAGAATGAGATTGTCCACACTGGCCCCACCCTCCAAGTCGACCTCTACCCCATGGTATGTAGTGGAGCATCAGGGTAGGCTATCTTCTCTGCCTTCAATCTTCAGGGACTGCAGGGAAGAGGGAAGCACGCACAGCACGGTTCCTCTCTCCACTGCATTGTTTCACTGGGCTCACCTGCTTCTGAAAACGGCTCCCTGTCTTGGGCTCTAATGAGGATCTGGGGTTGGGAGAGGCTGTTGGTCTGAGGGCAGTAATCACAGGCTGCAGGCTAGAGGGGGCAGTTATGACTGCCTGAAAGTGGGTGAGGGATTGCACTTCAGAAAAACATCTAAAAAACTTAGTCTATGTTTGAATTCCCCACCTCCATCCCATCTATGGGAAGAGCCGTTCAGTGTTTAGAGAGTGGGGAGATGGGTCCCTGCACTTGGCCTCTCCATAAGCCTTGGAGGGTCAGGGCTGATACCAGGGGTCCTGGCAAGCCATTGGGCAGAGACAGACCACAAGAGCAGGGCATTTTTTTACGCTGGGCATACATATGCACACAAGCATGCACAGAGGCATGTCCCGTGCCCAGCCTCTCCACCGTCACTGTCCGCTGCTGGCTGGAGGGGATGCAGGGGTAGTGTATGCAGACCTTCCACTGGGCAAATGCCATGTGTCAGGAGGGAAAGGCCTAGGAAGCCCCCATGGGGAAGGTTCTGGATTTATTCCCTCCTCTAAATGCTATAAATACGTTAGCACTTGAGTCGACTGGAGGCTGCCAGGAATTCAGGATGCATACAGCTGTAATTTAACCCAGAGCAGCTCCACGTGAGAGCATTAAAGATGTAATGAAGATGTTTACATGGAGAGTGTGTGAGCCTGTGACGCTTGGGGTGTGGAACCCTAGGAGGGGCAGGATGGGTGAGGGGCTGTGGGGGGCCTGGGGATAGTTGCTTGGATCACAGCTATGAGGTGGCACCCCAGGTTTCTCTTGAGCCGTCTGAGGAAATGCCTCTGGCCCTGACTTCGAGGTTGCCCTGGGGCTTCATTTCCCAACTGTGGATTGGGGTCCCAAGGCCTGTCACCCCCTAGGGTGGAAAGGTCAACTGGACAGGACCTTGTGAGACCGGAGGAGGAAGGGGGCTTGAGCCCCAAGGGCCCCGACGGGGGTATGGCACCTCGGGACCCAAAGGAGCTGGGTCTGAAACATGAAAGGAAGCAAAATAGTGTGGCTTTTTCTGGAGCACAGGGGTGCAGGGGAAGGGTGGGGGGTGGGAAGCCATTAGGGTCATCTGTGTGGAATCCACCCGCAGGGTTCAGAAGGGTTTGGGGGAGAATGACACTAGGGTGACCAGCCATCCTGGTTTTCCCAGGACTATTCCAGTTTTAGCCCTGAAAGTCCCACAAAACCAGGACTCTAAGTGACATCTAGGCTCTCCCCAGAGAGCTGAGCCTTCAGGCCAGCGTCATGGAAATAAGGGGCGGGCGAGCCCCCACTCCCCCAGTTCCACGATGGAGGGCTGAGCTAGAGGAAGGGGCTGGGGGACAGGGCCTTAGGTGAGGGGAGGGCCACGTGCCCATGAGCCAACGACACTGGGGTCACAGCTCAGCCTGTCAGTGATGGCCTTGATCTTTGGAAGAGGTCTCCTCCCCTCAGCAGATTGGCAGGATCTGGAGGGGCATGGAGTGAGAGGAAAGGCGGTGGTGGGCTGTGTCCTCCCACCCTGTTGGGTGGGCCTTCAGCCCAGGGATGTGGGAGCTTCAGAAGATCCAGCGTCTGGGGGATCCTGAAGAAAAGGGGCCTGTGGAATAAGGCTGGCTCCCAGGGACCAGGACCTGGATGGGGGCTCCAGGAGAACCCCAGTGCCCATCCGCTCCTGCTGCCTGCCCCATGCCCCTCTCCTGCGGGGTGGGCTTGGCTAGACGATGTGCACAGGGCAGCTGTCTCTGTGGGTGCCAGGGCACATGTTCACACCTCTTGTGCCCTCACAGGCACCTTCTCCCCCTTCCACCCACCTTCTGCCCTCTAGCTCTTATTCCCAGTCCTGCAGGAAAACCAAGTTCCCAGCAAGTTCCCAGGTCTTCCAGAGTGTGGGGTCAATAAATATTGGGGTGAAAGGTTCTGGTTGGTGTGTCCTCCTTGAGGCCTTGAGGCTGGTGTGGTCACCACCCTCAGCCAGGCAGTGGAATGAGATGGAGTCACCTGCCTGCCTCACTACTCCTGGAATTGACTATTAAATGGAGCCCTTTGAGAAATGCCCCCTGCCCGACAACACACACACACACACACACACACACACACACACACACACACACACACACACACACACACACACTTCCATAAGTAAAACCCTTCCTTGGGAGTAGCAACCAGGGCTTGGGCTCAGAAGCTGGGCAGTTTGCGGTAGGTGGTATCTGGGTGGATGCGGCTCGGCGCCTTCAGAGGCCATCTTCTTGTTTAATAAAGAGAAATGTCACCTTCGAGCCAAAGTGAATGAAATAATCCCATTGCCTGGCTCCAGGCAGACACTGGGGACGCCTACAGAATGTAAAGGAAAGTTCTTGCGGGGGAGGGCCCAGAAACTCCAGTAGAGCAGCTTGACCTTGCTGTGGATTCCTTCCAGAAACATTGCTAAGCGTCTATCATGAGCCTGGCACCACGGTCCTGAGGGTGAACCAACCTAGACTCTGCATTTCCATTTTAGATGGAGGAGACAGATATCAAATAGGAAAAAAGATGTGTGTGTATGTGTGTGTACACACATAACACACATTGTTTAGGTCTATATATCTCTATATCTACATCTGTAGGAAAAAGAAGGTGGGGTGGGGGCAGGGTGTGCCTAGGGATTTTATAGGCTGAGGGCAGACACCCCACCCCATCCTGCCCAGCTGCACCCCTCAGCAGGCCTCAGTGTGGAGAGCCATGGTCAATGATATCTGGGGGAACCCTAGGAGATGCTGTTTTGACATCCCCACACACCTTGTCCTCTGAGGGCTCAGGACAGGGGGCCTTAGTCAACCAGGGGACACTCTAAAAGGCCAGAGTTGCTGAGAAAAGAACAAGAAGTATGTAGACATCAGCTGCAGGGAAAGGAGGAAGGGAGGGGGAGAGCATGGAGACCCCTTAGGTGGGGTGGGACTAGGATGCCATCCCACCTGGGCCTGGGTCTGCCTGTGGCACCTTCTCTCACCTCCCCTCAGCCATCAGAGCTCCTTGGCAGCAGTCCCTGCCCCCCTCACCCTAGGTGCTTTGGTCCTGCAAGTGGAAGATCAGGGCAGGTGTCATTGCTCCCCAGGAACAACTCCCTGCCCCTCTCCCCCAACCCAAGGGAGCTAAGGGAAGGGCAGCAGGCATACAGGGAGGAACAAGAAGTGGGTGTCCCCTCCCCCATCCCAGAGAAAACTCTAGGGCTACAGCCTTCAGCCCAGGAGAGGGTCTGTCCGGGAAGCAGAGAGGGGGGCGGAGCTGAGACCCATCTGGGAAGGGGGTTTCCTTTTCCCAGCCCCTGGCCTGGGGAAAGCAGTCTGTGTCAAAGAGACCTTCTGCTGGGCGGAGGAGGAGGACCTGCTTCTCAGGTCTGCCCTCAGCTTTCAAGGATCCCCCTCTCTCTCAGGGTTCTGCTGGGAAGGTGATCCTCTGGGAGCCTGGGGCCAAGGTTTCTGTCTGGAGATGTTACCCTGAACTCAAATCTGCAGACAGGGGAGGGAGGTCTAGAGAGTCTTTACTCTGAGGCCAGGGGGCCCCCTCCCTGGCCTCACCCAGGGGATACCAAGGCCTTCAGTAGTCCAGGTCAGCTCTGATCAGTCGATCACAGCCTGAGCCAGATGTTCACATTTTGAGCAAAATCTCAGGTAGCCCATCACACCATTTAACTTGAAAGCAAAGTGAAAAATCACACAGGGGCCTCCCTGGTGTCTCCCTCATGCCGAGTCCACAGGAGGAATCAAGCAGTTTCTGTACGCTCAACCGTGAGCTTGGAGGTGAATGAGGGCTTGCTGCCCTTGAGAGCCAAGTCTGCTGGGTCAGAGAAAGTCTGCTGACTGAGTTGCTCCCAATCTCCAAGAGTTGCATTCAGGGAGGCCTGCCTGGAGGAGGCAGAGGAGCAGGCACCAGCCACCTTCACTTTCTGCCTGACTCACCAGGACCTGGGTTGCAGGCCAGGATGTTGCAGCCTCTGCTGCCCATTCTGTGGGTGTGGCCGTCGCTGTGACAGATGTGGCACAGGCTGTCTAGCAGTGGAACAGAACAACAGAACCCAGTGAGAAACATTCTCTACCCGTGGGGTTTCCCAAGAAACCCAGTGGAGTGCTGCTTTCTCTCCCAGCAGGCACAGCAGCATCCAGGAGGTGCCACACTCCTGGCTGATCCTCCTGTGGCAGCAACACCAGCTTCCCTTCGCTGGGTTCAGCTCGTGGCCCAGCAGAGCAGCCCCTCATTCCCAGCCTGGGGAACCCAATAACATAAAAGCCAGTCCCACCAAGGGGTGTTAAGAGGGCAGGTCACCAGTTAGAAGCCACCAGGCCTGAGCTGCTGGACGGCCCCAGTGGGCCAGACCTGCAAGAGCTGCCCAGCCCCGTTTACCCATGAGGAACTGGGTGGTCAGAGGGGCTGAATGAAGTGTCCATGATTGCCTCACTGTGTGGGGCTTTGGAGCCCCATGCTATCTGCTCTTCCCACAACACCAAGGGAAAAAGTGAGGTTGGCAGCCACTTGGCCCCTTACCACAGTTCTTGGTACCAACTTCAGGCTTGCCCTGCCTGAGGAGTTTGGGGGCTGCAGAAGAAGATGGCCCCATGGTTCCAGCCTGGGTGAGCAGGCAGAGCAATGGGGAGGGGAGTTGGGGTGGAAGCTTGAGAAAGAGCAGGTCCTGGGCCATAGAGGGAGCAAGAAATGGGGGTGAGGGGGTTGTTCCTCGGCAGTCTCAAGGTTCAGGCCCCAGTCCTGAATTTGGCATGAACTGACCAAACCAGGAGGGAGGATCTGTTCCCTCCCCTGGCCCTCCATTGACTCATTTGTAAAATGGGCAAAGCAATCCTGCCCCTTTTTCTGCCCAGGCACGGGGAGGTGGGAGGCAGGAATTGCTTGGATAGGGTTTAAAAAGGGAAGGCCTAGGTGGAGACGGGAAGGGGTTAGGGGCTGTCATCTGGGCCCACCTTCAGCCTGGCCAAGCTCCAACAAGGCTCAGAGTCACTAGGTGCTTCCCCTTCACTGGGAATCTTGGAGAGACAACCTGGGAAAAAGACAACGATTCAGAGCTTCTCCAGCCACACCAAATATAACTGCTTCCCAGGCCCCGAAGTCTCCCAGGTCTAAAGTGGAGGGCAAGGATTGTCTCTCAGGAGGGGTCCTTGGAGGGGGATTTGGATGAAGTCTCCTTGCGGACCTCACATCTTTGATTTTGGAGAGGGCAGGGGGTCGTGGGTATGAGAAGGAGGGCTGCCTGATGCTCCTGGGCACCACCTCTGCCCATCTGTCCTAGTGACAGAAGAAGACACAGTTCAGCCAGTGGCTGGAGCTTGGGTAAAGCCTGCAGTCCAGCTGGAGGGGCTGGCAGGGCAGGGACCTGGTGCACCCTTCTACCTGGGGTACACCATTGCTGGAAGCCAAGGCAAGTGGGGGGCTGTCCCCTGTGCCAGAGCCATCGGCAGGGAAGGCACGGAGAACACACAAAGCCCCTGGCTTCAGGCTACCCTCATGGGGACTTTCCCCGGGATGTCCCTCACCTGTGGCTCTCCCTGATCCCTCAGGCTCCTCAGCCTTGGCCCCTTCATCTTCACCTTCTCTTTGAATTTTGTCCTGGCCAATGTTCTCTCTTTACTCTAAAAGAAGGCAAGTGCCTGGGCTGGTCTAAGCCCTGTCTGAGTCCCTAGTCCCCACTTGGACTTGAGCCTATGCCTGTCTTGAGCCTGGTACCCTGAGAGGGGCTGTCCATGGGGATCTCTACTCCTACCCCACCGCACAGTACCTACTGCCTGCTGTGTACCCCCTCCCATCATCTCATTTAATCCCTGTGACAAACATTAGCCCCCTCTTACAGAGAAAGCACAGCGGGGCTCAGAGAAGCAGTGAGACTGGCCCAGGGCCGTGCAGCCGCGAGGCAGGGATGGCAGGTCACAAGGGCAGAGCTCGGGGAGAACCTGAGCACAGGGCCGGCTCCCTGCACATAGCTGGCACCCAGGAATGTCGCCAATTTCACAATCCTCCAGGCCATTTTCTGACTAAGTGGTCTTGCTCATGGAGATCCCTGTCAAAGAGATAGGACCGCTAACCTTGGTCCAGGTGGGGAGGGCGAGGCACTTGGCAAATGGGACTCCCCAAACCTGGGCTCCTCAAAGAGCAGCAGAGCCCCTCACCCCAGGAAGCCTCATCCTGACCACCTTTTGGCTGATCCTGGGACCCTAGAGCTCCCTCTTGGTGTACTGCCCACCTTGAGGTTTCTTCCTGGCTATGGTTTCCCATGGCACCTTTCTGGATGCTAGTGGGATGGAGGCTGGTTTGAGAGTTCAGTCCAATTCTATCTACCTCACCCAGGACATCTCTTGTGTGCTGGACTGAGAGCCCTGTAAGGTGGCTTTGCACACAGGCCCCTGTATCCCCAGCCAGGAGCGCTGCCAGGCATGTATAACAATTCCATACATGCACTTCCAGGGGCTCCAGCCAACAACTCCGGAGAGCTGCCAGAAAGGCCTTGGTAGTGGACCTTGGGCTACCTCGAGGGCCAGAATCTGGTCCTAATAAGTTACCCTTGATTGGCGCCATCTGGCACCATCTCACTTTATTCTCAGTAGCCCCTGGGAGGGTATACGATCACCCCTATTGCAGGGGAGGAGACCCAGCACCCAGAGACTGAGGGCATCAGACTCAGAGCCAGGAACCTGGCCCTTCTCCCACACCATTCTAGAAAGGAGCTTCAGATAAGCCTCAGAGACTGGGGGTGCAGGGGCCTGACAGGGCACCCAGCAGGCACTATCCAATTCACTCCCCAATCTACACGCCAGCCTTCCATGCCAACCTGTTCTGCCACCTGCTTGCAGTTCCAGGCACTGCCACCCTCAGGCAGGTCACCTGTCTGGTGGCCCAGGGGTTCTGTGGTCCCATCCTCAGATCTCTTCTCTGCACTCGGCCTCTCCCACATGTGGCATGGAGAGCAGCCCCCAGACTGCAGGCCCTGATGTGGGGATCAACTGGCAGGGACAGGACTAGGCCAAGTGAATGAAGGGCCTAGGCTTCAAAATTTAAGGAGCCACTCACTTTCGGGTACTGACACTGCACTTTCACCAACGTTAATGTGTGTGCTTCCTTAAGTCTCATGCCCTGGATACCTCACTCACCGGAATCTCAGGCCCCTCCCCAGCTGAGGCCCAGCAGGCTGATATTAAACCCCTACCCTCCTCCCGCACCCTGCTAGCAGGCTGGAGGCCCCAGAGGTCCAAGGAATGAGAGTGTGGGCCAAACCCTGCCCCAGCTGAAGCTCATCAGGAAGCTCTTTACCCAGAGGAGCCTGAGAACACCAGATTATGAGAGATTTAAGGGATTTCTCAGCGGCTCGATAATGGGTCAATAAAAATGACACTCTGAAACTCCAGGTGAAGGAGGCAGGAAGATTCCTGCTATAAATCCCTGCAGATGAGTCAGGCCCAGAGTCTGTGGGCGTGTGGACCTCCTGGGGCACTCACAGACAGAATCCGAGCCCATTTAATTCCCCAGCAACCCACAGAGTGGGCACCCCTTGTGCTCCCACATTACAGACGGGGAAACTGAGGCACAGGGCAGTAGGGTTGCTGAGCACAAGGCAGGGCCTGAATTTGGTCCCAGGTGGGTGAACCTGAGTTCACACCCCCAAAGAAGGAAAGAATATTCTCTGAAGACAGAGCTGGCTTCTCCTGACACCACTCATTTATTCTCTTCACACATTCCTAGCTCTTCTACAGCAGGCCCTCTGCTGGGCTTTGGTGCTGAGGGGCACCCAGTCGGTTCTGGACTTGGAAGAGACCCACCAGCAGGAGAGCCAGGATGGCAGCATTGACAGCAACGACAGCACCCTCAGGAGGAAGTGACCAGAGAGGCAGCTGAGGACAGGGGACTCCAGAGGAGCTGACACCGCTGCCTGGGGGCGAGGCAAGGCTTTCATCTGCTGGGCCTTGTGCTGGGTTTGATAAAAGGTGGCAGTGGATGTTTCAGGCTGGGCAGGGGGCAAGGGGTGAAGGACGTGAACTTCCCCACAGCCAGGACACTAAGATGGTGACCTCACCAGGTGAGTCCTGCGGGCATGGAGCGCCCGCATGGTGCTGGGCCAGCACGATGTGCGATACTCATCCTGCCTGCTCTGCTGGGGCCCTTGTTGCAGACGATGGTGTTGGGTGGGGAGTGGATCTGTTGGACGCTGCTCTGTAAGAGCCACTGGGACAACAGGTGCTGCTGAATGACTCCCCCAGAGAGACCGCACCCGCCTCCACACCCTCCAAAGGGGCCCAGGAGGCCCGTTCCCATCGCCCAAATGGTGACCATCCCAAACCTGGGTGGGTGGGGTGGGTGCAAGTTTCCTTGGTGGAGGAGGCAAGGGCACACTGTTTGGGGCCATTCTGAGTGTGAACACCAGGTGGCGGTGCAGACCCAGATTATTAGGTGGGAGTAAGCAGGGGCTTGCCTGAAATTTGGCCTTGAGGCTTTTTTTAGGGGCCTGGGGTCTGGGAGGCTGCTGCATTGGAGCTGTTTGCTTCCTCCCTGCCAGAAGCAGGTCTGGACTGGAGTTGGGTCAGGGACACTGTCTGGTCACCACTGTATCCTGAGCCTGCCACATAGTGGGTGCTCAGGGCTATTTATCAAATGGAGAATTGAATAAGTGGTTCTTGCCTCATGGGAATTAAATGAATTAATATATTAAAAGCACATGGAGAGCCATCAGTGAAAGTGTGCAGCTATTTGTATTTGTATTATGGAGGGTGGTTCTTCTCATCAGGGCCCACCTATCTGGGCTCAGTGCATCTAAACTGTGGGCCCTGCCCTGGGATTTGGACAGCCTCCACCAGCATGGGATAAAGACTGAACCCCAAGGCCTTACCACTTGATGCAGCAGCCCTGTGGGCAGCTGGGGGACAGAAGGGGCCTGTCGTAAGCACTGAGGATGACACAGGGGTCAGGCCCCTAGGCCTCACCACACAGCTTCCATAGCAGGGGGAGAGCCAACCTGCTACTGTCCCATAAGTGCTGTCAGGACTGGGCCACTGGCAGGGTTAGCTAGCCGGAGGTTAGGGAGGGTGAGGTTGGGGCATGCCCCTCAGTGGTCAGGGCCCAGGCTCTCAGAGTCATCTGATCATTCCCTCCCAGGCTTTTCTCACTGCACACATTTGCCTTCCCTGAGACCTCCACTGTAAATGCCTGTCTCATTCTTACTTCAAATCCTGGCTCCCTTCCCTGCCCACCCAAGGCATTGTGCAGAAAGCCGCTCCCAGACGCCAACCTCTCTCCCCCAGCTCCTCCCCACAGAGCTCTCATGAGCTCCGTCAGCCACCCCACCTGACTCAGAGTCTCAGTAAGGCTGAGTGACTTGTCCTAGGTCACACAGGATTTGCACCCAGCTCTGTTGAACTCCTACAGCAGGCTTGAACAGGCCTGGGTTACCTCTGCATCCCTCATGGTGGGTTCCTGAGTGTGTCACCAAGGGCCCCCTCCTTTTGGCTCCTGCATCCCCCAACATGAACAAGTGAGATGGGGACATTTGCCACCTCCAGCAACCTGGCTGTGACTGGGAGGGAGGGTAGGAGATGTACCACCTCTTCCGCATATATCATCTCCAGCAAGGCAGACAGCAGGAAACAAGCCGCTCCTGAACCAGGACTCCTGGTGATCCAGTGCAGCAGGGATCCCGGTGATCCAGTGCAGCAGGCGGCTGGACTCCAGGGAGGAGCTGCGACTGGCCCCACATGTCTTTGGGCTTCCAGAGGAGGCATGCCTCATGGCGAGTCAGCTCTGCCTCCTATAATACCATGGGTCCTGGTGCCAGGTGTCCCAGACACCCCTGTCCAAGGGCCCTGGGGCAACTGCATTCTTCTGAGTGCCCCTTGCTACATGAATGAGCTTATCTGAATCCCAGCTCAGCCACCATGCAACTCCAGGCAAGTCCCTGAACCTCTTGCCTCAGTTTCTTCATCTGTAAAATGGGGCAGGTCCTCCTACTTGATAGAATTAAGAGTTCAATGCCAGTGAGTACCAAGATATGGGAAAAAAAGTATAAAAAGAGTTCAAGCCCTAGGTTTGAGACCAGCCTGGGCAACACGGTAAGACCCCCATCTCTACAAACAAACAAACAAACAAACAAACAAACCTTTTTTTAATTAGCCAGACATGGTGGCATGTGCCTGTAGTCCCAGCTATTAAGGAGGCTGAGGTGGGAGGATTGCTTGACCACGGGAGGTCAAGGCCAGCCCGGGTCACATTCTCCACTTTAAAGACCCTGTCTCTAAAAATAAAAATAAAATAAAATAAAATAAAATAGTCCGTATTTGTAGAGGGTCTAGAACAGTGCCTGACACGTAGGAACACTAGGTAAATATTTGCTTAGTAAATGACACGCTAAAGGTCTGAAAGGTGGCCCACGGGGAACAGAGCTTTTGCAGGGGTGGGGCCTCTGAGCCACACACAGGCTCAGCCCTCGAGCAGCCCTGAGGTCCACAGGGTCTGCAGGGCCACCCAGTTCTAGATTATACTTCCCGGCTCCACGGTCTGGAAGGTCTAAACCTTAGAGTGGCCCCAAGTGCTAAAGTTGCCTCTACCTAGCAGTGCATGTGCCCTCACCAAGTCCCCCACTGCCAGGTGGGGGCAGGGTCATGGGGCAATCCCCTGCTCTACACCTGGCTTGACCTGGAGCCTCCTGAAGACACAGCCCAGACTCGGATCCAGCCTGGGAGAGGTGAGTAGGGGCAGCTGGGGCAGGTGAGAAGGATGGGACAGGGCCTGAGCTGTGGGGCCAGAGAACCCTCTGACCTGGCTCTAAGCAGCAGCCTTGGGCCACAAGGTCATGGAGTATTTTTCCACCAGGGAGGATGGGGTGAGCCCTCTGGGTCCTGAAAATTCCTGAAAACTGGTGGGTGGCTGAGGCTACTTGGCCGCTTCCCCAATCACTCCTAATACAAGAGCCACAGAAGGGCTCAGGGCCTAGGAGGGCTGGGGGTCCACAGGCTGCAGGGGATAGGCTGGCTCCTTTCCCCAACCAGTTCTCTGTCTGGCTCAGGAATGCTCACTGCCTTCCTAGTCCCCAGGCCACAAACCAGGGTCTTCTCCCAGCCCCCAGCCCCCAAGGCTAGTCGCTCTCCTCCCCACAAGACTCATAGGCATGACATAAGTACCACCTGGCCAGATTTTCCTGGGCCTCCCACCCACCCCTACCGAGCTCCCAGACACACCCTATTTGCCAATGCCCTTCTATCCTCCTACTCGGGCCTGCAAGGCTTCTTCTGAACTATGGAATGCCCCAGTCTGGCCTCCAAGGTCCTCAACCTGCTGCCTCCCATCGTGCCCAGGCCATCTGCTCAGACAGCAGCCAGTCTCCTGCCTCTGCGCTCTCTGCCCATGCCTGTGCCAGGATTACTTCCCACCCTGCCCCTGGCTGGGCCTTGCCTCCCTGCCATCTTTCCAGCTCTCTGGCAATTACCCAGGTGATTAATTTGGCAATTAATTTGGTAATTAATCATGCTTCTGCTGCTTAGGATGCTCCCTTTCTGCCAGCCAGGCCTGGAATAGAGATCTACTTGGCTTGACTTTCCCTGGGAAATGGGGTTGAGCCCTGGAGGCAGGAGAGGCGGTCCACTCTGAGTCCCATTGCCTGGCCCTGAAGCAGCCTTGGGCCAGGGGCTGCATGCAAAGGAGCCCAGGATTTAGCTGAGATAGAGACCCAGGTCCTGCCTCTGGGGAGGCCCCAAGGGTGCCCCAGGATGCACCTTAGCATTGTTTCTCAGCCTGTCTCTAGCTGCAGGAACTCACTACCCACACTGTGGCCCCAGCCCCAGCTCAGCCTTCGCTCAGCCCCCTGGTGACTTTTCCTCCAGGCTCCTGGGGGAGCTGGGCACTGGTGGAGAACCACCGTCCTGGTCCTAAGTGAGTTCACAGCCTCCTGATGCCTTGGAACAGGTCAAGTCCTTCCATCTGGTGAGACGGACTGTGCAGCCTCCTGACAGGCACCATTTCAGGCGGGCTTTGATCGACAGCAGGATTTAGTGGCAGAGGAGAAACTGAGTCCTGGTGCCCAGTGGGGTTTGCGGCCGGGTCCAACCCAGGTGGCCCTGGCCTTGTTGTGGTCTCCAATGGGGCTAGCCACCAGATGTGTAGCCCTACAGGTACAACCACCAGATGCACTGCCGGGACGGGGTCCCCGTGGAGTCAGCCCTATGGCATTGATTGAAATGCCCCCCTGCCAATTAGGAGTTTTAAAGAAATGTATAATGATCCCTAATTGGCACCCTCATTAGTTGCCAATTAAACACTTAAGCATTTCTTACAAGTTTAACACATTAATAAGGCAGCTCATTACATGGTAACGAGATTTATTTCTCATATTTATTATATTGTTTCACCACTACTGACAGCAGAGTTATTTTTTAAAAACATGGTTTCTTACTGATTACATACAGTCCCCTCCCTACCCTGCCTCGACCAACAGCTGTTCCTGCCAGTGCCCTGAGCCTTGCGTCCTGGTGGGCCAGGAGCCAGTGTCCTGGGTCCTCCCTGATTCTTTTGGTCCAGCCTCCCAGAGGTGAGTCAAGCAGGGCACCTTCTTCCCAAAGTCTGGAAGGGCCAGAGCTGGGCTGTGCAACACAGCACAAACCCGGAGGGCTTCAGGGCCAAGAGCCCTGGAGAACCTCTGTGCATTTAGCCAACCTCTGCATTCCAGGAGCACCTGGGTGGGGTGGGGGATGGGCTTCCTGCTTTCAGCACCCTGGTAGAGCCCAGTCTCAGGACAGGCACCACACTAGGGGCTGACACTGAGGGCAGGAGCACAGCAGCCAGGGGAGGACAAGGAGGTCCTTTGAGACTGTCCCCTCAAAGGGGGCAGGAGGAGGGTTGCAGATGGTGGGAACTGGGCTGAGACCAGGAACCTGGGAAAGGTTAGGGAGTCTACAGGATGGGTGGCCAACAGAAGCAGACCCTCAAAAGCAGTGGTGGGGACCAGGCACAGCAGTTCACGCCTGTAATCCCAGCACTTTGGGAGGCCGAGGTGGGCAGATCACTTAAGGTCAGGAGTTCGAGACCAGCCTCGCCAACATGGTGAAACCCTATCTCTACTAAAAATATGAAAAAATTAGCAGGGCGTGGTGGCACATGCCTGTGGTCGCAGCTACTCGAGAGGCTGAGGCATAAGTATAGCTTGAACCTGGGAGGCAGAGGTTGCAGTAAGCCAAGATCACGCCACTGCACTCCAGCCTGGGTGACAGAGCGAGACTCTGCCTCAAAAAAAAAAAAAAAAAAAAAAAAGCAGTGGTGAGGATCTGACCTCCTGACCTCCATCCAGAGGACAATGGGGAGCCACAGAGTGTTTTGAACAGGGAGAGATGTGACCAGATCTCTGGGTCAGAAAAATCAAGTGAAGGGTGGACTGGAAAGGGCCAAGGGAATAAACACAACCTCCCCATCCTGCCTGCTAAACTCCTGGGGGACTCCATTGTCCAGATCCAACTGGACGCCAGAGGGCAGAGCCAGACGAATGCCACCTGTGCAGCTCAGCTTCCTGGGAGATGGGGCCAAGAGGCCTTGGGGACATTGGCAGTGTTTGGGAACACTTACCCTTCTTCCTTTTAAAAAACATGAGGTCACCATCCAATACATATACTATACCTTGTCCTTATGGCCCTACGTGTGGCTCTGCCTCCCCCTTATTGGTTCCAGTAATTGCAGAGTATATATGGTGAGGAAGCTCCCTATCCACTCAGCCAGGCTTCCTGGAGTAGGCTGTTTCCAATCGATTACTCTTAGAAACATCATGCAGTGAACACCTTGGGCATAATTTCACATGCGTGTCAGTTTGTAAAATAAATTCCTAGAAGTGGGCAGTGCTAGGTCAAATAGTCTATGCATTTTTAATTTTGATAGATATTGCCAAATTGCTTTCATGAAGGCTGCACAGATTACATTCCAATGAGCAACTCTAAGTTTCTGATTTTCCCCATGGTCACCAGCAAGTGCATCAATCTTTCATGGCTTTGCCTATATAATTTGCATCTCTCTTAAAGAAATGAGGGTAAGCATGGGTTCAGTGGTTGAGACTTTTGGATTTCCTTTTGTGTGAACTGTATGTTCATCTTGTTTGCCCCATTTCTCAATGGGATTCTTGGTCCTCTCCTTATCAATTTATAAGGACCCTTTATATATTATGAAATTTGCATTTTTTTCCTTAACTTGTTGTTTGTCTTTAAACTTTTATTTATTTATTTATTTTGAGATGGAATCTAGCTCTGTTGCCTATGCTGGAGTGCAATGGCATGATCTCGGCTCACTGCAACCTCTGCTTCCCAGGTTCAAGCGATTCTCTTGCTTCAGCCTCCCGAGTAGCTGGGATTACAAGCACTCGCCACCACACCCAGCTAATTTTTGTATTTTTAGTAGAGATGGGGTTTCACTGTGTTGGCCAGGCTGGTCTCGAACTCCTGATCTTGTGTTCCACCCGCCTCGGCCTCCTAAAGTGCTAGGATTACAAGTGTGAGCCACCGCGCCTGGCTATTACTTTTTTCCGTGTAGAAATGTTTGGTTTTTGTGGAGTCAGGTGTATCCATGTTTTCTCTTACGGCTTTTGTGTTTTTTGTTATATTTAGAAAAGGCTAGACCAAATCAAACCTTTGTTTTTGCCTAGAGATTTTTTCTTCATTCTTTAGTCCCCCTACCTTTGATCCAGCTAGAACTGGTTTTTGTTTTAAGGTGTGAGGTAGGGGTCCAAGTGGATTTCCACCCCCAGATTATCATCCAGTGATTTCAACACCATATTTTCCCAGAGGTTATGCTTGACTGAGTTGTTGAGACTTTAGGAAGTGTATGACAGGGGAAATAGCACATCCTGTTGCCTGGTGGGTGGAAAGGGGCAAACTTTGTCAGGACACCATCCCCAGTAGGACAGGGTGAGCTGGGTGGGATTTACCTCCTGGAGGTTGAGGAAAAGGAGGTAAAGGTCCATGGGAGGAACTGCACTTGACTTTTCCCTTGGATTCCAGGAGCAGTCCATTTTTGTACCCAATTTTAACTTTGCCTGCCACATCACAATTCCTTCAGTAGACTTTGTGACTTTGACATAATCTTTTTTTTTCTTTTCTTTTTTTTTTTTTAGACAGGGTTTCACTTTATCACCCCAGGTTGGAGTGCGGTGGCGCAATCTCGGCTTACTACAGCTTTGACCTCCCCTGCTCAAGCGATACTCCCACCTCAGCCTCCTGAGCAGCTGGAGCTACAGGCATGCAACACCGTGCCTGGCTAATATTTAAAAAATTTATTTGGAGAGATGGGGTCTTGTCATGTTTCCCGGGCTGGTCTCCAACCCGTAGGCTTAAGCAACCCACCTGCCTTGGTCTCCCAAAGTGTTGGGATTACAGGTGTGAGCCACCGTGCCTGGCCCCATGCCATAATCTTGAGCTTGAGGTGTAGAAAGGAACTATATTCCTTCCTGAGGGCCCTCTGCTGGGGGTTCCTGAGCAAGCCTCCCCTCTTCCCCCCACCCCTGCCCCTGCTCTGGAACTAGGGGTGGTGTATTATGACACAAGTAGGTGACAATGGGGTGTGGAGGAGAGCCTCATGGGACTCAATCCAGGTCCTGCAAGAAGAAGACCAGCAGCATTTGTGAGTAAGGCGAGGACAGGGCAGGCAGGGCCCGGCTAGGCCGCACCCACCTCCCAGCTCCACCTTCTCCCTGCCTGCCTCCCAGATCCCACTCTTCCCTCTCTTCCATACACCAAGACCCATTGTGTGTGCCCCTGGATGTCATTTGGGCCCTCTGTTCCCCTTAGTATAGTAGAGGCCAGACAGGCATCCCTGATGCTAGATTGGCCTTGCTAGCATTCTGGAAGGCTATGGTGGGCAAATGTCTGATGGCACCTGGGGAGGCTCTGAACCAAGCTGAGTGAGGGCAAAGGTTGCAGGCCAGGATGCTGACCTGGAGCAAGGAGTGCATATTCTACCTCCCTGTGCCTCTGCTCCCTCAGGAGCATCCTTCCCTCCACTGCCTTCTCCAATTCCTTCTGGGAACTGGAATAGCAGGTGTTTTAGGTGCTTTACGTCTTTCAGCCACCAGGTGGCAGCAGTGCAAGCCCTACTCTGCCTCACTCCATCCCCTCCTTGGAGCTGTGGATTTAACCTCCAAAGAGACTCTGAGGTCCTCCAAAGAGTTGAGGAAAGATGGGGTCATGCCCCCCCACTCCCCCAGGCACAGGAACCCCTTCAATCTCAGAGGAATGAGGGGCCTGTGGCCCTGGCTCCCTTCCTAGCCCCACCCCTGTAGAAGCTGCTGGGGCAGTAGCTGAGCTGGAGGAACAGACTGGATGCTACTAGGGTGAGCCTCAGGGTCTAGGCCCCCTGAGATGCCCACACTGACCAGGCCCACTAATTCTCAGATGTCAACCAGAGAGGACCCTTCCTGGAGCCCAAGGAGGCAGGGAGTGTAGAGGGAGAGAAGAGGAGCCAGGACCTGGCTGGCTCCTCCACTGCCCCTGCCTGGTTACCCACCCAGGGCTCAGCACCAGGGTGGTGGTAAAGGCTCTGGCACTGGCCTCCCATGGGCTGAGCTGAGCTGGGCCCCAGAGCTACCCCCCCCACCACCCCACACACACCTGTGGAGCACACCTCCCCTCCTCCCCACAGAGGGCGGTGTCCAGGAGGGTTTATGGATTCTCCCAACATATTGTGCCCTCCTCTGCCCCATCTTGTCCCCATTCACAACCCCTGCATCAATAAGGCTGCACCAACCTCCTCATAGTCCACTACAGCTCCATACCCCTCTCATTTGTCTCCATCATTGGGGGTGGAGGTGCCCTGACTTGCTAATATCTACATGCACCCCCCTCTGGGTTCCAGCCACAGGGGCCAGCCCAGGCAGGGCTCAAGGAACCTGCTTTCTGGGTGTGCAAGGTCCTTGGGTCCTGGCCATCTGAACCCCCTCTGAGAGCCTAGATCCAAACCCATAAGCCTTTACATGGAGTCCCTCAGAGATGGGCAGCCTGTTGCCCTGGAAACACTCCTCTTGTTTCCTGTCCATGACCAGGGCCTGCCTTATGCTGACCTGAATGACCATGGGGACTCAGGCACTCATGGATGGGTGGGGAAAGCAGCTGGGACCTCGGTTCCTATGCAAGGCTTGGTGAGGTGCCTCCTCTTTGGGGCTCCCCAGTGCTAAGGGGAGATAGATAATAAACAGGTGTGTCAACAAAACAAGGCATTTTCAGGCTCTGGAGGAAACCAACCAGGACTGCATGGGAATAAAAATGGAGGGGGCAGATTCTGATGGCGATCAAGGAGGGAGGGCACCTTCAGCACTGGCTGAGACCTGAATGTCAAGAGTTGCTGGCCATGCAGGGATCTGGGACAGAAGGGTTCCAGATGAGGGGAAAAAAACAGCAAAAGCAAAGGTCCAGAAGATTCTTGGGGAAACAGCAGGAAGCTGATGTGGCAGGAGGGGAGCGGCATGGGCAAGGAAATGCCAGGGCAGAGGGGAGGGCCTGGCCTTACTGCGTGGAGAGGCCAGAAAGGACAGCAGGGGCAGATGTGGGAATGAATGAATGAAGAAATGAACAAGGTCTGGGACCAGGCCTTTCCAGCAGCCTAGTCCTTGCCCTGAGGTCTTTCTTGGTCCACTTGACAAATGGGGAAAACCCACCACTCCTTGCTCTGGCGGAGGCTTGACCCACAGTGCAATTGAGGGCCTGGCAGGGCTCAGCTTTCCAACCTGAGACAGGGCAGAGCCAGCCGACCTCTGCTGATACTCTCAGCCCCTGCGTCAGGGAGGGTGGGGTGGGCGGATGGCCCCCATAGGCTACGGAGAGTTGGGTCCCAGCTGCCCAGGAAGATCCACTGCAAGAGGTCTCCTTGACTCCCTGGCCCAGCCCAGAGCCATCCCTCAGGCCCAAGGCTGCCTTGCCAGGCCCTGACCTCCACCTCAGACAGGAATCATTTATCTCCATCAACTGCTCCCAGCAGCCAGGCCCTCGGCCAGCAGGTGCTGTCTCCATTCCATGAGGTTGACACTGGGCAGCCCTTCCTCCACTCTCAGTCTCATCAGCTGGACTCCCCAGGAGGAGGCCAAATCAGGCAGCCCCTGCACAGTCTGCAGGGGCTTAGAGGAGCGACCCCTTCCCTCCAAGCCCCCAGAAGACCCAGCTTCTAACACATCAGGGTTAATCCACCCCAGACATCTGCGACTGCCCACTGCAGGCCTACCATGTGTTGGGCACTGGGCTCAGCATGGTGAACAAGGCCAGGGTTCCACCCCTACCCACACAGAGCTATATTCTTCTGGCCAGGACGGACTTGGTTCCCCAGGCCCAGCCACATGACCAGTGCAGGCTCGGGGAGCCTCAGGCCTGTCTCAAGCCCAAGGCCCACGGGCCATGGGCCTCCGTGAGAGGCCACTGTCCTGCCCTGGAGGGGGAGAATGGGGGTGTCCCCAAAATCTGCCTCTGAGAATGACAGCATGCCACACAGGCTGGTGTGGGCCTGTCTTTACCTGCCCCAGGTGAGAGGCTACAGGCACCAAGCCGAGTGTGGGAATCTGAGAGACCACATGTGGCCAAGCACGTGTGAGGACACGGCTGCAAAGGACACACGTGCGCAATGGGCCAGGCTCCAGCAGGGCAGGGATAGTCCCTGTTGCCTCCGTGAGCTGACATGCATGTCTGTTGAGGTGTTATCATTCCAGGCTCGTGGAGGATGGGTTGTAACTTGTCTTCTTTGATTGGAGGAGAGCCCTGAGCTCAGGGAATCTGTCTTGTCCCTCCTGACCCTGCCCAGGTCCAGAGGCCTGGGTCTGCTTAGACAGCTCACTGTGCAGTGGAGATGGGTAGGTGTGGGAGGCCTTTCTCCTGGCTCAACAAGGGCACAGCGGTACCCTGAAGCGAGAGCTTCCTCCTCCCTTCTCCCATCTCACTAGGGCAGCCGCCCTTCTTCCTGGGTTTCCACCCACAGGCCCAGGACAGGCCCTTGAGCCCCTAATCCCTGCCCTCCCATCAGTGACTGCGCCTTTCTCCCCAACCTTATCTGTCTCCTGCAGCCATCGTCAACTCCCCTGTGGCCCGGGCTCCCCCTCCCTCCAGCCTCCCCGCAGGTCAGGTTGGTATGTCCTCTCCCCCCTCCCCACCCCCGTCTCCCGGGCTCCTCCGCTCCCTCTTCCTCTCCTCTCTTCACCTTCCTCCTCCTTTCCCTCTCCTCCTCCCCACTCCCAGTCAGCCTGCCCTCCTATCTGCCTGTCTCCCTCTTTTCTTCCTCCCCCTGCTTCCCCTGCTTCTTTCCCTTTCCTGCCTTTCCTTCCTTCATCCTCTCCTCCCCCGTCCTCCCTAGGGGAGAGGAGGGATTTGCAGGGTCGGGGGCAGCCACTGCACTCAGTTACCCCAGGTCAGCCTAAGAGGCCCCAGCACAGAGACCCCTTTGGCTGCTTTCTTCTAAACCGGAATCTAATTGTGATCAAGTGAGGGAGAAACAGCTAATTACACCCAACAAACAGAGGCCCCCTGGGCTGTTTTATGGTGGAGATGAGAAGGTATAGGAAGGGGCACGTTTACCTTGCAAATGTGGGCTGGGACCCAAAGGGTTTGTGTCTGGCCTGGCAGCCTGAATGAGCTCCCTGGGAGCTGGAGCCCTCAGGAAGGCTTCAGGAGGAAGCTTTGTCTTCCAGGTCAGGAGAGGAAAAGGAACATCTTCCCTCACCCATCACAAGGGTCGTGACTGACACCCTTATAACAAAAGACAGATTGACAGAAAAGCAGAACACATTGATTTCACCAAAGTTTTAATGACTGGGGAGCCTGAGGAAATGAAGATCCAAGGACCTGGGAAAACAGAATATTTTTATGCTAAGTCTGATGAAAGAAGTTGTGGAGAAATGCTTAAAGCAAAAGGGCATGGCCTAATGCTAATAAGCTGGGAGCAGGGCTTCAGCAAGACCCATTTGTTCAGGTTTCTTACTGGGTCTCTCCATGATAGAGGTGCTCTCGCCCCTGCCCAGGGGCAGAACCCCTGTCTCAGGAGGACCTTTACAAGAGAAGGGAGGAAGTCAGAAAGTGACCTTTCTAGGTTTTATGGTTTGCTTGGCTAGGAGAGGGGTTCTAGTTCCTATGACCACTTTCGGGGAGAAAAGGGAGTGGAAAAAAAGGAGGGCTGGAGAAGGGCAGAGTGACCTGCAAGGTGCCGTATTCTGGAGTCATGTTTCTTTCTTTCTTTTTTTTTTTCTTCTTTTTTGAGACGGAGTTTCGCTCTTGTCCAGGCTGGAGTGCAATGGCGCGATCTCAGCTCACCGCAACCTCCCTCTCCTGGGTTCAAGCGATTCTCCTGCCTCAGCCTCCTGAGTAGCTGGGATTACAGGCATGCGCCACCACACCCGGCTAATTTTGTTTTTTTAGTAGAGACGGGGTTTCTTCATGTTGGCCAGGCTGGTCTCCAACTCCTGACCTCAGGTGATCCACCCACCTCAGCCTCCCAAAGTGCTGGGATTACAGGCGTGAGTCACCACGTCTGGCTGGAGTCGTATTGCTTGAGCCCCAACAATACCATGCACCGAATACCACATACCGCACACCGTGGAGCGTCCCAGTGCTGGGGGCTACCACGCAGCTTTCTTTCTTGGCCTCAGGTCTTCAATCCTCCCATCTGTACCAGGGTGTGGAGTGCAGACCCAGCCCAGTTGGTGACCTGACCAAGATCCATTCCTGCCACAGCTACTTTCTACCTGTGAGCTCCCCAGTAAGTCACTTAAACTCCCAAAGCCTTACTTTCCTCATCTGCTCAATGGGGTCATGGGGCATGCCTCTGCCACAGGGCATGTGAAGACTTCAGCAGTGGCCTGGTATACCAGACATTGCCCATAGGAGCCAGGACCAGAGAGTATCACTGTTGAAAGCAGCAAGATGAACCTAGGTTAGCAGTGAGCAGAAAGGACAATGACACTCCACCCCCCGGAAAAAGAGATGCAGTTTGGTTTTACCCCTGACCTTGCAAACACAGACAGGGAAACTGAAGAGGCTCCAGCAGGCTGGGTGTGACTTGGGAGGTGTGCTCCCTGAGGAGCTCATTCCTTGTGTTCAAGAGGAGGGAGAAATGGGGGCTGTGTGGGCAGGAGACAGAATGACTGGAAGGACTGTGATAACAACCAACTTCAACCGTGGTGTGAAAGCTCCAGCACATAATAGGTACTCAGCAAGGGCTCACTGTCCTGAGTTCTGCCTCCTCCAGGAGGTGCCTTCCCTGTGCCCCACCTCTTCTCCAGTTCCTGGGATCAGCTCAGGGCAGGTGAGAGTCCAGGTGCTGCCTGGCACAGGGTGTCAGAGGAGGGGAGATGATGTGTGAGTGGGAGACCTGCTCAGAGTGTCTGCCCCAGGGGCTCCCCCGGGGTGACTGACACCCCCACAGACACACAGACTGATGGGTAGAGATGGAGAGCCTCCACTTCTCTGGCCAGGCCTGCAGCTGGCCAGCTCCTACCCCTCCAGCCCTGTCCCGAAGGTGCCTCAGCCTCTGCTGTGTCCAGGGATATCTCAGAGAGGTGTGGCTGGAGTGGTCTGTTGAGGTTTGATCATGGAGGCCTTGAATGCCAGGCCCAGGACAGGATAGTAATAACAGCTGTTGGCTGCAGCTGGAAGCACAGTCAGCCAGTATAGATGTGTGTGTGGGAGATGGTGACGTGTGTGTGTGTGTGTGTGCCTGTGTGCACCCATGGCTGGCCACGTGGGATGTGGGGTGTGACTGTGCTAGGGTGTTACCCATGTGGAAACACAAGGGTGTGTGTGTGTGTGTGTATGCATGTGTGGGTGGGTGCATGCACTCCTCTTCTGCTGCCCTGGCATCCCAGGGAAGCACACCCACACTGCTGCACTCCCAGGTGCACAGGCAGGTGCCCACTGAAGGTCTGAGCCATCCCAGCTCTCTACCTGCCCACCAGCTCACCCACCTCTGCCAATAGGCCATGCAGGCAATGAACACATCAGGTAATTAAGCAGGAGATCAATTCAACTTAAGTTGGAGGAAAGCAGCCGTGCCTAGTGGAGAGGAGAGACAGGGCTGCAGGAGGCTGAGGCTGAGCAGGGAGTGGGTGGGGAACTGGCAGGGAAAGATGGGAGGGGGTGGCTGCTGGAGTGGGATGTGCCATGCACCCTGCGGAGGGGAGCAGAAGCCAAAAGGAGAGGAAAGGAACTACGAGGACCAAGGCCACTGACCAAGGGGGCAAGGAGGGGACTGGCTGGTGGCAGAGAGAATGGGAAAGATGTAAGGAAGAACCAAGGCCAGCAACAGGACAAGCTTGTGTCTCCTCAGCTTCCCAGGGGTTCTCTCCTGGTGGGGCAGGGGCCAGCGGTCAGGATGGGTCTATCACCCAGCTTCCCAGATGGCTCACAACCTCTTCTGTGGTCCTGCTAGCCCCGAGCATGTGCACAGAACTTGACCCTGTGGGCTCTGCTGGGGGTGCCGAGGAGGATCTTTGACCATGCCCCATTGTTCACCAGCAGAACTGGCCCCAGATGTGAAGGCCCCGTCACTGGAAGGTCATCCATTCATTCAATGAACACGCACCGAGAGCTGCTGAGCACCAGCTCAGGGTCTGACATGGGCCGACTCCAGGAGGAATCACACGCTGGCCGCCCTCGAGGGGGCACAGCCTCCCTGGGGAGAACATGCAAACACAGACAGATATCCTACAGCAGAGGAGGGGACAGTGGGGGACCACAGAAGGCTTCTCTGTGACCCCTGAGCTATGGCTTAAAGAATAAGGGCAGCTAACCTGGGAAGCAGGAGAGCTTGGAGCAGAAGGCCAGGGAGAAAAGGTACTCAGGCCCTGGGGAGGGCAACAGCATAGGCAGAGAACCTACGAGAATATCCCCCAGAGATGGCACCTTGTCTGTGGGGACAAGAGAGGCCAGTGTCCATAGGTCCACCAGGGCCTTGGGAGCAGGGGTGGGCTGGGCAGGGGCTAGCATAAGGCAGCTTCAGCACTGAGGAGGTAGAGAACAGAGCGGACACCACAGGAGTTTAGGCAAGAGGGATACATGGACAGGCAGAGCTGGAGACCACACCAGGAATGGGGGTGGTTTGGGCCAGGGGCAGATGACACAGAGATATGGGAGATGGAGGGTTGGTACAGTGAAGACAGCATGAGGGCAGAGCACAGGGCGCCTTGGCATGAACGTGGATGTGTGATCTCAGCTAAGCCCCTGCCTCAGTTTCCCCGTCTGTACCATGAAGGGCTCCCCCTCACTCATGGACACTGGGAATCCTGTGGTAAACAGGACAGCCTGGTTCCTGCCTCTGGGCTCACAGCCTAGGGGGAGGTGAGACAGGAAGAGAATTAACTCCCTCAAGGAGTTAACCAAAGAAGGGGAGTTGAGGCACTATGGAGGCTCGGCAGAAGCCGGGGCATGCTCGGGTGCTCACTCTCAGTTGTCTTTGGGGAACCCCTGACCCCATCATCATGCATTGGGAACAGACACATGCCTCCCTCTTGACGTAGGCCTGGCCAATCAGCTTCCTTCATCTCCAGGCCCATGGTGATTTTCCAGGACAGGCATGTGGATGTGGCTGACTCAAAGCTGGGGCTCCAGCTGAGGGGTCAGGGAATGAGGTGCCTTGAGGAGCAGAATGGGGGAGGCCTGGCTGGGCATGGAGTTCACATTCAGGCAAGAGGCCAAGTGACAGTAATAACATTTGAGCACCTGTATCCAGCCATACCTCAAGTTCACAGACCTGGATTTTTAAACTACTTGTGCCAATAAATTCCATTTTACGGCTGAAGTAACTTGAGTCTTGGTCTTTGCCTCCTGACTCATGGCCTGAGGCTTCCCAAGCATAGAGAACAGCATGGGCACAGGCCCCGGACTGAGAACAGCTCCATGCTGCTGTTCTGGAATTGGAAGTAGCTGCT
This sequence comes from Homo sapiens, assembly GCF_000001405.40. Taxonomy (NCBI): domain Eukaryota; kingdom Metazoa; phylum Chordata; class Mammalia; order Primates; family Hominidae; genus Homo; species Homo sapiens. Next base: position 50,534,805 of record NC_000003.12, on the reverse strand, counting down.
GGGGCAGGAAGCGTAAATGGTGGCGGGCCAGGAGCTTCCGGAGCAGCTGCCTTGGCCAGAGATGAGGGGGTCTGTGGAGTGAGTGGATCAGGGGTTGGCTGAGCAAGAGGGGATTGTGTGAGAGGGGGAGTGGGTGGGGCCAGCGGAAAACGAAGGGGGCAGCCAGCACAGGGTTCCATCCTGGGACCAGGAGAACGTCTAGGAGACCTTAGGAAGAACAGAGCCTTGAAGAGGCTAATCCTAGGGGCAAAGAAGGGAGTACGAGAGTAGGCTCAGGACACAGCCCCAGGTAGCTGCCAGACATGGAGCTGGGGGAGGGCAGTGGGGTCTGGAGAAGCAGCTCACCTCGTCCATCATGGAATTTGCCCAGTAGGGTCTTTGGTGATCTTGGCCTGAGCCAGTTCTGGGGTGTGGAAGGGTCACAGCCAGGGCTGGGCAGGAGGAAGAATGGGATAAGTATGGATGAGGCTGAGGACGCCGGGGCTCAGCAGAGGGGGCTGGGAGGCTTGAACAGCACACTGCGGACGTGGACATGTGCTCCGCGGACTCTCTGAGAGTCCCTCCCCACCTCTGCTGCCAGGGCTGGGGACAGGAGGCACAGGACCAGGCAGGAGGGGCAGGAAATCCTAAGAGAAGTGTCAGGGGACTCAGGGGAGCATGGAGCTTGGGGGAGGACCAGGTGCATCCCAGGCTGGGGAGAGAGACCGGGGTTGCAGGGCAGAAAGAGCTCTTGAGGCTCCAGGGAGGAGGGAGCACAGCAAGGGCAGAAGCACAGAATGAGTTGGAGTTGGGCTGGGTCAGGGGACTGATGAGAGAGGAGGCCCAGGGGTTGGCCTGACGGCAGGCCCAGGAGGCCCCAGAAGGCAAGGGGGATCCAGAGGGCACTCTGCCATGCTCTGTGGCCAGTTTCAGGTGCTCTGCTGGCCTCTGGCTTCTTCTCTCTTCTGTGAAATGAGGGTGCCCTGCAACTCCTGGGGGGAGGGACAGGACACCCAAGCCCCTCCCTAAATCAATGCTTCCTTACCCCTCCCCACCCCACCGGGTGGCTAAAAATAAAAGCAACGATAATTTCCCTAAATGAAACCTCCACTTAAACACTTAAAAAGCAATAAAAACTCAATTTTCTTTCTCTCAATTATTTTACTTATTCCATTTTCCAAAAGGTTCACCCTGTTATGAAGATGTATTTTTCCCCATCAGCGGCAACGTTCTCCGCCATTACTCAAACTGACTCAGCCTCCCCCTGCCAGGAGGGTCGCCTGGTCTCCGCGGCAACCGGGTGCCTTAGGATTGTGACTTCACCACCACTGCCTTCGTTGGTGGGGACACTCCGAGGGGGCGGTATCTGCCTCCCTCTAGCCCTTGCCTTGGTTTCCCAGCCTCCCAGCGCCATTCCTAGGCCTCCTGCCTCCAAGCCTCTCCCACCAGCCTCTGCACCTGCCTGCTGGCTCCTCTGAGACGTATAGAGGGAGATAAAGTCCCACCGGCCTCAGGGGAGCATGCGGCCTGTTTCAGGGGAGCAGGCACAGTGCTTTAATCACTCAGTCCTGACACTGTAAAAATTGGGTTTTCCGATGTCATTAGTGCTTTGTGATCGGCTCCATTTGTATCATGCCAGCCCCGTTGCCTCATCTCTGCTAATTGTTTTTACTCAGTCCTTTCATTTTTAAACTGCTGTCTTGTTGGTTTTTAATTTTTAATTATTGCTGCCTCCCCTTCCATCCTAATTGGTCCAGGCCCCTATTGAGGCTCCCTGTGCCTGTGGCTGTGGCCAGTTCCCTCCTAGTAGCCAAGGCTTGCCCACCGCCTGCCCCCCCTCTGTCCCAGTCGGTCTCAGCCTTACTCCAGAGGCAGACCGCACACCTGGCCCCTGGTGCAACAAAGGCATCATGATTCAAGTTCATGCTCCAAACACACATTAGTCACTGACTGTACAGGGTGCAGTGATCCTTGGGGGATGTGAATGACCAGACCTACCTGAGTACTGCCTTTGTTGTGTTGTGGGAGGGCTGCCTGTGTTAGGTGGGGGTACTTGGGGGGGATCACAGCCACCTCCCAACTACCTGCCCCTCCAGCTCTGCTTTCCTCATGGCCTTGGGCCTCTGCGATGTACTATAATAGGACACCAGCCTCCTCCCCTACTGCCCCTAGCCCAGAGGTCACTAGCAGCCTCCCCTCCAAGCCTTTGCTCACTCCGGTGCCCCTAGCGATTCCCTTTCTCCTCCTGGCTCAGCTGAATCCTGCTCAGTGCTCTCTGACTGTTCGAATTGGCCGGTCCACTTGTCCATCCCTCTGTCCATCATCCACTCATTTGTCTGTTCATCCCTCTGTCTGCCCGCCTGTGCTTATCAGCCTGTCTATGAGTCTCCTAGTATGATTTTTTGCCGCAAGTCCCTCTTTGCATCTGCCCTGACCTCAGTCCTTCCCATGTGTCTGCCTTGAAACCTCTGGTTTTCCCTTCTGCGAAGGCCCCTTCTGTATTTTATTTGGTCACAAACAACCAGCCACAGCCAACTTCCTGAGAAGTTTCAAAATTAAACTTGACCCTCATTTCTCCCAGCTGATGTCACACACATTCCTGCCTCCAGGCCTTTGCACTCAGCAGGCATCTCTGCCAGATGTACCCTCTCTTCTCCTTGACCTATCCAATGACCACAGACCCCCAACCTGGAGTCAGAGGCCTGGGCTCTGTTCTGGGTTCTGCCTCTCTCTTGCGGAGTGACTTGGGCAAGATCTTCCCTTCTCTGAGCTCCCACTTTTCTCATCTGTGAATGGGAACAAACCACAGGTTCTGCATGGCTCCTCACAGGGCTTGTGAGGTTGTTACGGCTTCTGGGTGGACATGAAATCACATAACCAGTGGGCAGGGAGGCCAGGGGTGTAGTTGTCACCCTTCCTTTGGGGCTTCTTACGCAGGCCCACTCCTCCTCTCTCTGAGCATCTCCACCCTCTCCACCAAAGGAGTCCTTACTGGGTTTTAGAAACTGGGCTCCCTCATGCCATTTGATCTCCAGAGCAACCCTATGAAGTAGGAACCCTCCAGCAGCCCCAGAGAGGAAAGGAGTGTGCTCAAGGTCCCACAGCGGTTAAGGGCAGGGTAGGATTTGATTGAACCCAGGGCTGTGTTGGTGGGGTCAGTAGATGCTGGTGAATCCAGATGCTCTGGGGGTTGGGATGGGCAGCACCAGCCTTGGCCAGCAGTGTCAGCTCCCCTGCATGCTGGACCCATGCTCCAGATGGACACCCCAAGGCCCACAATGGGAAGAGAGCCGCCAAGGTCACATGTGAATCCTGGTCTACCCAGTGCTTCTTCTGCCAGGTTCCCTAGCCTCCCTGGTGATGGGGAGATAGGCCCCCCTCTGCAGGGGAAGGGTGCTCTACCAGCCAGCCCGGGAACGTATGAATCAGGTTGTGGTCATAGGCGACTGAGGTTTTCTTGTACCCAGTTACCCTTCCTCCCTGCCCTGGTCTGTTCACTTCTTCAGTGAGGTGAAAAGGAGGACAGGCTCAGGATGGAAAGAAACTTTTATTGAGCATCTATTCTGTGCCAGGCACAGTGCTGGGCAAGGCCACAATTAATCCCTGAAGCCACCCTGTTCAGGAGGAGCTATTGTAATCCTGCTTTGCAGATGAGCCCCAGAGGCTCAGAGAGGGGCAGTGCCGCATCCAAGGTCTCACCCTTGGGAATCTGATGCTCCTCTCACCCCTACCAGAGGTCCTCCTTCTCCAGGAACGAGGATGGCCTGCCCTAGTCTGGGAATTATCCCCACCCCTACCCCTTCTGAGAAGAAGGCAGTATGGGGCCTGCAGTTAAGTCCCTGGAGAAGGGCCATCGCCTGTCTTGCTCCCCTCCTCCGTGCCAAGCCCCCAGCATAGAGCCTGGCTGGAACAGGTGGTCTGATATGTTTGGTGACTGAAGACATGAGAGAAGAAATGAATGTCTCAGCCCCACTTGGCTTCTACTGAATGCAGCCCCAGACGCTAATGGGCTCCTCATTCAGAAGCACCTGGACTTCAAAGGAGGCTCTGGAGGAGGCCAGGCATTACTAAAGGAATTGCAGGCACAGAAGAGTTGGGACTCCACTAGAACTGGCTGCCTTCCCCTGCTACCGGCTCTCGCAGCAGCCCCAGACGACTCAGGCTCCTGGTACTACCCCCCTGTGTACCCGACGTGTTCTCCCCACCCCCGTGCCCTGTCCCCCGTCCCTGCGTCCCTGCGCCCCGATGTTGGCACCCTGCGGGCCCGGGGGCGGCCGTGCCGGCGCCGCAGAGTAGGGCAGGGCCACCTGGACGGGTGCACATGCGCGGAGCAGCCGCCCGGCCCCGCCGCAGCAGCCGGCGCCCCCCGCCGCCGCCCGCGCCCCAAACGCGCGAGAAAAGCAAACAAAGACGTATTGGTTTCTGCTCTATTAGAGGGGCAGGAGGGGGGAAATCAATGTTTAGTAAATGGGAAAAGAGAAAATCGTTCAGGAAAGACAGTCTATTTCCAAGCCAGAGAGGGGTTCGTAAACAGCATAGGCCATTGCAGAGGAAGCACCACGGGCCATAAAACTCCCCCAGCCAAGGAATGTTCACTTAGCGAGCCCTGAGCCGGCCCGAGCACGGTGATACTGGAAGCCCCAGGGAAAGGGTGAGGAAAGGACCTGGCATGTCCTTTTAAAGCCGCACCCAGGCACCTTGCATTGACTACACCGCTCCCCCTTAATCCCTTCCATGGCTCACCATTGCCTGGGTTGAATCTGAGTCCCCTACCCGCCTGCAGGGGCCTGCATGGTGGGGCAGGGACAGTTGGCCTCTCCGGGTGCCCCATCCCATGGCTCTAGCCTCCCTGATTGGCTGGACTTGGCTGTTCCCAGGAGGGTCAGGGCTGGCTTCCTGGAGGAAGAAGTGTTTGAGTTGGGCCTTGAATCTTGTGGAGGAGTTCTCCAGGTCAAAAAGGGAAGGAATGTTGATTTAGGGTAGGAGAACAGCCTATCCAAAGGCCAGCGGTACTTGGGAAGAGACCACAGTCTCTAAAGGGGTGGAGTTCAGGCAGGGATGGGGGAAATTTTGTTAGGGAAGGAATTGCTTAATTGCCACTGTGACTGAGCAGAAGAGGCTAAGGATGGAGAAGTGGAATTGAGGTGGGGGTTGGCTTCCAGGAAGTTGGAGGTGGCTTAGTCTACCCCCTACCTAGGCTGCACTGCTCCCAAAAGACCCCCAAAAAAATAGAGCATCAGAGACGGACTGTCTGACCCTCTAGGATGCTGCAGATGGGATGACTTAAGCCAGAACATTTTCTGCTCTGGGCCCACATCTGCTGCTAGACCATTAGAATCCATCCCTTGAGACAGCTGGGATGACCCCTCCAGCACCTCACCCATCCCTACTAGGCCCCTGTGGCTGGCGTTCCATTGTTTCAGAGAGGGGGGCTCAGCCTGCTATGTGGAACAGAGTGTTGTCCTCTCCATCAAGGCCCAGCGGGCCACGCCAGGAAGTACTGAATTTTAGTTTAAGGTGGATAGCACGACTGGAGTCTCCTTTACAAATGAATTATATTCTGTGTACTGTTTGTGCATGCATGTGTTCAAGCATGTGTGTGTGTGCCAGGTCGGGGGTGTGGATTTGTGGCCTGTTCCTGTGAGGGGCATGCTCCCATGGGTAGGCATGAGTGTGTAGGAGTATGTGCTTGGACAGAAAGAGGCAGCTAGGATGCAGGCACCTTTTACAAGAAGTATGATAGAGAAAAAAAGATATTTATAGGTGAGGATCCAGAGAGGGGGATGTAGGGAAAGGCAGAGGCTTTGTTATTGCTGTTGGTGTTACTATTATGTTGTTACAGGACCCTGTCCACTGCAGTAAGTTCCTTCCAGGGGATACTTTCAGCCTCTGGACAGCATGTGAGGTCAGCTCTGCTATTTCCTCATCTGCTGAGGAAATGAACATTCAGAGAGGTGAGGTGAGCTATCTGAGGTCACACAGCTGGAGCTTGGAGCTAGGACTCTGGAACATGGCTGGGGCCTGAGATGATTTTCCTAATGAGATGGACCTGAAAGAGAGCTGGTGGAGGGCAGAGGTTGAGGGACAGGGGGGTGCTGAGTCTCCCCAGGGAAGAGCACTGAAATCTTATTTGCCCTGGAGAGGAAAAGAGGCTGGAGAGGGAATGTGGCCAGGCAAGTGGCCCAGCAGAGGGACCTGCCTTTGAAGCAGTCAGGGGAACCAGTTGGACCCCTAACCCCTCCCTGGGATATGACAGCTCCACCTCCCACTCAGGATGACTGCTTCCATTCCACCTTCTGGGCCTCTGCTTTCCCTTCTGTACAGCAAGGCATCCGGACTGGGTTAGTGGGTGGCAGGCTCCTGGGAGTCTCTAGGCTCCGATCTTCTGGAGCCCTGTGTTGGACAAATGCACAGGTTTGTGGATACACATTTTTGTTGGGAGTGTGTGCCCAGAGTAAAGCACAAGGCAAAGTGGGGGTCCAAAGACATGCAGGCATATGTTATGTGATCAATGGGGTAGGGAGTATGTTCACACTGGGTAGGGGGGTGTCCCGAGGGTCTGCTTGGTAAGTTCAGCCCAGGGTGAGAGGGGTGGGTAAGTGTAGGTATGAGCAGTAGATTGGGGTAGGCCAGGCCTGTGCCTGGGGTCTAAGAATGGAGGGGTTGGCATGGGGTCCGGGTGCAGGAAGAGGGGACAGAGGAGGCCCGTGGACGTCAGCACTTGAATTTCCACCTGCCATAGCCCATTCCCATCCTTGCACCCACTCAGGCCCCACTGCTAGGGGCAGGCACAAAGAAAACGATTTTCTCCAGTTAAGGCCAAGCAGGAGATGGAGATGGTGAGAAGGGAACTTCAAGGTGAAATCTGCCAGTATGGCCCCTGGGCTGGGCAAGAGAGGAGCTCAGAGTGGGCAGGGGGCTAAAAGGAGGAGGTTCAGAGGCTCTGGGGTATGGGAGCCTGAGAGAAGGAGGGGTGGGGGAAAGGCCACCTTGGGGGCCAAGTTGCAGGGAGATGAGGATGACTCAGGGACATCAGGGACGGATGAACACATTGAGGAGAATGCAGGCATTGAATAAGGAAGGGGCTTCCAGGCCTGGTCCCTGTGAGGCCCTTGGGGAGACACCCACTCCAAGCACCTCCTGAGTCCTAGAGTTGTCTTCAGCATGGGCATACAAAGGCAGCTGGATATGGGTTGCAGGTTCAGGGAAGCCTAAGTGTTGAGAGGCCAGGGCTAGACCTTGGCCTCGAGTGCCAGTAGAGAATCAAACATAGCCAGCCACAGGGATGCTGAGCAGGACGGTGGCTGGGGGGGTTCCTGGCACCAGAGGCAGCTCCCCTCCCACCTTGAAGAAGGCAGGCATCTTTCAGACCAGAAGCCTGGTGCCAGGTGGGAACCTTCACCAGAGGAGGTGTTGCCAGTCAGGGGCTCAGGCCACAGTACACTTGGGCCCACTTGCTGATGGAAGAGCAGGTACCAGAGTGAAGGCCATGCTGAGGCCATGCTGGGGCCCATCCAACTGAGCAACTTCAGTGCCCTGTCCTGCCAGTTTGAGGTCAAGCAGGACTGGGCAGCAGGCTCGGGATGAGGGAGCAGCTTGATGAGTGGGTCCAGGGGCTGCAGGTTGGGGCAGGTGCTCCTGGGCCTGGTGAGGAGGTGCCCTTGCTCCAGGAACCCCTTCCACCTCCAGCAGGAGCCAGGTCAGGCCCTGTCCAGCTACCCAGCCCTTGCTGCGCCCAGTTCATCTGCCCCTCATGTCAAGTGTGCCATAGATGACCCTGCTGAGACCCCCTTAAGAACAGGAATAGGCACCCAGCATGGCTAGCCTGGAGCCTCCCTCCTCCCCATGTCTGTGGTGGTCAAGTAAAGGGCCTGGAGGCTGTTGCTGGGAGTGGGATGCCTTTTTAGTGTATTTTGCTCATTGAAGAAACAAATGGGTCCCCCAACCAGAGCCTCTAGAAAAATAGCTGTAGCTTCAGAATTGCTTTGGCCCCTCCAAGAGGGCAGCCTGGGGGTCCAGGTTGTGTGTGGTGGAGTGGCAGGGGAGGTGAGAGGTGTGTATTTTCTGCCACTCTGGCCCTTATTAGCCAGCCCTCCCAGGGGCTCATATCTGTTCCCTTAGGCTTGACACCCCTTATGCTCTGAGTGTCTTCCCTGCCCCAGTTCAACCCTGCAGGCCCAGGGGTACAGGGTTGCTGACTGTACTCCTGGCCTAGGCCTTCAGGTATGTGGGTCTGGGGTCTGAATCAGACTCCAGTGAGAAATGCCACCCACTGGGGAAACATCACTGTGGAGGTGGTCCGTCTGCCAGGCAGTCAGGGGCTCTGTCTATCCATCAGTCTCTCTTTCCACTGCCCTGGCTGAGGCAGCCTTGGAAAATCTCCCTAACTTTCTTGGTGGGAGAGGCAAGGAAGGGGGTCAGGAGGGACCAGAAGAGGAATGTTTGCAGAGGGGAAACAGAGGGTGGGGCAAGCTGGGCTCTTATGTCGGCTGTTGGCCTCTCTCTGGGTCCCAGACTCAGGTAAAGAAGGAGGGGCCCCTGACCCTGCTGCGGGGAGGGCAGGATGGGTAGCAGCCCTCTCACCTGGTAGATGGGCCTCAGCACCATGGAGAGTTCCCACAACCCTACCAGGCCCCAGCCTGAGCCCAGCCACGTGTCTGCTGAGTCAGTGCCTGGGGTTCCTCCTGCGGAGTTTCATGGCTATGCTGCCCACAATGGGTGGGGCCCCATGGTTCCTGTGTTTCCCCCACATTGGCCTGGATAGGCCAAGACCTCAGGAAGGACCAGCGTGTTTGTCGACAGACTGGATGATGTTCTCCAGGCTACCCCTACCATGCCCCAGCAGCTCCTGGGTCCCAGGGACCATCTTCCCACACTCCACTTCCTCTCAAAGTTTTAATTTATCCAAGCCATCCTTTCTTCTCCCTGAAGAATCAACATTTTCTCTGTCTTTTGACATTTATTTTATTTTATTTTTACATGCGGCCTCCCAAAGGCTGTAATTTATGGCTAATACCATGCAATCAGAGACAATGGCTGGGTGCCTGTGAGCAAGAGCAGGCAGGCTCCCTGCCAGGTGCCCCTGCCCCCACCACCACTCTCAGGGGTGCCCGTGACTGTGAGGCCTCTGGGTACAGAGTCCATGAGTTAAGACCTCAAGCCCTTATCTGGAGGACACAAAGAATAGGTTCCCAGCTGCCCTGAAGCAGCCCAGTAGTGTGGGGGCTTCTGTGGGGAACTAGTCTGGGTGGAGGGGGAGGTGGGATGCTCAGGGACTCCCTGCTGGGATGGCCTCAGCTGCAGAGAAACCCCCAGCTGAGGTGCCAAGAAGATGCCTCTTGGCCCGCACCTCCTCACTGCCTCCCTCCCCCCGCCTCTGCTGTGCTGTGCCCGCGTGGCTCCCACGCTGTAATCTACAGTGCTGTTACTCTGTGTCAGTGATTTAAATCCTCTGATGGAGCTGGTGACAGCTTAAATGGCTGCCATCCTCTCCCGGTACCCGCCAGGTCCTGATGAGGCCCCATGGGGGGAAGGAGGGTTAGCCAATGTGGGGTTCAGACAGTATTTTCCAAGCTTGAGGGTGGCCAGGCTGCTCTTCCTTGCCCCTCTAAAGGGGAGGGAATGAAGCATTCCCTCTCCTTCCCCTCACCAGTGATCAAGGAGGGAAGATAAAATCCTCCATAAATCCCCCAGAAATGGAGTATCTGGAGCATGCTCAATTCTACCTGCCCACAGGTGAGAGACGCAGGAGCGGGGGCCAAGGATCGAGGCACCCAGCAGCCCATCTCTGCAGCCCTGTGGCCTGTGACAGCCAGAAGCAGGGCAGGCCTGAAGCTCAGCTGTGCTCAGACCCTGCCCCAACCTCACCAGTCACCTCCAATTATGTTGATGCTCAAACCTCAGCCCTCCCAGGGCCTCCTTCCTCTTCTGGAGTCCTCTCCTCTGTTCAGATATTTGATCTCCAGCGCAATCTCTGTTCTGCTAATGGGGTGGGGGTGGGGATATCGTACCTATGAGGAAACAAAGGTACACAGTGGCAGAGCTGGCTCAGGTCACCCAGGAGTCATTGGCAATGCAAGCCCTGGCCCCCAGCCCCTGCCTCGTCCTGAGTTTCTTGGAGGGTGTGGGCATCTCAAGAGTGGGGCTGGAAGCAGGTCCAGAGCAGGGCACTCAGCTGGGGGCAGAGAGCAGAGCTGGCAGGTCTTGTTGCTGGATGGGGTCTCTCAGACGAGATCAGGCACGTTCAGGGTGGCATGGCCTTAAACTGGATGGGGTCGTTCAGTGCTGGATCAAGAGATCCTATGAGGGCTCAGCACTGCCTGGTCCTCTGGCTCTGAGGTCCTGGACCCTCCCAATAAACCCACAGAAAGAGTGGCCTGCCCAATCCGGCAAGGTCCAAGTCTCGCGTGGGAGTCTCGTGTGGATGGGGCTTGGGGGTACCAGGTCTCAGCTCTGTTGGGGGATGTCAGAGACGAGACCTGGCTTTTCTGAACCCCATGTCTTACACCACATGCATTCCCGGGACATTGTTCATGACTCTGTGGAGCTTAAGTCAAATGCTTTGCATCCCCAAATCCAACTGATTCATAATTACAAGGAGCAAGTCTGTCTTTAGTGTAATGTGTTTAGGAAAACTGGTGGATTTAATTTCAGGCCTCTACTTTAATGATCTTCCCCCAGTCTGGGCAGGAATACCCAGAGGGCCCCACCCAGATTTGGGGAAGGTCATTAAAGCAGAAGCCTGAAGAAGGGTGGGTGGAATTCAGAAGAAAGGCTCGTGGGAGAGGGTAGGTATCCAGTCAGAGGGAACCAAAAGAAGCAGCCCCTGACGGGGAGCCAGACTTTGCCCTGATGGCAGAGAGGGAGACAGGTGATGTGACAGAGCTCCCGCCCAGGAGGGGCAGACACAGGTCTCATGACCTCCTTGTCCTGTGTGAGGAGACAGGACCCCTTTCGCTAGAAGTGGAAACTGAAGCTCAGTGAGTTTAACTAACTTGTCCAAGGTCAGCAATTTGCAAGTGGCTGAGCTATGACTTGAGCCTGGGTCCTATTGCCGCCCTTCCACTCCCACCTGAGCCAGGACGCAGGCTAAGCTGGGCTTGTAGCTTGCCAGTCTCCTAAACCCCTGTAAATCCCTCCTGGGAGCAGGAAGTGTCAGAGGAGTAATTAAATGATTGAGTGAGCAAGGCCAGCGACTGGAACAAGGCACTCGGCCACACCAGGTGTCCTTCCAAATAGCCACATGTCCCCAGCTGGGGGCTCCAAGGGCCTGAGCTGGTAGGAGGGGCCTCTCTCCCTGCCAGGGGTGGGAGTCAGGCTGACTGTCAGTCCTTGGTGCAAGACCACTGGAGAGTGGGCTCAGGGCTCCGTAGGGCAAATTGTTCCCCCTGAGTGACCCATTACTACATTACTGTCACCGTTCCATGCGGTGAGCTCACAACCCGAAGGAGTGGACCGTGGACAGATGAATGAGTATAGTATGAGGTTGCTGAGGTGGGGGCAGGGCCTGATTCCTGACTCTTTTTTTTTTTTTTTTTTTTTTTAGCTGTCACCCTGGCTGGAGCACAGTGGTACAGTCTCGGCTCACTGCAACTTCTGCTTCCTAGGTTCAAGCAATTCTCCTGCCTCAGCCTCCCAACTAGCTGGGACTACAGGCATGCACCACCGTGCCTGGCTAATTTTTGTATTTTTAGTAGAGATGGGTTTTCACCATGTTGTCCAGGGTGGTCTCGAGCTCCTGACCTCAAGTGATCTGCCTGCCTTGGCCTCCCAAAGTGCTGGGATTACAGGTGTAAGCCACCGTGCCCAGCCTTGAGGCTGACTTCTTAGGGTCCCATCTCAACTTGAGCAGGCCCCTCAGAGCCAGGTGTAGGAGTAAGACACACTGCGTTTCTTCCCACTTGCAGAAGCCCCTTGATGACTCTACACCCCCAATCCACAACCCTGACTCAGCGGCTTAGTCCAGCTCTCCTTACCTCCCACCCCAACTGCCTTAATGACTTTTTAATAAATTGAAAAATTGTTTCAATACCAAATACGATCCCGGGACATTGTTCATGACTGTATTGAGCTTAAGTCAAACGCTTTGCGTCCCCAAATCCGACTGATTAATAATTACAAGGAGCAAGTCTGTCTTTACTGTAATGTGTTTAGGAAAAGTGATGGATTTAATTTTTTTATCGGCCAAAGTAAGAAAATGTAATCTTTCTGAAAGTATCTAAAACAACAATGCACCATAATTAGTTTCTCTGGAAACAGGCATAATGGAATAGAATAATAAATCACTTCTCCTTTTGTCCCTTTCCTCTGATGGAGAGAGATTTCCCTTCCATGGGGCTGGGAATGGGACAAGGAACAGAACTGGGGGAGATGTGCAGCTCTGGCTCCTCTCTGTTGAGTCTGCAGATTTGGCCCTGCCCCACCCACCAAGAAGTTCAGGGTGCAACTCCTCTATTCCCAGGTCAGACCCCAAACATTTCTCAGGAGCTGGGACCCAGACTCCAGGGTTGTGGGTGTTCCTGCCTCCCTCACCAGTCAGATCCATACCCATTGCCTTTGACATCTCCCTTCCTGGGCAGCCAAGATGACATACCTTGGGGGACTGCAGTGACAAATTATTATTTTGGTTGACTGTTTAGGCATCCCAAGATGAGGGAAGTACAATAGACCAGCAGAGAAGGACTCTTAATTTGTGACTGGAATAGCTCAGTTACTAACTTTCCTGATGTGCCCCTGCCCCCAGCTTAGGTGGCTGGGGAAAAAGGGAAGAGGGAAACATCAGAAAGAGGGGAGAGGGTGAGGGGGTGGGTCCAGTTCAGCCTCCAGCTTCCTTCAGGCAGCCCCCTGGGGTGGCTTACCAGACAGAGTTCAGTCTTCCTGGGCCCTGCCCCCATTGTAGGGCAGCCTTGCCTGGCAACCTCCACAGTCCTCTTCCCCTGCACCCCCATCCTGAGCCAACCCCTGAGGTGTGGGTTGTTCTCATCAGAAACTCCCGTTTACCGGGTGCTCCCCGCTTAGCTGCCACCCTGCCCCAGGCCTACAATCAGTGATGACAGGATAATTGTTTGTTTATTGATCCTGACCAGCCTTCTGTGGCCTAGTGATGGATGATGTGGGAAGAGCCCTGCTTGCCTGGGCACAGGCACCCCAGTACCGGAAGAATCAGACGTGGGCTAGCCTGGACCCATCCCCATCCTGACACATCACTGCCCCTCTTCTGGCCTTGGCCTATGATGATGGAGCAAAATGAGCCCCAAATTGGGAATCTGGAGCCCTGGGTCTGAACCCCAGAATTCTAGACTGTTACCCAGAGGCCTCAGGCAGCCATCTTCCTCCTTCCCTGCAATCCCTAGCCTCGGATCTCCTCCTACAGCCCAAACCCTGGGGCTAGACCAGACTGCAGGGACCCTCAGCCAGGTTTGAATTTGGAGGATCAGCATGAGACTAGGGTGCCCCAGCTGGTGCCTGATAGATGCTTGCACAGACCCGGAGGCTCACAGCCCACACCAGCCATTCTATACCCATTGCCTTTGACATCTCCTTTCCTGGGCAGCCAAGATGACATGCCTTGGGGGACTGGAGCCCTGGGGCTGAACCCCAGAATTCCAGACTGTTACCCAAAGGCCTCATTCCTCTCTCTGCGTACCTCATTCACCCTCCTCCTCTCTCTTGGCCTTCTTGCTGAAGCTGGCCCATCCTCTCCCTCTCTGTACCCTCCTGAGACAATCCCAGCTGCTTCCTGCCCCAGCCTCTCCCATTGCAACTCACCACACCCATAGCCAGAGCCACTGTCCAAGGCCCAGCTCAGACCCTCCTTCCCTTTCCACAAGGCTCCCCTGGGACAGGACAGGCTCCCACGTGCTGCTGGCTAACCCAGCCTCATCTCCGGGGGCATTCTTTCCTGGAGTCCCAGAGCCTTGCCCATCTGCCTCCTGAGGAAAGGCTCTCTGGCATCTGGGAGCCAGGGCCTGGAGCAGGATGTAGGGGTGGGTTGCCCCTCCACACCTGTGGGTGTTTCTCGTAAGGTGGAACGAGAGACTTAGGAAAGAAAAAGACACAGAGACAAAGTATAGAGAAAGAAATAAGGGGACCCGGGGAACTAGCGTTCAGCATATGGAGGATCCTGCCAGCCTCTGAGTTCCCTTAGTATTTATGGATCATTCGTGGGTGTTTCTCGAAGAGAGGGATGTGTCAGGGTCACAAGACAATTGTGGGGAGAGGGTCAGCAGACAAACACGTGAACAAAGGTCTTTGCATCATAGACAATGTAAAGGATTAAGTGCTGTGCTTTTAGATATGCATAACATAAACATCTCAATGCTTTACAAAGCAGTATTGCTGCCCGCAGGTCCCACCTCCAGCCCTAAGGCGGTTTTTCCCTATCTCAGTAGATGGAGCATACAATCGGGTTTTATACCGAGACATTCCATTGCCCAGGGACAGGCAGGAGACAGATGCCTTCCTCTTGTCTCAACTGCAAGAGGCATTCCTTCCTCTTTTACTAATCCTCCTCAGCACAGACCCTTTACGGGTGTCGGGCTGGGGGACAGTCAGGTCTTTCCCTTCCCACGAGGCCATATTTCAGACTATCACATGGGGAGAAACCTGGGACAATACCTGGCTTTCCTAGGCAGAGGTCCCTGCGGCCTTCCGCAGTTTTTGTGTCCCTGGGTACTTGAGATTAGGGAGTGGTGATGACTCTTAAGGAGCATGCTGCCTTCAAGCATCTGTTTAACAAAGCACATCTTGCACTGCCCTTAATCCATTCAACTCTGAGTTGACAACACATGTTTCAGAGAGCACGGGGTTGGGGGTAAGGTCACAGAATCTCAAGGCAGAAGAATTTTTCTTAGTACATAACAAAATGGAGTCTCCTATGTCTACTTCTTTCTACACAGACACAGTGACAATCTGATCTCTCTTGCTTTTCCCCACACAGGAAGCACAGCCTGTGATCCCAGGAAGACTGAGGAAGCCCCACCTGAACCCTCACAATCCTGCTGGACCAGGGGGCTGGAGGACATGGATAGGTGGGGCAAGGAGTGAAGGCAGGGAGAGGAAGAGAAATCGGATCTCCACTGTTGGTGGGTGCCAAATCCACCTGATCCCCTTGCTTCCTGGCTAAAGGTAGGATTGCACCTTCCTGCCCCCTGGTGGTCATGCAGGGGTGCGTGCCTGGTTCCGGCGATGAGTGGTGAGCAGAGGCAGCACTTTCAGGACAGGGCTTTTAATTGCTGGTGTGAGACCTTTTAGGGGCCGGATCTCCCTCCACCATGACAACAGTCAGTTTTCCAGAATTTGGCTATCTGGCCAGCCGGGGCTCAGTATGAGAATGACACAGAACAGAGCCTCAGCTGACCCATGAAGAGCAGGGAGCAGGAAAAAGAGATAAATCTTCATTATTTTAAACCAGTAAGATTTTAGGGTTGTTGTCATTGCAACCTAACTGAGCCCATCCTGACTGGTACGAGGAGGAAGGATCTTCGCTGTGAGCAGCTGGTATTGGAACAGGGGAGGGGAGGGATGGAAGCGACCATAGTCTATATGCCAGGGGGCTGGCTTCTCTCTCTTGTTTAGATGGCATGGCCCTTTCTCTCTCTGTGCCTTGGTCTCCCTACCACTAAGCTGCCTGTATATCTTTTGGGACTGTGGGAACAGTGTAAAAGTGTCTTGAGTCGGGGAAGAGTGAGCACAGGTGACTGTGGATGGGGATGGTGATAGTGAGTCCCAGTGGGGCAGGGCAGGGTGAGGGAGTCGCTGCTACTATAAGGGTGACAGCAATGTGACCATGATGGGGACAGCAGCACTGAACTGCTGGAGGCAGTGTTGGTGATGGTGTTTGTGCTGGCAGTGAGGGTGCTGACAGCAATTGAGTCCCTGCCTGTCAGCCTAGCCCAGGTCCTGACTTCCACCAGGGCACAGGCACGGCAGTGATCACAGCATTCCCAGATGGAAGGCCCCAAACATTGATTAATTACCTCTGCTGGAGCTGGCTAATTGTCCACTGATCTCTGCCCTGTCTGCCTGACCTGGGCGAGCCTTCCAGAGCAGTACCGCATGGCATCAGGGCAGGGCTTTTCCAGATATGCCAGCCTCATGTCCTCTTCATTAGCCTTAGATGAGCAGCCCCTCACTGTGCACAATGCAGGCTCCTTCTGGGAAGCTGGGTGTTGTGCTGGGCAACTATACAAGGCATCAGATGGTGTTTTCCTGAAACTTGATGAGCACAATATGGAGTTGCCATGTGCCAGTGATGTGCGCCGGGTGCAGTCTGTTGGGGGTGGGGTGCTCAGGGACGTGGCCAACGGAGTCCACCCTTGGATGCTCCTTATAGATGTCGTGGAAGTAGCCTTGGCTCCATCAGCAAAAATCTCTGCCCCTTCCATGAGGGACCTTGCACTGGCCGCTGAGGGCACCATGGATTCAGCAATGATTCCACCCTGCCTTGCCCCCTGGGAGTCCCAGTCTGAGAGAGGAGGCAGTTCCAGACCCAGACATACCCAGTACGATGTGTTTGACATGGACATCTAGTCAAGCGCCAGGCCGGAGCAGCTCTCTGATCCTAAAAGCCTCTGCCTCCAGCCCGTCTCACTCCTGATACTGATGGGCAAACTGAGGTTGGGAATGGGTGAGGTAGGTCCCAGGCCACACCAGGATGAGCTGGGCCAGGGCCACAATCTTGTCTCCTGGCTGGGGCTCCTCACGCCACACCCCACCTCCTCATTCTGAGCTCTATTTTTGCTGGAAGGCACAGATGAAGATTAAAAAAAAAAAAAAAAAAAAAAAATCCTCTGTTTTGTTTTTGCTGAATCAGCACTTCTGTCATCCCAATCTGAAGGGCTTGGCTTGTCTGCTCTGAGGGGGAAAATGCTTCCATTTAAAAGCAGAACTAAAAGAAAAACATCCACAGGCCCCATTTCACTGCGCCAGACACGATGAGCAAACCATGGTCGTTAACATGATAAAAGTCACTTTGTCTGGGTGTAAAATTCATTTTTCCCCATTTAGCACATGGTGCATTTGCATCATGCTGCAGTTCCCAGGCTGTGATCTCCTCCCAAGGATGTCCCAAAATTGTTCCCATTCCCCAGGCAGGGTCCCTAAGACCTAGGCCTGGTGAGGCTGGGGCCACAGCAGCTGTTCCCTTGTCCGTGAGGTTTTCTTCCTGGCAGCATCAAGGGAGACCTTGAATCCCCATATTTTCCAGCCAGGCCTGGAGGGGACTTGGCAGGATGAATGAGTGGAGTATCTGGGCACCCCAATGCACCCCCGTTGGCCCAGTCCTTGCCCTGGCTCTGCCACACAGTACCCACAGGGATCTCCCTGTCCAGCAGCCTGACCCAGAGTCCCATCTGCACCCCCTCAGCCCCAGAGCAGGGCCTCACCCACTCCTGCCTCAGAGAGGGAAGGGAGTTGCCTTTGGTCACCTGTGCAGCTGAGGCAGGGCTCATTCAGTTCCACCACACCAGGGCCGAGAGTTCAAATCCCATCATTACCAGTGCCAGGGCCAACAAGGGTCAAACACCAGGGCTGAAGCCGACAGCTTGAGTCCTGCTTCCCATCCTGTCTTAGAATATAGCCTCAGAGCTTCCTCTCACTTGGATTTAGTTTCCCCAACTATACAGTGACCTGTTCCATGGGCCAGACTCTGAGGTCCTTTTCAACTGTATCCTTCCCTGAAAGTTGTTCAAACATCATCAACTCTTCAGCCTGAGCCTTCTGGGGGACCCAGCACCATGGGGGCACCACAGCTGTGGGCCAAGTGGCAAGTGGACAGAGTGGGCAAGAAGCAGCAGGCCAAAAAAGACCCAGGGCCTCCTACAAGGCCCCAGCCCCAGCTTTCCCCACAGAGGCTGAGCTGGCTCCTGGAGGAGCTGGCATCAGTCTGCTGCCTCAGATGGCCCAGGTGAAGCAGCTGCCAATGCTGAGTCTGTGGGTAAGATCCAGCCCCAGGGCTTTAGGAGGTGGGAGCGGAGGCCTCCTTTCTGCAGAGCTTTGCCAGCAGGCATGGGAAAAGGGGGAAGGCCAGGACTTCCAGGCCCCTGCCCCTCAGCCCTGGGGACTTAGACACAGTTACTGATAACACTACCAGCTGCAATGGGCAAGGAAACAAAGACAGCCCCTCCTGGAGAGAAGGAATGCAGAGGGCCCTGCGGAGAGTGGAAGAGGAGCCAAAGAGGAAATGAGCATTGGCCCCAAGAAGGAGAGGGAGGGACCCCTTAGGTAGCATCCTTACCTGGCCCAGGGGTGGGCCTGGGGAGTGGACTCAGAACTCACAATCTGGAGAAATGGATTCACAAGCAGCCCTGCCCTGCCCCCCTGACTGGAGAGCCAGAGAGCCTGCGAAGGCCTGGGCAGCAGACGGGAGTCCTGCTAAAAGTAGGGAACATGTCCAGGCTACAGGGGCAGCAGAGCAGGCTGCAGGCCCTTTAGAGATGACGCTGGGGTCCCCACATGACTTTTTCTGGGACAAGCAGGACCCCAGCAAGGCCATAGTCCAGCCTCAGGGCACGGTGTGAACTGTCCCTCCCCTCCAGTCCGGGCCATGGAGACTCTGTGCTCCACACCCACAACTTACATCCTGCTGCCTGAAGAGGGGCCCCTGGCTGCTGGCCAGAGCACAGTTCTCAGGGACTCTGAAGCCCCTGGGGAGGGGCAAGGGGCCCGGCCCTGATGGGAGGGTGCGGGAGGCGCAGTGCGCAGGGCAGGCGGGGCCCGGCAACAGCTGTTCACTTACTGAAGCTATTTTGTAATATTGCCAGAGCTTTTAAAATAATCCCATTTCGGCAGAATATTCCCAGCTAATTGGAGCTGTCTCTTTCTTATTAAACAGAAAGGTTATAAAAATGTGTGTTGAGGGTTTAAGAGCAATACCTCTCGGCTGCTCTGATTGTTATGACAAGGATAACGTACCGGAAGCCCATGCTTGGCTGGCTGGGCGGAGCAGGCTCTGGTGGCTGGGCAGGGGCAGCGGTGGGGAAAGGGGCGGGCAGAGGAGCAAGGACAGGGGCAGGGACAGGGGCAGCAGCAGGGCCGGGCTGGCTCTCCTCGTGGCCCCCCGCACAGCACACGCTTGAGGAATGGCAGCCTTCCCCAGAACAATTGCTCTCTAAACACTTAGGCTGCTGTGACAGGGCTGTCCATCACCCAGGCCTCTGACTGGGGGAATTCGCATAATTTACTGAGAGGCAGAGGAGAAATGGGGAACTGATTCCAATTAGCTGAGCTGGGAGGCAGATGAGTTCGCCAAGACCTCAGTTCTTAGGGAGGATGAATAAATACCTGCCCCCCTCTCCATGAAGTGGGGCAGCCTGAGAGAGAGGGCTCTCTGCCCCCACAGTTGTTCTGGCAACTGAGGGGCAAGCTGGGCCGGGGTACCAAGAGCTCCCGTTCTGCAGATGAGAACATGAAGCCCACGGCTGTAAAAGGCTTTTCACAAGGTGATCCTAGGAGAGTGGAAACCACAGTCCAGACCGTGTCAGGGGCAGAAGCCTCTGCCCAGCACCTGTACCACCTCCAGTGCAGGGCATGCACCCTGATTCTGTCCTGGGAGCCTCTCAACCCCCTGACCACCCTCCATCACAACAACTCTACTTCAATCTGGCATATATTAGGGATCTGCATCCAATTTAGTTTAAAAATAATTCCTTGTTGCTTTAAAATCAGTTTGAAATGCAGTGTCCTGGAATGGGTAGACCCAGCTTCCATGGATCCCCTCCCTGCCTGGAAGCTGCCCCTGTCTGATCAATTTACCAGACCCTCTCGGGGCCTTTCTAACAGAAGGTAAGATTCCATACTGAGCTCAGCCACCCACCTCTGGGCCCTTTCTGTTTGTCTGTCTTGGAGTCTCTCTCTCTGAGACTCTGCTTCCACCATTGCTCACCGCAGGCCACGCCACTTTCCCTGTGCACCTCAGAAACAGGCAGGGAGGCCTCCACGTGCTGCCCTCCTTGCTGACCTATCACTGAAATGGACCCTGAGCCTGGCCCTAACCTTGGCTTGGGGCTCTGTTCCTAGCTGGCTGAGTGGGGGTGTTTGGCATGTGCCAGACACCGGGGAGTGTGTGTGTGTAGGGGTGGTGGTGGCATTCCTGCCCTGCCTCCCTCTGCAGGTCTGGAGGACACCACGAGTACAGCCTTTCCATAAATGCTTTATGATTCAGCAATGGGTGAAGCCCCCAGTGGCCTCCCAGCAGCTCTGAGAGGAAGATGAGGAGTGGAGTTTACTGAACCCATTTTACCTTCAAGAAGACTGAGATGCAGTGACGTTAGCTAACAAGCTCAAGGTTACCTGGGCCCGGTGGATGTCTGCTGCCTCTCTAGCCGTGAATCAGGCCAAGGTGCTGGATGACTGTCCTTTCCACCCTGTGCTCATGGGACATTTCTCCCATGATTTGTGGCCGCAGCTTGGATCTAGCCTGGTCACCCGCCTCCCAGCCTCCTGTCCTGCCTGCTCTGATGGAAAGGGCTCTTTCATCATGGAGAAGCCTCATTCCTCGAAACAGAGCAGACCTTCAATGCTTCACTGGCTTTCCCTGGAGCAGATCCTACCTCAACACCTTTTACTAGTTCTCCAATGTTCCCTTCATCTGGAATGTCCTTCTCTACTCCACCTCCAGAAAGCCTTCCCATATTCTGGCAGCAGAAAGCAGCCCCTGTCCTCATGCACACCAAAGTGCAGATGTTCAACTCTAAGCCTCAAGGAGTCCAATAAGGGGCAGGGGAGGCAGGAAGGGGGCTGGGCATAGGACCCTTGCCTCATTCATGGGGTCTGAGGCTGCTCACCTCACTGGCCGTGTGTCAACAAATCTTCAACTCTCTCCTGCAAAGCCCTCCCCAGAGATACCTTGGTGGGGAGGCAGAGTAGAGAGGCTCAGCTAAAGTGAGAGAGAGGCCGCCGAATTGTTGGATCATTGGTGAAACCCAAAGGCTGCACTGTCACCCTGGGAGCTTTTCTAATAATTTGCATTCCATGTGCATAGTTTTGCATATTGAGATAAAATGGGCTTACTTAAAAAAAAGATTACAATATGCTCCTCATGAATCAACCCAGGAGGAGCTGGATCGGGAGTTGGAGCCCATCTTTGCTGCTTCCCAGCCAGCCTTAAGCAAGCCACTCAGAACTACTGGAGCATCAGTTTCTTCATCTGCCCAATGGGGCAATGGGGCTAATGCTACCTACCTGGAAAGCTGTTTTGAGAATTAGACATCCTTCTGGCCCAGTGCCTGGTAGGAAGTGGGGATGAAGGGGTTGAAGAGGAGGCAGTGGTGATGGGGGTTATTATTCTGGAGGAAACATCAGGAATTCTTACTTGAAAATCACAAGCCCCAGTGACCTGGGGCAAGCCCTTTTCATCTGTACAGTGAACATATAGTCCCCAGGGGAGGTTAGGAACAGGGGCACTCCAGCCTGGGGTCTAGCCCCTCGGGGCCTACTTATGGGTACCGCAGCAAGACTCAGTGAGGTCACAGTGTGGTCCCTGTGGTCCCAAGCCTGTGCCAAGAACAGGCTTAGGGGCTTGAGGGGTGAGCAGAGCCTGGGGTAAGAAGACCCTAGAGCTGTCCAGCTTTCTATGCGACAGCCAGACCAGCCTGAATGGGCAGCAGCTACCCTGGCACGTCCAGGAGAACAGCAGTAGTGCGTGTGCGTTTGTTGGGAGAGGGGACCACTGAGTGCCTGGGGCTTACAGGGAGCTCTGAATCTAATCAGAGAGATGTGGCTGGCAGGGAACAGCAGGGCAGCCTGGGAGGAGGTTACATGGAGTTCTGAAGGCAGGGTTCAACTTTTTTTTGTTTGTTTGTTTGAGACAGAGTTTCACTCTTGTTGCCCAGGCTGGAGTGCAATGGCGCAATCTCGGCTCACCACAACCTCTGCCTCCCGGGTTCAAGCGATTCTCCTGCCTCAGCCTCTTGAGTAGCTGGGATTACAGACATGCACTACCAAGCCCGGCTAATTTTGTATTTTTAGTAGAGACGGGGTTTCTCTGTGTTGGTCAGGCTGGTCTCAAACTCCCGACCTCAGGTGATCCGCCCGCCTCAGCCTCCCAAAGTGCTGGGATTATAGGTGTGAGCCACTGTGCCCAGCCAGCGTTCATCTTATTCCCAGGGATCTGACCTGCAGGACTGGCAGGGGTCACACATGCCAGGCCTGACCCCAGGCCTCAGCGTGATGGAGGTGACATATGATTACATAGTCATTTATTCATTCATCAACACTTGATAATGCCCTACACTCTGAGGGGTGAGCATGCCTGGCATACCCGTTGCCCTGGTGTTTGGGTTCTACCTTCCACTCTTGCCCCACGCCTGACTCACTGCCAGTCTTTCCTGTCCATGGCCTGCTCCCAGCCACCCCACAGCAGCCAGCTTAGATTTTCAGGTAAGACCTTGGTGGCTTGTTGCAAACTGCTGAGTCCACATGGCGATCCTCCCTGAGGTCTCTCTCAGTGAGCCTTCCCCCCGCCTCTGCCTCCCTGAAGCTCCTCCTCACTCATTTGGAAATTAAGACCTCAGCAAGATGGTGCTTTGGAGCTGCCAAGCAGGGCTCAGCAAGGCCATGGCAGGGGGAGGGGAGGGGCTTCCAGCTGGTGGGAACATAAGTAGGTAGGAGCCTCCTCACTCTCTTCTGGACTCTCACTAGCCTGTGCAGGTACAGCCTCCCAAGCACCCCTTCTGGGGCCTGGAGCCCAGCAAAACTCTCTGGGAGGAGAGAGGGTTTAGTTCTGCCTTGGGGGCTCCCAGATCTCTAGGGTCTGTCTAGGCCACCGAGGAGCCCTCTGCTCTCTGCATTTGTCCTGGCACCTGCCTTGCTCTGCCGACCTCAGTATAAGCTCCTTATCAGCAAGTGGAAAACAGACACCCAAGATGGGAACATGGGCCAGCTCTAACCATCAGACAAGGCCATGGATGGCCCCAAGCAAGGACCCAGGGGGACCTGGGACCTGGTCTCTACTGCTTACTGGGTAACTTTGGGCCTACCCCAAACCTCTGAGGCTCAGTTTGCCCAACTATGGAATGCAGTAAGGGGTCCACAGAGATCCTGCTTTCCTTTGAAAGGGATTCTGTGGCTCAGTCATCTCCAGAGTGGCCAGGATGTTTCCTATCTGCCCATACTCAGGGCCCAGGTGGAACGGGACCCAGAATCCCGACAAGCCATAGTCATTTCTGGACTTGTACCCTGGATAGCCTCCCTTTCCCCACCCCACACCTTTGGGGGCAATGATGCCCCTCCCTCAGCTAGCCCACCTGGGGGCAATGGTCCCAGGCCAGCCCCTGTCCTGTCTATCCCCCGCAACTCCCATCCCTGTCCCCATTTCCTGCCATACGACATGGCCTGCATCCTCCCTCCTGAGCAGATGCTCCTTATATTTGCTTAACTAGGTACTACTTCATGCTAGCAGAAGAGAGACAGGAGTGTTTCCACCAAGCTTGGGGAGGGACAGCCCTGCTCACTTTGCCCTTTGTGTGGCCTGAAGAGCGAGAACTCCCAGCCCTGCCTGGGCCCAACTCTTGACTGTGCCTCCGAGGCAGCAGAGTAGCCTCCAATCCAGAATGACCTTCTGCAGCAGGGGCTTACCCATTCCCCCTTGGGTCAGCAGCATTGAAGGTTTCATGGAGGCCTGGGCTGGAAAATGCCCTCCTCCATTTGGAGTATGTTCAAGGCTGGCAGCCTGGCTTCTGGGGCAATAGATCCAGACTGAGAGGGGCTCTTCCAGCATCTACATCCTTAGGTTACTCCAACCAGCTGGTGAGGAGCCCCATGCCTCCTTGCTCTCTGCTCCCCCACCCTAGCTCACCTCAGGCCTGGAAACAGGCAGAGGTCTCAAAGGCCCCAGCTTTAGGGAGAGCAATGAAGACTGCAGATGGGGCCATGATGCTGGGGTGGAGAGATCTACACCTGTGCTAATAGGAAAGCTGGATTGGTTATAAGGTTGAGAGCATCCCTTCCCCTCCCTGCCCGGTGTCCAAGAAACTCAGGTGGAGGGGCCTGAGTGCCAGCACCACCCCAAGGAGGCAGGCGCCTCACCAAATGCAGCAGGGCTGCCTCTCAAGCCCTCCAGACTCCCATGACATGATGCTCCTCCTGGCCCTGCCTCCACCCCATACAGTGCCATCCTCCCCTGTAGGTTCCAAGAACCACCTAGCTTCATCCATCTTCCAGGTTCAACAAATGGAGTGCTAACTGCCCCTCACAGGAACAGCAGCCATCAGTTAAATTAAGTGACGGTAGAGCCAGGTCCTGCCCTCCCCACAGCTGCCTAGCAGAGGCTAATTCCCTAAGGAGTTGATGAGCAGAAGCCAAGAGGTGCTTTTTGCAGAAGCAGAAGACTTGAGGACTCTCCTCAGGGTGCTTCCCCGACCTGTGTGCTGAAGAAAATACTTCCTTGGGTCTACAGCCTTGATCTCTCCTGCCATTTCACATCCATCTACACTTAGGGCAGTCACTCAAGTGCCTTCTGTTGTTACCAACAGGAAGGTGGATGGCATGAGGTATGGCCCTGCCCTCAGAGAGCCTCCTCTGAGGAAGCAGACCCCTCACTCCTAACACAGTGGGCAGAGCTGGCTTATTCATGAGATGCATCCCAGGCCCTCTCGTTTCATTCAGCAAGTCGCCAAAATCCTCTGTGTCTCAGTTTTCTCAGTTGCAAAATGAGCAAGTAAGTTAGGGACAGTTGTCTTCAGAATTACTGACAACCGGATCCCAACCATGGGCAGGGAAGGGAACTGCCCAGGAAGCTCTCCCCCAACCCCCTTGGTGGGGGAGGCTGGGCCCACTTCTCACCCTTCTCTGACTGGCCTGGAAGGGCAGCTATCAGAGGAGACAATTTGCCATGGCCATTCCGCCGAGGTGTTGATGGGATGTTGGGCAGAGATGGAAGGCTGCCTCATCACAGCCCGGCTTAGCCTACCACCGACACTCTTCACTTCCACCTAGAGGCAGAAAAACACATCTTGTGGAGAGTTAGAGCTGCTGTCAGTGCTGGCCAGGGGCTCTGAGGAGACTTTTATTTATTCGGAAACCATTCAGACACCTAATGCTCTTCTGAAGGGAGAATTTCTCTCTTTTATTTGTCCTCATTTTCTGCTGCCAGAGTGGGATGAAGGCCTTAGGGGAGGGGCAAACCAGCTCTGGGCCCTTGCACTACACACATCAAGGCACGTGGGACATGGGTGGCACCAAGGGGCCTCCTACTCCCCTGGGCAGATGTTTGGGCCAGGGTCCTCTCAAAGAGGGTTCTGAGGGTTCTGAGGACCCCAGTGGCTGGGAGCAGGTACAGAGGACGGAACTTAGACCTTAGCCTGGAGCCTTTGTCTCTTTGCTTACTGGAAGCTTGAGACCAGCCCTGCCCCTCCATGGGCCTCAGTTTCTTCATCTATAAAATGAGCAGGTTGATCCCGACCTCTCTGAAGAAAACTCCAGACTGTCTGGAGCAGCTGCCAGTGGCAATGGGGACAGCTGAGGCAGGGGCTCCTGGTGGGAGCAGACCCTCTAGCTGAGCAGTTGCGCCCATCTCCATCCTATTGAAGCTGGGAGGACCTGAGTTTTGTGAGGGTAGCTGAGGCAGTGAAGGTGAGGCCGAGCTTCCCTGTGCTCACACAACCAATGATCAACTTGTTTCTCCTCCTTCTCTAAGGACAAAGCCACCCAGGGTCCTGGAGTCCCGGATGCAGGGGTGAGCAGGCTGTCCTGTCCTGTCACTGCCCAGCTGAGCCTTGCCCCATGCTGCCTGTGAGGCTACACCACCTCTCTCCCTGCCTCTGCCAGGAGCTCACTTACTCAGGCATGCACCCCCCAGGGGAGCTGTGCCTGCCCCCAGGGAAGAGGGCCAGCTCACTTCTGTCTCAGGCCTTTGCTCAGACCCTCTGCCAGGGACACTCTTTTTTCCCACCTCCAGCCATTCATTTGTCCAAGCCCTTCATACCCTTCTGTGCCAGCTTCAAGGTCCCCTTGTCCAGGAAGCCTTCCCTGATCACCTGGGCCTCCTCAGAACACTGAGGGACCACTTGCTTTTTTTCACCGACATGATGTAATTATGTGTGGTTTGAGGTACTCACCATGTTTTTCCTGTGTATCACATTCCCCCACCAAGTGGGGAGCTCCCAGGGGCCAAGGATCAAGCCTCTTATACTTGCCAGAACCTGCTCAATTAACCAGCATCCTCCCTTGCTCAGTCAAATAATCTCAGTTCAGAGACTCTTGGGATGATGGAGGTCTAACCAGGGGGCTTCCACTGCCGTACAGGGAGGCATGATTTTTCCATGGCCCAATGCTGGTTTATGGGCTTCCCTTCAGAGGCCAGGATGGGGACATCAAGACCCATGGTTTGGGGTCTCTGAGACTGGTCTCATCCTTGGTCATAGGGAGACAGATCTGGGATGCTGACCCAGGTGTCCAGACTCAAAGCTCCACACTCTGATCTGCACTAACCACTGGGCAGGCAGCCTCAGGCAAGTCTCCTCCCTTTTCTGGGCCTCAGTTTCCCCTCTTTCTAATGAGGAGGTCCTATAGGTTCTGACTGTTTATGACCTGGGACTTGGCCCTAACTTTAATGTGCAGGTAGTGACAGCTTGCAATGTCTGAAAGGGTTAAACTCCAGCCCCCTCCATATATTATGGTAAATGGTACTAAACTGACCATCGGTTGATATTGCGCCAAGGATCCTTGAAAAATTATTGACGTGTCCAGAGGTAGGGTCCTGTCTGATTGCATCTGGAGGCCACTGAGCATCTGTACCATGCTCAGACAGGGGCATTTTGGGGAACATTGCATCCCTGGGTATCCCCAAGGAACTGATGAGCGAGCCATGGCAGCCACTGGCAGGTGCAAGTGCTGGTAGTCCCCCATACGTGGAATGAATCCCAGCTGGGGGCCCTTGGGGACCAACAAGTCCAGCACAAAGCAGGCAGAGAATAGGTACCTTAGAGTGGGCTGGATGAGGCAGGGACAGCAGAACACTGGCCAAGGCTGGGGCCAGCTCAACGGACCCAGGTGGAGGCAGAGCTGGGTAAACAGGGCTCAGAAGGGAAAATGTTGGCTCAAGTCATGCTCACCCAAAAGAATGTCCCCTCCTCCTCTCCCTAATGTGCCCATCCCAACCTATTCAACTTGCAAGACTGAGCTGAAATCCCTCCCCCTTTTCCAGGAATATTTCCCTGTCTGCCTGCATACACGGCCTGCCCTTCTTGGGGATGGCTGAGTCTGTTGTCTCCCCTTCGCTAAGCCCTTGCTGAAGTACCAAGTCTTCCCTCAGGGTGTTAGATGCTTTGGGTCTTCAGACCATCCCTGCCACATGGGGGTGTCTCCCACTATATGGATGAAGAAATGGGCTTGCAGAGGCAAAATCACTTGCTTACACAACCTGTGATGTCTGATGTCAAAGCTGACACACCTCATGCCCAGGCCAGACCACCCTTCCTGGGCACATCCCTGGGCTCCCTTGACATGCCATCAAATGATTCTTTGTTTTTGTTTGTTTGTTTTGAGACAAAGTCTTGCTCTGTCACCCAGGCTGGAGTGCAATGGTGCGATCTCGGCTCATGGTAACCTCCATCTCCCAAGTTCAAGCGATTCTCATG
Organism: Homo sapiens; assembly: GCF_000001405.40. Taxonomy (NCBI): domain Eukaryota; kingdom Metazoa; phylum Chordata; class Mammalia; order Primates; family Hominidae; genus Homo; species Homo sapiens. Next base: position 50,507,251 of record NC_000003.12, on the reverse strand, counting down.
CCTCAGCCTCCTGAGCAGCTGGGACTACAGGCGCCGGCCACCACAGCTGGCTAATTTTTTTTTTTTTTTTTTGTATTTTTGGTAGAGATGGAGTTTCGTTATGTTGGCCAGGCTGCTCTTGAACTCCTGACCTCAGGTGATCCACCCACCTCGGCTTCCCATAATGCTAGGGATTACAGGCATGAGCCACCATGCCTGGCCCCAAATGACTCTATATGTTAATACTTCCTGTGCCCTCCCATGGCTAAGCACTGCATGAGGCTTGGAAGGGGTGACAAGGACTAGGGAGCCTCAGGGCTCCGCTCGACAAGAGTCCAGAATGGGCTGGGCGTGGTGGCTCATGCCTGTAATCCCAGCACTTTGGGAGGCCAAGGCGGGCGGATCATGAAGTCAGGAGTTCAAGACCATCTTGGCCAAGATGGCGAAACCCCGTCTCTACTGAAAATACAAAAATTAGCTGGGTGCGGTGGCACGTGCCTGTAATCCCAGTTACTGAGGAGGCTGAGGCAGGAGAATCACTTGAACCAGGGAGTTGGAGGTTGCAGTGAGCCGAGATCATGCCATTGCACTTCAGCCTGGCGACAGAGTGAGACACTGTCTCAAAAAAAAGAGGCCAGAGTGCAGGTGTGTTTCTGAACCCAAGGCAGAGGCCACAGCATACTACTGGCCGGGGCAGGAAGCAGGAGGGACAGGACCAAGAGGAGGAGGCCCATCCAGTTGGGGGTGGTAGTACCCCAGGAAGGCTTCCTGGTATAAGTGGTATTAATGGGCTCATAAATATCTTGAGTTCAAATGGTAGAGGTAAAAGAGGGTGTTCCAGGCAGGAGGAACTGCAGGAGTAAAGCCCGAGGCAGGAGTTTTCTCTGAATAAGGAGCTGTCCAGCCTGTTGGTAAAAGGTGAGACTGGGCGCGGGGCAGGCTAGGGTGAAAATCTTGCCACCACAGGCGTCCTGGATGTTCCTGATGGGCTTCCTCTGAAAGGGCCACAAGCTGTGGAGTCAAGGTTGACACCAGCCCCAGTATTCTCCCCACAGCAGGGAAGAGCCAGGGGCCTCCAGGACAGAAAGGACTAGGGTGTGCAGAGATGACCTTCCTGGCTCTGGAAGAATCTAAATAGAGGCTGTGCAAACCCCGGGAGCTGGGGCTTGGGACGGGCCTCGAGTGGCACAACTGAGCCCATGGCCTGCTTGGCACATAGTAGTTTCTCCCTATGGCTCTATCAGTCTCTTCTGACCTGCTGAGCTGACCTCCCATGCAGAACTGGCACCTACCAGGCCCCCTGTCAGGGTAGCTTCACCTGCCCCTGCCACCCTACGTCTTCCAGCACAGGCAACTTGGGCCAGGTGGGCAGCCCCACATTTACCAATGTGCCTGCCATGGAAGTCCCCCTATTCCTTGGGAAGGCTCAAATTTTTCTCCCAAGATCTTAACGTGTGGCTGTAGCCAGCCACCAAGAGGGCTGAGGATGTTGTAAGCCTCAAAAGTTATAATTCGTAAACACTTACCACTTGTTTACTCTTAATTACCCCCCCCCTCCTTATTTGTCTTCCTTTAACGGCCTGTCAACCAAAATCTCCCGCCTTTCCCTTGGTGCCAGCAGCCTCAATTAGATGCACATCTGTGGAGGCTAGAACTGAAATACCCAACTGCCAAAACCCACCCACTGTACCTAGACTGACTTCATGTGCCTGACGGCCTGGGCACTTTGGGGATAGCGTTGCTACCCTGGTGTTGGAGGGCAGGGAGGCTGGCCCTCACATTTCTCAGGCCACTGCAGAGTCTGCCTTGGGAAGGCGCCCACCCCCGACAGGGCACCCAAGAGGAATGATGTCCTTTATGATGGTCCCCTGGGGCCATGGGCACAGGTATTATATGTCCAGCAAACAGGTAAGAGAGGATATCACAGGCCAGCCCTACCTTGGGCATGAGGAAGACAGAGATGCTGGGAACAGGTCTCAGCAGGCAGGGCTGGGAAGGCAGCTGTTGAGCTCACGCTTGTCGACTCCTGAGCAGGACCCCTGCCCCCCTGCCCTCCCATTGTGTCCAGAGGTGGCAGGGGGGCAACTGGCTCAGTGAGGACCCTGCTTGTCCCCCCAAAGAGCTGGACTATCGTCTCCCATAGTCCATCAGGTCCCACCTGTCCACCAGGCCCCTGGCCCCTGCGTTGCCTTCCTCTGATACTTTTTTTGGGGTCTCATGGTTTGGGATCTGCTGGCAAACCTGTCTGGCCCCTGAAGGCTCATTCAGGTCAAGGGAGGAGGACACTTCAAGAAATGAAGGAAACTGTTCCCTGTCAAGCCCTGGTTTGCTGGGATTGGAGAAGCCAAGGCAGGACTAGGCAGCAAGGGAAGGCTGTCCTAGGCCCTATTTCCAGCCCCTACCCCTACCCTTTTCAGTCCAGGGGCTACTATTCCCTTTCAACTGCAAGCCCTCCTTGGGCTGACTTGTGAGTGGGTGATAGGAGAGCCACTGATACCATGAGGTGGGGCATCTGGACATTTCCGAACCATCCTGCCCAGCTGGTTACTATCCCTCATTCCTCGTGATAGGCCAGGTCTGTGGGCAGTTATTGCTGAGGGGGTCCTGCCCTGTGTCAAGTTGGTGGGGAGCATTCTCTCATCCTATCTGCACCAGAGGCAGAGCTGGGTTCCAGGGTAACTTCAGTAGAATCCTAGGGATGGTCTCCCCTCATTGTGAATGCTTCAGTTTACCAAGAGATTCTCCCCATTCTCACTTCATCCTGGAAATGGGAGTGGGCACCCACACAAGCATTCACAAGCGAGGACACTGAGGCTCTGAAAGGGCCACAAGCTGTGGAGTCAAGGTTGACACCAGCCCCAGTCTTCTGCCCACAGCAGGGAAGAGCCAGGGGCCTCCAGGACAGAAAGGACTGGGTTGTGCAGAGATGAGCTTCCTGGCTCTGGAAGAATCTAAACAGAGGCTGTGCAAACTCCGGGAACTGGGGCTTGGGACAGGCCTGCACACAGTGCCTGTTCAGCCCAGGGAAGCGAAGCGAGTGGCTGCAGAGGGCTGCATCCTGCCGTCCCCAGCCCCCCACAACCGTACAGCCGTGCCCAGGTTTCCGCTTAGGGAACCAGGAGGTCCAGGCCCTTTCTGCCAGCAGCCGGGCGTGCAAGCCCCCGACAGAGAGAAATCTTAAAGATAGCTAGAGCCACGGGGGCTGTAAGTTCAGCATGCCTCCTTTTCTGGTCTCCGCTGAAGCTGTCACTCCACCATTAAACCTGTGACTCTAGGCCTTAAGCCTGTTGAAGGTCGAGCCCCCAAAAGGGTCACATATGCTCCTGCCTTGGGCCGCGGGGCCCGGGACTCTTCCCGCGGGTGGGGTGGGGAGGAGCGGCAGGGTCTGAGGTGTGGGGGCGGGGGCGCACCCGGGGCGCTCGGGTAGCAGCTGGGGCGCAGGACGCCCGAGCCAGTAGGGCAGGATTCGGGCTGCGCGGGGACGAGAGGCGCGCGGGCACGGGTGGGCGCGTGGCCGCGGCGGGGGCGCGCGGGGGCGGGCCAGCCCGGGAAGAGAGAGGGAGGGAGGGAGAGAAGAGGGCGGTGCCGGCAGGTTGGCGGCGGCTGCTATTTGAGCGCAGGTCCCGGGCCGGGCGCTCAGAGCGCTTGGAGCCAGCGCTGCAGGGAGATAGCAGCGCGCAGCCCGCAGAGGCGCTGCGGCCCGTGCAGCCCCGGAGGCCCCTCGCGGAGAAGGCGGCGGCGGAGGAGAGGCCGAGTTACCGCCCGCCGCCCGCGCCCCCCCAACCCCGCCGCCGCCGCCGCCGCCGCCACTGCCCCCCCTCCCCGCGGCGCCGCATCTTGAATGGAAACATGGCGGTGCCGGCTCGGACCTGCGGCGCCTCTCGGCCCGGCCCAGCGCGGACTGCGCGCCCCTGGCCCGGCTGCGGCCCCCACCCTGGCCCCGGCACCCGGCGCCCGACGTCCGGGCCCCCGCGCCCGCTGTGGCTGCTGCTGCCGCTTCTACCGCTGCTCGCCGCCCCCGGCGCCTCTGCCTACAGCTTCCCCCAGCAGCACACGTAAGTGGCCTCGGCCGGCCGCGAGACCCCGGCCGAGCCTTGCGCCCCGCTCTGCCCCCGGTCCGCGCTACTCCTTCCCTGCGCTCCGCGCCAGGGCAGAGGCGCTGGGTCCGGCTGCCCGCTGCGCCCGGGGGCGACGGCCCCAAGCCCCGAAGGCTGGCAGCCGCGGTCCCGGCGCTCTGGCTGCGTCGCGAAACTTCCCCGCGGTGCCCCTGCTTCCCCCAAATCCCCCGAATGAGGCAAGGCAAGATCTTCAAGCCCCGGGAGGAGTTGGGGGGGGGCGGTCCGAGCTTGTCAGCTGATTCCCCTGCCGCTGACCCGGTGAGAGGGAAACCCGGGTTGGGTGAGAGGGGCGGCCAGCGACCCCTGTCCGGCGGAGTTGGAGCCGCGCATCTGCCCCACGTTCCCTCCCTGGTGGGAATCCGGCGCTTTACAGCCAGAGGTGAGGGACATCTCCACACCTGCCTTCAAGGGCCTTTTCCTTTAGTGGGGAGCTGTATGCTGATGATGCGAGCACCTTCTTGCTGTGGCCAGTGCCACAGAGGCAGTGTCCCCTGTTCTTGGCCCCCCTCCACCTGAGGAGAGAGTACCCTGGAGAGCCCAGTTGGGAGGTGAAGGCGTTGGGGTCCGGGCAGAAGGTGAATGGTGGGAAGGACCCCTGCCTGCGCCTGCTGCTGCTGCCAACAGAGTAATAGCTTCTCCTGGCTCTGCCAGCCTCCGCAGGTTTTTTGGTCCTTCTGAGCCTTCTCCTCCTCCCCAAGAGCCAGCAAACTCGGGCTGCCTCCTACGGGTGAGCTTAGCCAGATGTGTCTGGGGCTGGGAGTGGATGTTCAGTGCATGTGGCCTTTAGGACGTATCAGTTTCCTGACACTGTGCTTCAGCCCTATGTCAGTGCCCAGACCCCCTTTGGGGCACGGTGACCACCTTGCTTCTGTTATCTGTCTCCGGGTCTGAGGAGCCACCTGTCCCTGGACTCCTTCACCAGTGTCCTGGCCTGGAGACTGGGGCATGAGTCGTCGGGCTGCTGGTGGCCAAGGGGAAGGGTCTGGCCTCGGGGAAAGGGAGAGGCTGGCTCTGCGTCATTTAAACCAGCTCTGCCCAAGGGTAAGAGCCCCTGGTTCTGCCACAAAACCTGCCGACTCCAGTTCGTAGGCTCTCTAAGATGAGGGAAAAACAAACTCAGGAAAACCGCCTCTCTGGGTCTCTCTCTCCGTCTTGTCGTCTCTCTCATTGCACAGCCTGGCTGTGCTCAGGCAGGTGATCAGTTGGCAAATTACAAGTGCCGCACGGACGTGTCCTCTGTCAACCGTCTGGATTTTTCACATGTGTGTTTGGGGGTTGCCCAGGGAGAAAAGAATCGAATGGAAGTTCAGGGCTGGTGGATGCGTTATTGTCTTTCATTTGCCGTGATGGAAATGGACTTCAATCATAGTGCTTAAAAAAAGCAAAAGCATTATTTTTTTGTTGTTCTTTCTTCCTCAAAGCCAAGCACGAGCCAAGCCACAATTATTTTTTTCTTAGCCGTTTCATAGCTCCTTGAGTGAAGGTTTAAGTGGATGTCTCTTTCCACCTCTCCCGACCTCACTCCCTTTCCCTGCAACGTGCAGTTGGTCAGATGGCTTCTGGGCCTGCACGAGTCTCCTCTAGAAGGCCGATGTGAGAACCTGACCAGAGTAGGCACCTATCCCTCTGTCCCCAGCCAGAAGATGGCGAGGCGGGTGTGACGGCAGCGACACACTTCCAGCTGGACGCTGTTGTCGATATAGTTGGAGCTAATTTGGGGGTTTGGGACATGTCTTGCAAACTGTAATTAGAGAATGAGGGTGGGGGTGGGGTGGGGGCTGTGCCGCTCTGAGGGTCCAGGGGGAGGTGACTAATGGTACAACAACACAGAGGGTTTGCTGTGACAGCCAGTGCCCTTCAGCTGCCCTGGTCCCGCAGACGAGGATGCACATTGATCCTTGGAGGGAGGAAGGGGCCCACACATGACCATGGCCAGTGGAATTGGTGCTTTTGTTGAACTGGTAAGAAAGGTTTAGGCTGTTGTTCGGGCCAGAAGGTTCTGTGGGGCTGCTCAGGGATGGGTGACCTCCCAGAACCTTCTGCTGGGTCAGTGTGGCCAGGCTGGGATGACACTTTGATACAGGTGGATTTCCAAGGAGGAGAGTGGAACCCAGCTTCATGGCACTGGAGTGACAACCCCTCAGTGGGGAAGGCCCCTGATGAGCAAGTCATTTTCTCATTAGTGTCTGCCAGTGCACAGGGGCCCAGCTTCACAAGCTGCTGGATTTTAAGCAAGTGTGGGTTTGGGGTCTGCTAGCTATGATTTCTGCAATCGCTCTGGCAGCATGGCTCTCTGCCCACCAGGCAAAATGGACCAAGGCTGCTGCTGGATTGAGAAGGGCAGAGGGGTTACTGCTGAAGGGAGGACAGGGCTTCAGGGTTTTTTTTTGGGCGGGGGGTGGGGGGGTTGGGCTGTCTCACCTTACCTGGACCTGGATCAGAGTTTCAAACAAGGAGGAGGCTACATGTTTGCACACATGTATGCACATGTATGTGCACTTGTCCGGCTGGGTGTGGGGGACCTGAGTCCGAGCACACCTTTCACCTGCCTCCTTTTTCCAGTTATGCCCTCCCCAGCATCAGGCCACCACCGCCGGCTGAGGGGCAGCCCTCACTGCTTTGCCTCCCCTTGTGTCTTTCCCTCCCTCTTCCCCTGTCCCCCTTCTTCAGGTCTTTCATCGAGCTGTACCTATCCTTCCCTGCCCGCCTCTTTTGTCCTCTCTGCTGGGCCTCTGTGCCCTGTTCTCCAGTGCCCCCAGGTTTCTCTGTCCCCTCCTCTGTGGAGTCCTGGCTGAGTGCTGGGTGGAGCACCCGGCTGAGCTGGCCCACCTGACTGCACCCTCTTAGCCCAGCTCTGCTCCAGCGATGGTGTTGGCCAGCGTCTCCCTTCCTCTGAGGGTGGGCAGAAGCAGTGAGGGGCCTGAGGGGTTTGGACCACCAGCAGATTAATGACAACCAGAGTACGTGCTCCTCTCCTGAGTGGACACATGGGGAGCAGTGCCTACAACAGGGCATGCGTCAGTGTAGCTACGGTTAATGGTGGGTGACGTGTGTCTGTCTGGGCCTTCCAGCCCCTGTCTCCATCTCCCTGTGGCTCTCCCTGTTGGAGGGAGGCAGCATCACTCATCTGGGTCCCCCATCTTCCCAAAAACCTGCCTCAGCTTTTGCAGGAGGGAGGGATGAGGCTTCCCAGCCGCTGCTGCTGTCACCGAGATGCAGAGCTGCCAGGTGCTCACAGCCCTCCTGGTGTGGAGGACTTTGGGGGGACCCTTGGCTGCTGTTCCCCTGGACTCCATCTTTATCAGGCACCTCCTTTTGGTCAGCTGTGCCAGGTTAACCCCTGAGAAAGGAGGAAACTCATTTTAGGATGAGTCCCCTCGTAGTCTGCAGGTGAATCTCACTCCAGATTCTTTGTCACACTCATGTCCCCATGGAGAGACTGACTCCAGAGTAAAGCTGGCCTCTAAGTGGACTTCTGCAGAAAGTATCCCCTTCTCCTCCTGCCTGTGTGCAGGTGGGCACTGCCAGCTCCTGGCATCTCAGATGTGTATGGGTGGACACTGCCAGCTCCTGGGAGGATGTAGTTTGGGGACATGCTGGGTGTCAGGTGTAGACTTTGCAGGCTCCATTGGGATGACCTTGCCTTAGTTTCCACAATTGAAATGATAGAATCTGCTTAAGAGGCTGGTGGTGAGAATTAACGGGAGAGGATGCCGCCTCTAGTGGGCAGGGAGGGCTCCGTCAGGTGCCATGGCTGCCACTGTTAACATTAGCATTAAGCCCAGATGTTGCAGCCGGGCGGTAGCCAGTCTTACTGCGAGACCCACCAGTCTCCAGGGCTCCCACGGGCTAGGTGGCCGCCTGTCTCTCTACTTTGCTCATGCTGCCCTGCCATGACTGTGCTCTTTTCTCAGGTTTAGATCCCCTCCTTCAAGGTCTCACACCCGAACCTTCCAGAGGCCTTCCCATCCCAGCTCTGGGCTGTGCCACTCTCTCAGGCTGTGCCCACCCACATCAGATTCTACCTCCTTGAGGAAGACATTGGGCCACCTCCCTCCCTCACTCCCTGCAACACAGCTTGACTGTGGTGGGGGACGTCTCCAGGCTAATGGTGATCTCCCTTACTGAGCCCAGGCCAGACCCCTCACCCACATTAGTGCCTTGACCTCAGAGCCCGTGGTCATGTCCATCCTCCAGATGGGGAGACTGACCTCAGAAAAATGAAGGGACCTGCTTAAAGCCCACAACCATGAGAGGCAGGGCAGGGGAAAGGATAGATCTGTCAGACACTTGGCTGCCCAGCCAGAGGGCTGGGGACATCTGGGCAGTGGGCCCAGGAAGTGGAGGGGGGCTTGAAGCCTGAATCTCTGGGAAGAAAATGAAGAGGCCTAGGATATGAGAGCTGGGCCTGGGACTTCCAGCTGTAACTTTGCCCTGTCTGTCTCTCTTTCCTCCTCTGGGTCTCAGGCAACCCTGAGGGGCCTTCCTTGGCATGAAGCTGCCTTGCCAGCCCCAGTGCTTATAGCCCCAGTGCTGACCTCCATCTACCTCCCACGTATACACAGGCCATCATGGAGCACCCCCAGCCCAGAGCTTTCCTTCCCCCAGCTTTGAGTTATGGGCCAGGCCTGCTCTGTGTGGAGGGGTGGAGGAGAGGAGGGGCTTCATCTGGAGATGAGATGCCATTTCCTTCTCCAGATTCCAGTCTGATTCCGGAGAGAAAGGTCATGGAGGTGGGGGTGGGGCTGGGGGTTGTTCATGGAAACCTGAGGCTGGCTCCTTTAGTCCCTTGGCAGTTTTGCCAGGTCTGAGGGGACTTCACAGGGCTAGGATCTTATAGATGCTGGGGGAGCCTCATGCCATCCGGATGGGTGGGACTTGGGGGGTTTGGGAACCAGCGTTCAAGGGCTTGTTGCTAGGGAACTCTCCAAGGGGCAGCTGGAGGTTTGGGAGTCAAGGCAGGTGGGCTGAGCTCTGTCTGGCAGGGCGATGTTGCCTGTAAGATAGGAGTGGTCTTTCTCTCTCTTCCCCCTTCCAGCCACCTACCCCACTCCCGTGCGGAGATTTGCCTCCAGACCTGGTGCCTTGTGTCTTTAAGTGACTGGGCTGTGGGCCTCAGGCCTGGGGAGGACATGCTGGGGAGGACATGAGGGGCTTTCCCATTGCTGGCTACAGCCCTCCAGCCAACTGGGAAGATTCTCTTCATGTCAGGTTTTTTTTTCTTTTCTTCTTCTTCTGGTGCCTACTGTCTAAACAAGAAGCTACAGAATCAATATTCGTATTCCCCAAGGGAAGTGTGTGTGTGGTTTTTGCTTTTTTTTGCTTCCCTTCTTCTCTTGTCCTGTGGAACCTGAAGAGCTTCCAGAGCTGCCTGTGGCTAAGGGCAGAAGGGGGGCCAGTGCAGGTGACCACAGAGATTGAGATGGCCCTGCTGGCTTGCAGGTCCCCACAGGGGTCTCTTGGGGCCTCCCTAAAGGAGTCAAGATTCTGTCATTCAAATCTACATAAGGTCAGGACCTAAGGGGCAGACTCAGCCAAGCCCTGCCCTGCCACTGTGAGACTCAGGCTGTTGGCTTGGTGTCCCCGGTCCTGGTCCCGCTCCTCTCACCTGGGCCCTCACAGTGCTTTTCCTTCTGCATCTGGTCTGGACCTGCTGGGTCCCCAGCCATCACTGTTACCCGTGACTGAGCCTGGTGAGGGGAGAGCCTCACAAACCAGGAGACTGTCTAGCTGGGATTAGGTGGGGAGAATATTCACAAAGGAGTTCTGAAAGCCCCCATCTTAGGTGAGGAGGCCTCTGTCAAGGGCAAGCCCAGCCTAATCTTCTCAGTTGGGTAGCTTGCTTGGTGACCTTGGACAAAACCCCTCCTCCCCCTGGGCCTCAGTTTCCTTTCTTCCAGGATCCTTCCAACTCTGACATTCCAATGCCCTAAGAAGACAGATCTGGGGTCTTCCTGCTCCTCTCCACGCCCTGCTTTAGCTGTGGCCGCTGGGCCTTGTCTCTTCCAGTGTGAGGGTGCCTGGACCTCCCGTCCTCCTTTGGCCATACCTTGGGTGTCTCATGGCTGCTTTTCAGATTGACCCCCTTTGAGTTCTGATCAGCCTAATTGTTTAGCAGAGGGGGAGGGGCATGGGAAGCCTTTCCTGCTGATCAGTATCCATCTTTCCCACCTTGGAAATGATCCTCATTCAACAAAGGGGAAGAGGTGGGTGAAAAGGCTGAGAAGTCACTCCTTCTGCCTGTCTTTTCCCTGCCCCTCTTAGACCCTGGGCCCCTTTCTTCCCCTTTGATGCCTGCCTTCCCTGATGGCTAGTTCTTTCTGAACAAGCCCCCTCTTCGTGTGCACTGAGACTCTGCCACACCTCTCAACAGCTGTGTGACCTTGGGAACTTCCACAGCCTCTCAGGGTCTTGGAGCCTCATCTGTAAAACAGGGCTTCCGTGGCTGTACTGCCACATAGGGTTGGGGTGTGATAGACTGTGAGGGATGGGCCTGGCCCCAGGGAGTCTGTGATAAGGGCATGTGGATCCCGACTGGATCTAGGGGGTATTTGCAGTCTAGCTGGGCCTGCACTCCAAGTGCCAGCCACTATCCCCTCATCCATAGCACCCAGCACCCATCCAGGCCCTACAGGCACTTGGGACCCACTTGTGGTTTGTGAGTCTTTCCTCTTGTGTTTGGCTCTTGCCTTTGCCTGTGTGCACATGTCAGCTTGTATGTGGGCGTGTCTACACCTGTGTGTTCATGTATGTGTGCATGTGTCAGACGTGTTCACATCTAAGCATGCTTGTGCGTATACCCACTTGTGTGCGTGTGTTTGTACTCACACATGGATGCATGTGTGTAGATGTGTGTGCATGGGCATTCTCGTGTGTAGGCAGCAGTAGGTGTGTGCGTGTATGTGCATATGAAGTCAAATGCGGGCATGTGCTTGGGAGCCTATGTAGTGCAAGCACACGTGTGGTTTATCTCTGCAGCCAGAATGGGCTCCTAGTGCCCACCTTCACCACCTGCCTTTGAGGTTAATGCCAGGGCTCGGCTGGGCAAACACTGGCAGTGGGAAATAAAGCATCCTGATTGTTAGGGCCAGTGTTTTGCAAACTTTTATGTTAGAAACAGCCTGAGTTAAAGCTGAGCTGGAAAGTTTGATCTTCTACCAACTGGCGTGATGACAGTCTGCAAAGGAAACAGAGGCTGCGTCCTTGTAATTCAAATTTTTGCAAATTGAATGGTATTTACATTCAGTGGAGGACTTGGGACTCAGAGGAGCTCCGTGAGTCCTTTGTGAAGTGAAGCATCTTTGCAAACAGCCCTTCCCCGCGTGGAAAATCTGGAGGGTGGGCGTGGAGCCTGGGCTCAGGCAGAGTGGGAAGCTCTTGCTGTGTGACCTTGGGCTGGCACTTTTCCCTTTCAGAGTGGGTGCTTCTCATTTGCACACTGAAGGGCAGGAGACTGGCAGCCCTTGAGTATCTGCTGTGGGTTTGGGTCCTCCCCGCAGCAAGACACTGTGGGCACGATTTGGGCTGTAAAAACTTTGGCTTGATGATCCCTTGATGATCTGGAGGGATGATTCCTCCACATGTTCTCCATCTGGAGCATCTCCAGCGAAGACACTTCCTTCAAGGATGGATTTTTGTCTACTGAGTCTTCATAAATAAGGCTGTCCAGTGATGCCCTGTGATGGGCCCTGGCCCCAGTAGCTGTGTGGACCCAGTTCTCGTGGGTTCTGTTGTCTGAGAGTTTTGCTTTCCTGGCATTTTCAGGACGCGCCTGTGTGTTGTCAGTGCTGCGATGGCCCAGGGCCCTTGGGATTTTGGGAAGTGGCTGTGAGGGGCTCAGGAGCCTACAGGCCAGGAGGGGTTCCTGTGGGGGCAGGGAGCCTGGGTGCAACCGTCTCCTTGGGCATTATGGGCTTTGCATGCGTCCCTGACTTGGAAAGGACATGCCACAGCCACAGAAATCCCTGAGGTCCTGATACCACCATCATATAGACACGGAAACTGAGGCCCAAGATGGGGGAAGGGAACCTTCAAGCCCCACATATCTGTGGCTGCACATACTCTGTGGGCAGGGCCCAGCCCTCATCCCTAATGCTCAGTACAGACTGCGGGGAGGGCGACTCCCTATGCAGCCTTCCTCGCACTGATGTACAGCTGTTTCTCTTAAATAAAAATATCCAGCCGGGTGCAGTGGCTGACGCCTGTACTCCCAGCACTTTAGGAGGCCGAGGTGGGAGGATCACTTGAGCCCAGGAGTTGAAGATCAGCCTGGGCAACATGGCAAAACCCCATCTCTACAAAAAAATACAAAAATTAGCCAGGTGTAGTAGTGTACACCTGTGGTCTCAGCTACTCAGGAGGTTGAGGTGGGAGGATGGCTTGAGCCCAGGAAGTTGAGGCTATAGGGAGCTGTGATGGTGCCATTGGACTCCAGCCTGGACACAGAGTGAGAGCCTGTCATTTATAAATAAATAAATAATAAATAAATAAAATCTATGGCATGGGTCGGGGGGCAAGTTGAGGTCTGCTTTGGCAAACTCGAAGGGCAAGATGTCTATGTGGTGTGAGGCCCCAACTCCTTGGGTTTCTGTGGGGCAAACTCTGATGTCCCTGTGCTGTTTCAGAGACATAAAAGCTTTCTGGGTCCCCTTGGGAAGGACAACTTTGTCACCAGGCAGTGTGGGCTTGGAGGGGCTGGCGTATTCCTGAGATGGTAGAGGCCCATGCTCTGCCTCGAGTTTCCAGCCTGACGTGGCATTTCAGTCTTGATCACTTCCTTCCACAGCCCGTGTTCTCCTCCTGCTGGCCCCGCCTAAAACGCTGCATTTGAAGCCTTAAAGGTCAGGTCTGGTGCTGCCACCAGTTCCAGCAAACAAACAACTAAACAACCCACCCCCGCCCTGCCCCCACTTCAGTTATGAGAAAAGAGAAGGAGCTGGCAGAGCAGGCCTCTGTGCTAAGGGCCCTTGCAAATGGGCATTTCTCCTTTCTCTCTGTGAGCTGAGTCCGTGGTGGGTGTGTTAGGGCCCTGGGAGTCTTTGTATCTCTCCTTGGACCCCCCGCCAGGCTTGCTGGAGTGTCTCCCTTTTGGGCTAGCTGGGACCTTGCACCCCAGAAACCTGCCATGGGCAGAGCCCCACTTCCCTGGCTAGCCCCTGAGGCCTTGCCTGGGCTGACTCCAGCCTCCGGCCCTGGGACTATCTGGGACACTTGAAGGTCCTGGGAAGAGCTCTGGCCTCCGCACCTCTGGCTTTCGCTCACTGCTCACCGTGTCCCTCTCCAGGCTGCTGGCTTCGCCCAGGGCCCTGGGGCAGGAGCCTTCCTGACCAACACCCTCCTCCGGCTCCCTGCCCTTTGTGAGTCCCTCCTCCAGACCCGTGCCCCGCCTCCAGCTCTGTGCCGGGTCATGGGGCCCTTGAGGAGTAGGCATTGAGCTGACTGCGACCCCCTCAAGATCTGAGTCTGAGGAGCGCATTTGGCTGCCAACAAGAGGCTGCTTCTGTGCTTATCATGTGTGGTGGGTTTTCCTCATGGTGGGCCCTTTATCCCCTGACAGGGAGCCAACAGGTGTGTGATGCGGCTGCTGGCAAAGACCAAGTGGTCACCTGTGCTCAGCCTGGTGGCCTCGCTTTTGGTGTAACTGTCTGTCCTTGGCCAACTTACTGCATGGCAACAAGATGGCTGCCACAGCTCCAGGCATCATCTGCAGACCCAGGTACTAGGCATGGAAGAGATGTCTCCTCTGGGTTTCTCTTAAGAGGGGAGGAAACCTTGCCCAGAAGCCCCCAGCCGACTTCCTCTCACATCTCATTGGCTGGCACTGAGTCACATGCCCACTCTGAACCAATCACTGGCAATCTAAACAGTACACTGTGATTGGTTCCGGCTAATCAGGATTTACCCTTGAGCCGAGGATGGGGTCACCTTGGGCTGGAGGTGGAGATTCTGCAGAAGGCAGGGAGTGATGGAGGATGGGGAAGCAGTGTCGGCTGCAGGGTCAGAGGAGAGGCTTGAGGGTGGGAGTTGGGGCCAAGGAAGAAGCAGGAGATAAGGGGATGGGTGACCATGCCAAGGAAGTGTTTGTAAAGGAAGTAGTTGTTTTAACCACATCAGTCACTACAAGCTGGGCCCCCGGTGGTATATTTCACACATGTTAGGTCAGTCCATTTTTATCCTACTTTCATAGATGAGAAAAATTGAGGCTTAGCCAGGCTAAATGATAAAATCACACAGATGGCAAGTGGCAGGGGCAGGATTCCCCCTAGTGCTCGGGTCCAAGCACTCAGCCCTGTCCCACACATCCCTCCTGCATCTCACCTCCTCCAGGCAACCCCTAGCCACAGGACCTTCAGGGTGTCCCTACACTCCCATGATGTTCTGCCATGCATCTCCCTCTGCAGAGGCTGCCCTACTGACCAGGCTGACGTCCTTGGAGGGTTTATTTCTCACTCGGCCTGTGGCGCCTCCAGGTTCCTTGGAACCACCCAAGGACCAGAAGTAGGAGATTTTTGGCTCCCAATCCCCCTCCCAGTAGAACAGCCCCACCCTTACTTGTGTCATGGATGTGGGTCAGTGAGAACTGTGGGACCAGTTGGTCCCGTTTAACTCCCGTGTGGTACAGATGGGGAAACCGAGGCCTGGAGAGGGACACTTCCTTCGGCCTCTCAGCACTTGAGGCATAGACTAGACCCAAACCTGGGGTTTGGGGGAGCAGCCACTGCCCTCAAGTTGCCGTGCTGTGCCAGTGAGGTTTGGTCAGTCAGAGGCCTGAAGGAGGCCATTCAGGCCACGTCCTGTCTCAGGCAGGGCCTAGGCAGACTATTTAGGACAACAGCAAGTTGCGGGTTCAGATGACGTCTGAAGATAGTGCTGGCATGAGTGGGCTAAGAGGATGGCCAGAGGGGCATGTCCTGCTGCTGTGAAACAGCGCAGCTGACCTGGCCTTAGAGGGCCACAGCCACGGACGTAACGCATAGACATGGCCGTGGGGAAGGCCCAGACTTGGCTGGGTGCTGCCTGTGAGACTTCATTCTCATCTTGCGGGGAGGGTGACTTCAGGGTGGGGTGTACTTGCCTATAGTGGGGGTATACTTTTGCCTACTCACTGCAGAGGACTGGGTGTCATTGGTCAGCACCCAATGGTGAATATGATGAGATCCATGCTCCACTGTGGCCAGGAACCTAGCCCTTCCCATTACTCTCTGGCTCTGTTCCCTGCACCAATCCTGGGTCTGGGCTGGACAGTGTCCAGGAGCCAGTCAGCCAAGGGCAGAGGTCTTGGGGTAAGCCCTGGGCTTTGTCCTGCTTCTGGATTGGGTACCCCTCTGGCCAGTGTTCCCCACCTGTCACATGAGGAAAGAGGGATCTCTGGGGCTGTCCAAGGGTCAGGGAAAGGAAGAAGCTGGCCTCTACAGGCCACGGCTGTGAGTCCCCCGACTGATAGTCCTCCCCTGATCCGGGTCTCTTTCTGGGGCTTTCTCCCAGTCACATGCTGGAACTGGTGGTGCTGTCGCCTGTTCTCACAGAGTAGTCAGGCAGGGCAGTCTGAACTCACTCTCAATTCTCCCACCTCTCCATCCTTCACTCTCCTTTTTCCGCCCCACTCCATGCCCACCTCACCCCCTGGGCTGTGCCTAGCAGTACGTGGGCAGAGCAACTTGAGGGGAGGGAGGCAGCATGTTTAATTGTTTAAGCCACACCTTGGCTGGCGCAGGCCACAGAAGCCCTAGGGGCTTGTACAGTAGGGTCTGTGGGCCTCCCCTTGGCCCTTCCTCTTCCAGTCTCCTCCTAACCCGCCTTAGCCTCACTGTGATAGTCTGGGCAAGCCTCCTGCCGTCCTCCTCCGAGCCTCAGTGTCCTCACTGTTCTCAGCACCCTCCATAGAAAGGGATCCTTCTGCAGCTGACAGTGGTGCTCCCCCTGCCACCTCATCTGCATAACTGTCATCTCTGTTCTGTCCTTTCCTGTAACCGGTGCTTGTGGAGACCTCAGCAAGGAGGCTGCTTCTGATGGGCACGGGGAGGGGCACAGAGTGGGATCTCTGCCCTCAGAACTGAGTGCCCAACAGAACAGAAGCCATCTCATTCCATGGGGGCTTAACAAGCACCTGCAAGCACTCAGCATGGAGGAAGCTGGGGAGAGGTTGGATGGGCTGCCGAGGGCCCTGCCAACCCCAGGCAGGACCCACCTGTTGTCCCACTGACCTCTGCCTGTCCTTCGGTGCTTGGCTTGGAGTCACTGTCCCCTGAAACCTTCGCTGACCTCCTTGTCTGGGTCAGAGGCCTCCTAGCCTGCTTCAAGCCCCTGTCCTCCCTATTCTTGTCCTGAAATAGACCTTGCTGCCTGGCTGCTCAGGGACTATGTGGCTGGGAGGGGTGGGGGCAGTGGCTGGTTGCCCTTGGCTGGAGCTCCCAGCTAGCATACACCAAGTACTCAATCCATATGTGCTGAACAGGGAGCCCATGGTCTGTGCAGGTGTCCACAGAGCCAAGCTCGTCATGACTGTGGAAAATGGAGCAGCCTCTTACACAGCAGCCTGGGACAGAGCCTGGCTTTGCTGGAGCCAGAGGGCATAGGCCACTCCCACATATCTTCCTGTGGCTTTTGCAAGGAGTTTTCCCAGCCCAGGGGCTGCCACCAAGGGCTGCTCTGGGGAGGGAAGTAAAGGGGGTGTCCAGAGACCCACTGACCTGTATTATTTAATGGGGTGGGAGGCAGGGTCCAGGCATTAGCATGTTTTCTAGAGCCCCCTCTTCCCCCTAAGTTGAGCCAAGGTACAGAACTGTGGCCTTAGGGGATAGGAAGATAAACACAGGATCCTCACCCTCTGCCCAGCAAGGGGGCACTGAGGCTCCCAGGGTTGGGGGATGGTGTATATTGGTTCTGAGCAATGTCCTAACCATGGTATCTATGGGAGCCAGCTGAACCCAAATGCCTGTGCATGCAGCCAGTTGCCAAAATCTGCAGCTTGTCCCAGGGAGATCACCTGGCTTCCCAGCCGTCTGCCCCGCTCCTTCCAAACCGCTCCTCTGCATAGACATTTGCCCATGCCCCATCTGCCCTGCCGCCCACTCCACAGCCTGCCCATCTTTCAGGACCTGCTTCCTGACCATCCCTTCCCCACCTGAATCCACTCCCACACCTTAGCTGTGTGTTGCCCTGAGTGGGCTCTGGGGTCTCCAAGGGCCAACTGGGTCCCTGCTCTTGGGACACTCAGTCCATGGGGGAGATAAACAGTGAAGAAGACATGGGAGTGAGGCCAAATAAATAACACCATGCATGGTTGGTGCTCCAAGCAGCATCCAAGGGGCCATGAGACATCCTGCTCCAGGCCCCCAGGCTCCCCTGCCATTCCCATGGCCCTGGGCCTCCCCAGTCAGGGTGTGGAGGTCCTGGGGAGATCACCTGGACACATCTTTCTCCATGGATAAGCCATTGATGGGGGGACGAGGTAAGGGGCAGGAGTTGAGTAGGGGAGAGGCTTGCCTTGCATATAGATCCAGCCCCAGCCCCAGCCCCAGCCCCAGCCCCAGCCCCAGTTTTGGAGGCTCCCGGCAGCCCCACCGCTGTCTTTCTGATGCGCTTCCGGGGCTGCTGCTCCCCTGGGCAGTGCCTCCTAGCACTTACCATGCCTTGGGCTGCCCAGACCTCATGACTATGGCCCTGCCTGTCTGGCGCCCCATAGCCCCATCTTCCCTGGCACAGAACAGCTGGGGAGGGGGTTGTGGGGAACAATCCCAAAGGCCATTAAGCCTAGTGATTTACACGGTTCCTGAGCCAGCGCGGGGGGAAGTATGTTTCACAGGTGATTTCCAGACTGGTGGCATATGGAGGAGGCCATTACTCTACAATGAAGAAGGATGGGGACTTCATGGGGCCATCTAGAAGGCCCTGGAGCTGTGGGCCCTGATGCATATGCCTGCTGTGTGGTAGAAAGCCTGGTTCTGGGGATTATAAAGGGAACCCCATATGTGACCTTGTTTGTGCCCCAGTTACCTCATCTTTATGATGGGATCACATTTCCTATGTTTCATAGTTGTAAGGATGGAACATCCAGTCATTCAGCCAGCATTTTTTGAGCACCTTCTGCCTGTCAGGTGCTGTTCTCAGGAGATGATGTTCTAGTGACAATATCTGTGTCAGAAAACACCAGGAAGGACGTGCGCGGTGGCTCATGCCTATAATCCCAGCACTTTGGGAGGCTGAGGTGGGCGGATCACAAGGTCAGGAGATCGAGACCATCCTGGCAAACAGGGTGAAACCCCATCTCTACTAAAAATACAAAAAAATTAGCCAGGTGTGGTGGTGGGCGCCCGTAGTCCCAGGTACTCGGGAGGCTGAGGAAGGAGAATGGCATGAACCCGAGGGGCGGAGCTTGCAGTGAGCAGAGATCACATCACTGCACTCCAGCCTGGGCAACAGAGCGAGACTCTGTCTCAAAAACAAAAACAAACAAAAAAAAAACACCAGGAAAATGGCGAAAGCTTTGCACTTGTGGGCACTTCTTGCTAGGGGGGTGGTAGAGGGGCTGCAGCAGGCGGGAGCTCCCATGGAGCTGGGGGAAGAGGTGTGGGGGGTGGGGTGGGTAATAACAATATCCCCAGCCTCTAATGTTTGTTGTGCTGAGCCTCAGTACTCTCTGCTGCCCTCACCCTGGGGTCAAGATTGCAAGATACAAAGTACAGGGCAGTGTCAGGATGCCGGGGGGAAGAGGCTCTGCACCCGGGCCCAGTTGTGATGGGTACTGGTTTGTTTCTGTGGAGTGAATGAATGAATGAATGAATGAAATCAGCTCCTGAGAGACTGAGCTCCCACTTAAAGAGGCCCAGCTTCCCTGGGCACAGCCGTCTCACTGCCCTTCCATCCAGTGTGTGGAGGTGCTCCCATGTACTTGAGGGTAGGAATTCTGCAGGCCTCGGTGTGGGAGCAGCCTGCCTTGGTGCCCACGGTCGGTCTGTGGGTGCTCACGGGGCATCACTGTGTGTGGAGCCCACTGCTGGGCCTTGCATATGTTGTGCCCTCCATTTGGATTGCCCTCCTGCTCTGTGGTGCCACCTTCACCTGGCCAGTCCCTAGGCCAGGTCAGGCCCCTTCCCATGCATCCCATGCATCCCATGCATCCTGTCCCCAAGGCTTGCTGGACTCTTCTTCTCATCAGGCCCCAATCCGGATCAGGTATCAGCTTCCTCTGCTTGGATTCCAAGCTCCCAAGGACAGGCCTGCATCTGCCCTGCTTGCTGCCAAATCCCTCCCAGGTGCCCATAGTAGGTACATGGTTACTATCGGAATGAATGAATGAGTGAGTGAGTGACTAGGTGGGGAGTGAGCGAGCTAGTTGGGAATTTACAGAAAGTTGGAAGCACCTGCAAAGCATTTTGCCAGTAATTTGACCTGCTGGTTCAGCCACCTGCCTCTCCTTAAGCCAATCATGAGGCTCACCAGGCAAGGTGGCTTCTCTCGGATTGGGGAGGCTAGAAAGGTGGGGTAGCTGGGGCTGCACTAGAAGCCCCTTGCTTGTGCAGCTGTGGATCCCTCACAGCCTGCAGAGGGGATTTGCTTTGCTAAAGGAGTCACCACAGAGCACCCGAGAGTAACAGGTTCATGGCGTGTCAAGGCAGGTTGAACACTCACATTCCATTTACATACAGCTTGGCGCACTCTAAGGGTCCAGGCACTAGCAAGAAGCAGATCCCAGAGGAAGTGGGCATTCTCCCCATACCTGGCTCAGGCTCCCTGGTGGGGGCATTGGAGGGAGCTGGGGCTCTGCCCTGCTGGCCAACGTTCCTACTGCAGGATAGCCCTGATAGGGTATAAGGAAGGACTTCCCCATTGCACTCAGCTTTGGCTTGCTTGTGGAGGCAGTGAGTTCCTGAGGTAGCCCCCTTCTCAAAGTTGGAAAAGGCTGTATACGAGGGGCGGCTCTTACCTGCAACCTACTTCCTATTTGGCCATTGGAGTCCCCCTTGAGGTTAAGGAGGCCTGACAGCCTAGGGGACAGGGCCATGGCTGAGTTGACTGGGTTCAGATTGTGGTTCAGCAGTGTGGTCTCGGGCAAGTTGCACCATTTCCACAGGCCTCAGAGTGCTCATCCGTGAAGTGGGCATGAACTGGCCTGCGCCTGGCCGAGGTACCATCGCTGCAGTGGAAATCACATGGAGTGCCCAGCACGCAGGCCCTCCGCGTCAGCATTGCCTTTCCCTGGTGCTTGGCTGCCTGCTGAAATGGGGGCCCCTTTCCCAGCCCTGTCCTCCAGCCTGTCTTCTACTGCAGAGTGAGGTGGTCAGGGCAGGCCAGTCTGGTAGGCGGAAGATGTTCTGGTAAATTTATCTCCAAGTGTTTCCAGAACTCTTTTTGGCCAGGCTCCAGGCTAAGCTCTGTAGGAAGCTTGATGATGGGACTAGGCTGCAGCCCCAGCCTAAGATGAGGCTTGGTAAAGTGTGGTGAGAACTGTGGCTTTGAGAAGAGGGTAGGGGAAACCTAGGAAAGCTTCCTGGCAGAGGTGACTTGGCCAGGTAGAGGAAGGACAAGCCCAGAGAACAAAGCTGGCCCTGATGGGTTGAGTTCTGTCTTCGCTTGGCCTCTCCTCTGTACATGGATGTCCTCGGGGGGCCTGTGAGCTTCCACAGAGGATTTTGCTCTGAGGGGGACCTTGAGGGGGTCTCTGTCTTCTTCAAGGCAGGAGGCCATGTTGAGGACTCATACAGAGGACAGCTATTTGTGGCTTAGCGAGGATTTGACTCATGCTGGGGGGTGGGGAGGATGTGCAGGAGGGGAGATGGGGATGTGTGAATCACAGAATCTGACCAGAATGGTTGGTGACACATGGACAGGGTCTGTCCTGCCACCTCTAGTCCAGCTTCAGCTCCTGGTGTGGGGCAGGAACAGAAGGCTGTAGCTCCTGGGTTCCTCCCTGACCCATTTGGTGACCTCCACAGGTGTCCCAACCCTACTGTGCTCTCTGAGGTGAGGCCTGGGCGTGGCTCCCCCATTTCAGCACTGGCTGGGCACACAGGGACTGCAGCAGTGTTCACCTCCTGAGGGCTGATCATGCTGAGCCTCAGCTTACCCGTTTGTGAAATGGGCCCGGGCAGGACTTCTGTTCCCATCGTGCCTGACTACCTGGGGAATGTGCTGGGGAGAGGAGGTGTCGCAGACCCCAAAATGCCCATAGTCTGTGTCAGTGGCCGGGGTGGGTGGTTCCAGGCTTCCTGGAGAACCCTGGATCCACCTCCTGGATTCCTGTCCCCGTGCCCCTGGTCTGGACCCTTTGCCTTGCCCCTGGGAGGCCCGGGCTTGTTTGTTAGTGCCTCTCGCTGATTGCTATATCCCAGCTCTAGACTTCTGAGAAATTATCAAACAGTGAAAACTGGTGCTGGCACCTTGGCGACCCCTGAGCCTCAGTTACCAGGGCAGTTGCTGGTTTTACCCCTGGCCTCAGGAAAGGGTTCTCCCCCGACCCCTGCATAGTGAGCTGTAAGTGACTGTTACCATGTGTGCCTGCCTGTCTCCGTATCCTAGGAGTTTCTCAGCAGAGTGCAAAACACAGGAATAAACTGAGTGCTGGGTGGTGGGAGCTGCTGAGGCCCCCATGGGCCCCGAATCCAGATGCTTCAGAACAGCCTCAACGTTTATAATGATTATTTACTCAATACGGAGTCATGTTTTACAGCGCTACCTTCTAAAATACATTTATAACTACCTCACCAGTTACATATTAGGGTTCCACATTGGATTTTGTTGGAAAAATAAAAGGTGAATGATCTTGCTGCTGGAGCAGTTTGAAAACCACTAGGGTGGCTCAGTTTTGTCAGTCCACAGATGGGAAATCAAGCCACAGACAGGGGAGTCAGTGAGCCTGCGCAGAGCCCATGGAGTCTGGCTCCGGGAACCAGAACCCAAGTGTGCAGGAGAGAGCTCCATGGGGGTGAGGGTAGGGGTGGGTGCAGGTGCTGGGTGGCTGGTGTTTAGGGACAGGGTGGCAGAGATAGAGTGGAGGACAGCCCAGTTCTGGGTCACTCTTCCTCAGCACTTTCTTCCTGCTTCCTGGAAGAAGTGGCTGCTCTAGCGCCAGGGCCTTCTGGGAGAGCCATGAATTATGCACGGAAGCCACAGGCCTGGGCGGGCCCATCATAAACGAGCCTTAATAATTCATATGGAAAGAAGCCAGGGGAAGGGAGGGCCTCCTGGGCCAGCCCTGGGGCAGCCACCATGCTGCCAACCTCTCCGCAAGCTCCCCCTGCCCACCCCACCTGCCTACCCCATGGCCGGCCACACACAAGCTGGACAGGAGGGCTGGGACGTCAGCAGGACTCTGGGGAGGTATATTCACTCAGCAAATGGCCTGTTCTTCCAGGCGGGAGAGCAGGAGCCTCCTGGCTCAGGGCTCACAGCCCAAGGCAGAGGCTAACAAGCAAGAGGGAGGATGTCTGATGGAATACTAGCCAAAAGAATCACCCCAGGAGGGGACGTGGAGATCAGTTGCTGCTGGGGGGGGTGCAATTTCAAATGGAGGGGCAAGGAGGTCTTCACGGAGCAGGTGACGTGTGTGTGGAGACCGGAGGGAGGTGGGAGGCCCTTGGACTTCTGAGGAGAGACAGTTTCAGGCAGAGGGAACAGCATGTGCCGAAGCCTGTGCAGGGACTATAGGGGCATGTTCAGGCCACACCGAGGGGTGAGGTCAGGGAAGCTACTGGGGGTGCGGCCACTGGGTGGACTTGGGTTTTCTCTTAGTGCGACGGAGTTGACAGAGGAGGGACATGACAGCAGGGCACTCCAGCCGTGTGTAGAGGGGAACAGACTGGGAAGGCAGGTGCCAGGCAGAAGGTGGAAGCCGGTGAGTGAGCTGGCAGCTGCAGAGGTGCAGGAACCCTGATGGGTGCCCGGCCAAGGAGGCAGTCGGCAGTGGGTGGATTCAGGCCTATTGCAAAGGTGGAACCTGTAGCACTTGCTGATAGATTGGATGTGGGTGTGAGAGAAAGCGGGTTCTAGGTCACCCAGAGTCTTTGACCTGAACTGAGGGAGCTGCCATCAGCAGAGGCAGGGAGTGGGGAGAAGAGGTGGAGACGATCCCAAGGGACCGTCAGGATCTCGGATCTCGTTTCGGACACTTTCAGTTTGAGAGGCCCCTTAGCCACACCCGCAGCTGGGCATTGAAGACTGATGTTCTGAGTTGAGGTATGTGCGGCCTGACGGGTGTTTGTGACCTCTGTGACCTGGAGCACATCTCTCAATTGCTCTGTGCCTCGGTTTCCCTCTGAGGATTGCGGATAGTGATCTGGCTGCTATGCAGATGAATTAAGGCAGTGCAGTGAGATCCCTGGCCTGTCACCACTGGCTCAGGCCTCAGGCAGGGAGGGCCCCCATCAGACCCCTTGAGATATGGATCCCTAAATGGTCCATGGAGGCCTCAGGCTACCACTCCTTGGTTAGAGAGGGAAACTGAGACCCGCAGAGGCCAAGAAGCAGAGCCGAGTGGGCCACCTGGGTATTGCTGGGTATTGCTGCTACCTGGCTCCAGGCTGTGCTGCTTCCCTCCACTCCCCCCAACCCAGCAGGCTGCTATGAGTAAATATTGGGCTGGACCTGGTGCCCTAATTAATGCCGGATGATGGCTCACTGTTAGTCTGAGGGGGAGGCACAGACTGCTGCCTCCCAGCAGAGCACCAATTAGAAGGAAAAGCTCTTCTCGGCAAAGAAAGGGAAGGGATAGCCCCGTAATTAATAACCTCATGAAGGACCAGGAAGTATCTGGGCAGGGTCCCAAGGCACACATGGTCGAGAGAGATGGCTTTGGACCCATTCATGCTTTGGCAACACCTGCCCCTCCCCAGCTCCTCAGGGTCTCCAAGGTCCCTGTGCTAACTGGGCTGCCTTGGTTCCTGTGTGCATGCAATGAGTGGGTGAGATGGGGACGGTGCTCCTGGAGGCATCATGCTGCTCATTCTAGGGTCCCTTCAACTGAATCACAAATAGATTGAAGATGGGCCAGCCCCCCTTGAGTTCTGTGCCTTGGTTGTGCCAGCTTGTGAAGTGGTAGGTGGCTAGCTGGGGAGCCTTACTCTATCATGAATCAGCTGAGCAAGCATGCTTCCCTCTCACTCTGGGCTCAGTGTCCCCTCTGTGGTCTTTGTAGTGTGAGGCCAGTGCTGATTTGCCACCACATCTGAAGGCACTGTAATCTTGTGGCCCAGGTGGCCTCTGGGGAGTGAGTGATCTCGGCTAGACTGTTGCCCTCTGCCAGCCCTATCATCCTTGGGAGGCCCTGCCCTGGGCTTTGAGCCCCCAAAGCTGCTGAAACCTGAGAGTCTTCTCTTTTGCATGGACAAGCAAGAAGGAAGGTCTGGTCACAGGAAACCCTGCCCTTCCCCAGGGCTCCTTGGACAAGGCACCCCACCAGGTCTCTGCTGCATTGGGTCTCTGGGGGCAGTGCAGAGAGGGGCTGCAGCCCACCTGGAGGCCACAGTCTAAGGAGGAGGCACAACCATCCCATGTTTAGGGAGCTGCAGGCTTGAGGAGGGAGGCTGGACTGTGGTGAGAGCAGTCCCACCTTCTGGATGGACCTGTGTGCCATGAGTGTGTGGGGCAGCCGTCACTGCTAGCATCCCACATGTGGGGCTGTGGTTTCCACTTAGCTCCTCTTTGGGTCCTTGGAGGTAAAAGGAATGGTGAACTTTATCTCCATTTTCCAAATGTGGAAATGGAAGCCTAACAGGAAAGGTCTAGTTCAAGGTCTTGCAAAAGCCAGGGCTGGATCTAGGCACTCAGTACACTAGGTACTGTACACTCAGTACACTCAGGCACTAGGTATAGAGGGACATCCACCCGAGTGGTCAGAGAGGACTCCCCAGGGAAGGTGGCCCAGGAGATGCCACCGTCCTGGAGTGCACCCTTGAACTTCCTGCTGTTTGCAGCAGGGCGAGGGCCTAGGGGAGGGACCAGCCTTGTTCCAAGCCCTGCTTCAGCTGCTTTCTGAGCTTGGAGTGACTGCTGGGGGAAGCACGCCTTCTCCAGGCTGGGATGGGGGAGTGGCCTGCTTGCCTCTCCACCCTGTCTTTCCCCTTCAGAAGACTGCAGAGGTGCTGAGGTGGGAGGTAACAGGCCAGTGGAAATAACCAGAATAATTAAGTAGCACTTTATATTTTATAGTTTTTATTTTTATTTTTTGAGACAGTCTCGCTCTGTCACCCACGCTGGAATACAGTGGCATGGCCTTGGCTCAGTGCAGCCTTGACCTCCCAGGCTCAGCGATCCTCCAACCTCAGCCTCCCGGGTAGCTGGGACTACAGGTGTACGATACCACACCCAGATAATTTTTGTATTTTTTGTAGAGACAGGGTTTCACCGTGTTGCCCAGCCTGGTCTCAAATTTCTGGGCTCAAGCAAACTGCCCGCCTGGGGCTTCCAAAGTGCTGGGGTTACAGGGGTGAGCCACCATGCCCAGCCTGCACTTTATTTTAAATTGTTGCCTTCCCCAGAGCTGGGAGAATAATTGGCCAGCCTATCATGAGAGAAGCAAGAGACGTGGGGCCCCGCCATTGCCAAGTTTGCTTCACCGTGCACTTGGCAGCAGTGGCCTTCACTGTGCCTGCTCCCTCACACTGCTCACCTGCCCCAGCCTCCTGCTGTCCTGTCATCCAGCCCTCCTGCTTCCCCTGCTGCCCACCCCTAGTATCCACCCCTCACTCCCTCACGAAGCGCAGCGGCTGAACTGCCAAGCTGAAGGGAAGGCCACAGACTGATTATAGGTGCCCAGTGGAACAGGGTTGATCCAGACAGGCCATCTGGGAGAGGCAGCAGGGCTTTGATGACAAAAAATGCCTCCGTGTGAGTGGTAAGAAGGCCCACAGAGGCAGAGCTCGGGTGTTCCGAGCCCCTTGCTCCCTACCAGGCCTTGACCCTTCCGGGGCCTGCCCCTGTCTGCTCTTGAACAGAGCCCCTCCCCCATCCTTTCTCGCCCCTCTGCTGGGTCCAGCTGCCCACACCCACCCGTGCCCTCTGAGGGTGAACCTGCTGTGTCACCTGTCTCTGGTTTTTTGATTTGTTTAATTATAGATGAGTTTTCTGCATAATTTATTCCAAAAGCCTGGATTATACTGTACAATTAAATCACATTCTGATCAACAACTCCACATATAAAATTAACAACTGGCAACAGTTTAATCTATGCTGCTGCATCTGCACACGGACTCTTCTCCCTTTTCCCCATCCCCTCCTCCCCCTTCCTCCCCCTTCCTCCCCCTTCCTCCCCTTTCCTCCCCCTTCCTCCCCTTTCCTCCCGTTCCTCCCTGTTCCCGTTCCCGTACCCATTCCTCCCCATTCCAACCCCCTTCCTCTTTACCCTCCCCCTCCCCTGAGCATTTGCAGCTGCCCCTAAGCTGGAAGCCCCCACCTGAATGCGATGCAGTTTGACATGCAGCCTCCCCCAGCCTTCTAGCTGGGGTCTCAATGATCCTGTCTGCTAAAGGGGTGCTCAGCTGCAGCTTCTCACCCCACGCACAGATGATGTCACTCCCTTGCCTGTTAGTGATATCCCCTCTCCCTCCCCAACTCCTCTTGGTTCTGAACCATGCCCTGGAAACCAAGGCCTGGCATCCTGCAACTCAGGGTGTCATCTTCTTACCTGCAGAGCTGCCTCAGCCTGCTAGGCCTCTTCTGCAGTGCCCCCTCCCCACAAGCCTCCCCACCCCCCACACAAGCTTTCATAGAAGATGTCCTGAGCCCTCAATAAGTCCTTAGGTCTTAGGGGAGGGGCTGTATTGCATGAGCTGCTAGCCCTCAGGGGACTGTCCAGTAAAAGCCTGTGGATTTGACCATTAAAAACTATTCAGCCAGTCATTATTACCCCTGTTTACCGATGGAAAAGCTGAGGTTCTGAGGGACAGAACTCTTTGAGGTCACACAGCGGCAGAAGTGCCTTTCCCCTGAGGCTTCCCAAAGGCTACAATGTCCTGGAAAGATGGGATCATGGAATAGATGGAGTCAGGACAAGTCTGTTTCTCTTTAAGTATGTGACCCTGTACCCATCCTTACCAGGGGCTTCAATTTTCTTGTCTGGGAAATGGAGCCACAATGTGTTCACCTCCCTAGGGCTGGGCACATTGGAGGACGTGACTTGATCCCTAGTCTCTTGTGCCCACACCAGTCATTAAGCCACTGCAGCCCCTAGATGCCTACATCTCCTCCTGGCCACTCTCCCCTCACTGCCTTGTTAGTTTGGCACTTAGAAGCAATTAGGGATAAGCAGTGTCATCTCAATGAAAAGCATGGAAAATTACAAAGATGTGGGGAGCCAGCAGGTCCACCTCCGTGTTGGGTGTGTGGCCTGTGGGCAACATTGTCTGGTCAGGGAGGCATTGGCTGAGCCAGGCACTTGATTCCAAGCAGAGGGAAGTCTGGGCAGGATTTGATCAGCTTATCTTTGACCCAGTGGGGGCAGGGACATTCCCATGCATCCGTTGTCTTTCCAAGGCCCCCTCCCTTCTGCTGGAGTGAGTACGATTCCCTGGCCAGGGTTGGACCTGGCTTGGTGGGTGGCTTCTCGTCCACAAGGCAGGAACAGTGCAGGTGCATAGTCAACTCCTGGCCCCCTCAGGGCCTCTGTGTCACCCCTTGGAGGTGGCACTGGGACACTGGCGAAGTCCTAGAACCCACAAAGTCACATCTCTGTGACAATGGAATGAATTATTTTCTTTTAACTCTGAGACACACATATTGCCTCCTAATTGAGTTTGATTTAAGTGAATAATCAAAGTAACTTGTTTTCCCTGGCACTGTGCTGATGGGCAATGTGCTAGGGCTTGGGGTCTGCCCAGCAGGTCCAGGATGCCAGGCAAAGGGCTGGAGCCACCTCTAGACCTTGGGAGGACATGTGTGTGGCCTGCTGTGTCATAGCAGGCCAGTTCCTGCAGCCCATAGCAGAGTCTAGAGCTACTCAGCCTCAGGGTGGGAGTAAGGAGACTGTGCGTAAGAGAGAGAGAGACAAGGAGGGAGGGAGAGTGAGCGTGTATATCTTGGGGAAGGATTGGACTTTATCCTAAGACTTGGCTCTTCTAAAAATTATTTTAGTGTTGAAATAGCCTTTTTAGATGAAATGATGATGATTATAATAATGTGTTGTCTGAGCAAAATAAAACTTGGCATCCATGTCTCTTCTCCCAATTAATTTTCTTTTACTTAACTGTGAAATCCTAGAAGCAGGGACCTATAGACATACTAGAAGAGTCAACAGCCTGGGGTGGAATCAGTAATGTGCTGCTGAATGTTTACAATTTGTTCTCCAGGGGGAAAAACATGGTTTCTAGCATTTGCCAATTCCTGTGGTGTAAATATTCCCACCATGACCTATTTCAAGCTCCTCAGGTGATGGTACCAAATGCAGAGTTGGAAAGAGGTGCACAGAATCAGCTTTTGTGAGTCAGCTTTTGTGACTCCAGCACACTTCTAGGGCAAGTCCTGTGTTCACTACTTCCTGGATAGGTGACCTTGTACAGGTCAGTTGAACCCACTATGCCTCAGTTTCCTTATCTGTAAGGTGGGATGATAATGTTTGCTTCTTTGTAAGGACTGAAGCGAGAAAGTAGGTGACATGCTGGCACTGCACCTTGTACGTAGTGGATGCCCTCGCACATAATGAGTCCCAGGAAGGATTGATTGGCATTTTGTTCTCTACACCAGTGAGTGGCTGAGGTCAGGGTCAGGGCCAGGGCAGAGCTAATGGTTCCCTTTGGGGATCAGATCCTCACTCTGCCCATTTGTCTGCCCCCTGCCTGGCTGACTGTGATAGCCCATCCCAACATTAGCCCCCAGGGCTCCATCGCAGGAGCACAAAGGAGCCATCCGCTATGTTGTCCACCCACAACCAGGCCCTGGTGGACAGGGGCCAGGGGTCACGCAGGCTGTCAATTTTCTGCTGCCCTTTGCCCTCCCCAGGCTGGCAGCTGAGGCCTGCTTGCCCTTCTTAGCCCAGCCTGCAGCCTGGCCTCCACCCGCACTCAGGGTTAGATTTTCCCCTGTGGTGGGGAGCGGAGGAGGGAATCCGGCTGTGGCTCAGCCAGCAACAAGCCGAAGCTAATACCTCTTTCTTTTGATGTTGATTTTTTTTTTTTCCATCATGGTCCTGACATTCAGCTTGGCAAATTGCAATTAGTGATCTGCCTGCCTCCTGCTCCGAGTTCCCATGCCAACCGACCCAGGCACATACAGTTGCATGGGCCCAGCCCCTTAGTCACAGGCCTGAGTGGAGGAGGCAGGGCAGGAGGCCAGGTAGAGGCTTGGGCTCTTCTGATCCATGGAGCCAGAACAGTCCTGGCCCAAGTGGCACTGGAGGAGGCAGCAGGCCCAGGGAGTTGGGACCAGATGCAATCTCCTGTACCCCATGGCTCCCGGGGTACCTCCAGAGGCTGGGGGGCTGGCATCACCCTGCCCCTACTGTACCCTGTGGGCTGTGTTTGACCCATGGCTTATTTAAATCTTCATGGTAACTTTTTTGTGCGCCCTTCCTGGAAAGGTCTTGGTCTGTAAAATGGGAGTGTGTCAAGTGGGATGGAGAAGTTGAGATACCTTTTCAAATGCATGAGGGCAAAGAGCACCTTTGTGGTTCTGTGTGGTTCTCTCTGGCTGGCCTCTGGCAAGGTCTAGTGTGGTTTTGCTCGCCTGATCTGGCTCTGCTTAAGGGAGTGGGTCATGTATCTGAACCCAGGCAAGGCCTTGCCCCAGACTCCTTCCTTCTTCCAGGTTGTGGGTCTGAGAATAGAGGGCCACGTGACCAACTGTCCATCCTGTCCACTCACAAAGATCCCCATGCAGCGAACACGCTTGACTTACCTATTCTCATGTGTTCTTATAACACCCTGAAAGGTGGCCCCAAATTATCCCCGTATTCCAGAGAAGGAAGCTGAGATGGAAATGGGTTAAAACAATCCCAGGGTGGGCCGGGCACGGTGGCTCATGCCTATAATCCCAGCACTTTGGGAGGCTGAGACAGGCGGATCACAAGGTCAGGAGATCGAGACCATCCTGGCTAACACAGTGAAACCCCATCTCTATTAAAAATAGAAAAAAATAGCCAGGCGTGGTGGCGGGCACCTGTAGTCCCAGCTACTCTGGAGGCTGAGGCGGGAGAATGGCATGAACCCTGGAGGCGGAGCTTGCAGTGAGCAGAGATCGCACCACTGCACTCCAGCCTGGGCGACAGATCGAGACTCTGTCTCAAAAAAAAAAAAAAAAAAGAAAAAGAAACAAAGAGCAATCCCAGGGTGGTACCAGTGTGAGGGAGACCTGCTCAGGATGTGGCTCAGGTGGATTGTGAGGCAGGATGGTCTGCAGTGGACTCCTGAGTGGGTGATTCCTGCTGGACATCCAGCAATGAGCCTCGGGTAAGCGTCTGTCTACCAGGGTGTTGGATAGGCAAGGGCTGCCTAATCTGGAACTCTCCACGTCCACTGCTCAGGTGAGACCTAGAGGGGCAGGGACCTGCCCAGTTACACAATGACTTGGTGACAGCAGTGTTCCGTCCCCTTCTCTAGGCCCCACCTGGCCTTGGGAACAGGAGGCTCCAAGATCCAGCAGACCTCACTCCCTGAGGCTCCCTCATGTCTCCCTCCTCCCTGGTGTCCAGAAGTCCCCAAGTTCAGAGCAGCTACATCAAGGGCTGGCTCTTCACAATGAAAAGTAGCCTCACTGCAGGCTTCTCTGAGCTGCTGAGCTCCCTCAGCACATCCACAATGCAATCCTCTCTCCTCCTCGCCACCCCACAGTGCATGAGGAGCACCTGGGCCACTGGGTCTGGACTTCAAAGGGGAATCGCAGGTGCTTGCTGGTTCCTTGCTGTGGGTCCTCCTCTAGTGAAAATTGGGGTGTGAGTGGATAGTTGCCCCCAGTGCCCCCGGGTTGGCTGGGGTGGGGCTGTGCAGCTCTGGGCAGGCCCTCCTGACACCTCTCTCCTCTCTCTGCATACAGGATGCAGCACTGGGCCCGGCGTCTGGAGCAGGAGGTCGACGGCGTGATGCGGATTTTTGGAGGCGTCCAGCAGCTCCGTGAGGTGAGCCCGGTGCCACTTGCTGTCTCTTCAGGGACCCTCTTCCAAGGGAAGGGGAAAAGCTTCAGAAATAAGGAGTGAGGAAGATTTGGTTTAATGGAGGTCCTGGTGTGGTGGGACCTGATGGGCCCGTGGGGGCAGGTGGGACATGACTGGATGGGCAGCACTCCTCTGGGGCCTGGCCTGCTCTTCCTGAGGCAACGATCGGAGCCACCACCCGGCTTGGACGATGACCCTGTTGCTGAAAGGGATTTGGAGCTTTTTGGGCTTTCAGGAGGGAGAGGTCTGTGTCTGAGGGACACCTGGGGTGGGAGCCCAGGCCCAGGAGGGGTCAGTGGACGCAGGGGTGCACAGGAGCTGAAGGGATCCAGGAAACAACGGGATGGCCGGTCCATACCAGCCCGAAAGCGGTGCTTGAGGTGCTGTAGCAGGAGACAGTGGAAATCCCATGCCTGGTGGGATGAGGGATCAAGGTGTGGGAGGGGTGATTGATTAGGCACCAGCCACCACATCCATCCTGGGAGATTATGTTAATGTTTGAAATAGTGATGTGAAGAGCAGGCCATCCATCACCCCCGGAAGCTGCAAAATGTGCTGCTGTCAGGCCCCGGGCTCCTGAGCCATTGCTCTCTACGTGGAGATGCAGAGGCTGGGAGGGCCGAGCTCTTGGAGTGATGGAGCTACGACTCTCGGGGTACGTGCAGTCTTTGAGGATCTTGTTGCCGGGGGCTTGGGCCAGGAGGTACTGACCAGAACTGAGCAGGGGATTAAATGGGGGTCTCCCACTGAGAGTTGGCTCGGGAACAGCAGAGTAAGCCAACCTACTGTTGCTGGTTCAGTCAGGAGTCCAGGTCCAGGGTTTGGAGATTATATACCCACTGTGTTCCTGTTGTCCCTGTTGGTCAGGGCCAGGGTCAGCAGATGTAACCTCGGTGGGGCAGGGACCGTAGGGGTTGTCCTCAATCCCTTCCTCATGCTTAGCTTATAGCTGGTGCCCAGGAAGTGGGGGTGGCAGCCAGTGTGTTGACATTGGGTGTGAATGTAGGACCTCTGGCACAGGCTGGGGCTGGTCATGGGTGGCTAAGTACGTGGCAACGCCGTGGGAAGGGAGAGTCCAGGTCTGGAGGTCTGTGTCCTCCCTGCCAGTGGCCCAGCGACACTAAACACCCCTTTCCTGGTTGCTGGGCTTGGATGTCAGCAGCCTCCATCACACTGTCTTCCTGTGAACTCTGAATGACTCAGCCGCACTTGGAGGCCAGCAGAGCTTTCCAGAGAAAGTGCTGTAGAAAAAGCTGTTCCGGAACAGGAGTCAATTTAGGCTCAGGAATAGCACCCAGCACTAACCAGGCTCCAAGTAGCCACTGCCAAGGATAGCTGTGTGGGCTAATGAAGGAATGATAGCTCCCTGATGTGTGCAGCCAGCACCTTTCCAAGTTTCATATCGGGACATAAGCTATACCACATATCAGGAGTTAACGGTACTCCTCCAGTCAATAATCCTTCATGCCTCAAACCTTTAGCTTGAAGATGTTGTTTATTTTATATTCACGGGCAACTCAGGCTCTGAATGTCTGGCAATGAGAAAATAGTGTTCATACGTCATGGCCGAGGTCTGTCTGGACCAGTGAGCTTGCTAGATTCTGAGAACCAGAGATGGAATCCCAGCTCAGCGTACCATCATGTGCCCCTGGGTGAGCCTGGATCCTCTCTGATCCTCATTCTTGACCCATACACAGCTGGGAAGTCTGACCGGAGGATGAAGTGGTGAAAACAGCAATGGACAGGCTGATACAGATACGCCCCTTTTTTGGAAATCAAATTTGAATTTCCCTCATTGATCATTTTCACTCCCAGGGATAATTTCCCTTCCTTTCTCATGGGACTTGAGAGATTCTAGACACTTTCATCAGTGAGCCTGTCTCCCCCACCCTCTCCCTCCCAGCAGTCACCAAGGTGGTCATGCTGCTGGCTTGTAGCAGAGCTGGGGCATGGACCCAGGGCTCCTGACTCCTGTTCCAACGTGCAGCTCCGGCTGTGGCTCCACTTCCCCTCTTGGTAGGGTGGACAAGATGAGCCTGGGGCAGTAGGGAGCTGGGCCAGAGCAGGGCCGTGCTCAGCGTGGCAGGCAGGCAGGCAGAGAAGTGCTGACCTGGCATCCCCGGCTTCTCCTGGCACTCTGGTGGAGTGTCTCTGCCTGCCGATGGCTGCCAGCGCTCCAGCGGCTCTCTGTCCTGCTCTAGTTTTCCTCCTCTGCTTCTTCAGCCTCTTACTTCCTGCCAACAGCTCTGGGGCTGTTTCTTGGCACGGGGCACTCTGGTGAGGTGGGCGTGGGGGTTGGGGGTTGAGGTGTAGAGTTCTAGAGGAAGAGGGCAACCCTGTGGGAGCAGGAGGAGCCAACCAGTTTGCTCCCTAGCCCTCCACAACTCACCCCTGACCCCGACTGAGCCACCATTGCTCTCCAAATGCACACGAAGACGGTCCATGTACCCAGCCCATACCTGGCTCTGATAGGTCAGGAGGATGCTTGGAGAAAAGCCCTGGCCCAGCTGTGATACTGCTGCAGACCCTGGCACCAGCTCTGCCAAGCTGACAGCCTTGGCCCCCAGTGGGGCTGCCCCTCCTCAGCCCTCCTTGAGCTGATTCTGAATTGCCCCCAAACAGCTGGGGTGATCTGGCATCCAGGCCCCTTGGCCTTCTTCCCCTCAAAGGCTGCCCAGCCTGCGTGCCTCCATCCTAGAGGCTGCCCCACTCCCAGTAGCTTGGAGCCATGAGGGCTGGCAGCTGCCAGAGTGCAGAAACTGCAGACAGTAGCGTTTGGGGATGTTTTCCTTGCCTTGGCACTTTCCTCCTCCTGACCTCACCATAACCCCCATGAGGGCATGGCTGGGTGCAGGCTGGCCCATTTGCAGGTTGAAACTGTGGCATACTTCTGTGGCATGTGGGCACTCCCTGTGAAGACCTCATCTCATTTCCTCATCTAACATCGCAGCTAGTGCATAGCTGGAGCTCTCCTTGTGGCCTGGTGCTTACGTATTGTCCCCACCCCCACGCTTGTCCAGACACCCTGAGTCGCATCCTCCTGGGTTCCCCAGCCCAACTCCCCCAACCCGTGGCCCACTCTTGCCCTCAATAGGCCACAAAAGTATAGACCCTACTGTGATGTCCCCCTGCAGAGCCCCTAGGGCCTGAGCAAGGTGTCTGGAGCCTCTTTTCTACCCTCCCACTTCAGCACCATATTGTCCCATCCTGGGGGAGAATAGAGTGCATATGCTTGGGCTCTGAGCTCATTTACATAATGAGGTTGATCAGGATGAATAATTCATCAGGTGCCTGGGGGTGCATGGGGAATGGGGGTGGGGAGGATGTGGAGCTGGGACAGGTCTCCCCTCTCTGAAGCCCAGGTCACTCTGATGGGTACAGCCAGGAACCTGCCCTCTTCTGGCTAGGTGTCTAGGGTCCAGGGGGAGCAATGCTGGGAACCTGGTGGGAAGGCAAAGCAGGAGAGATTATAGTCAGACATGATGAAGAATCAGTTGGCTCCTGAGGCATGCCAGCCCCGGGATGCATTCCTGACCTCGGAGAGACACCTTCCTTGGAGGATCTCTATAGAAGGAGGGAAGCTCCTCTGCCTGGGGTCGGGGCTGAGGCTAGAGCTGCCTGGCCAGAGCTGGGCTAGAAGCAGGAACCCGAGACAGCCATGTTTGGAGGCCACAGGCTACCCTCTGGGAAGGCTCAAGCCAATTCTGGACCCATGGAAGCCTTTCCCAGTCCTCATCAACCACTCATAGCTTGCGCGCTGGTCAGGGCAGAAATGGCATACG
This sequence comes from Homo sapiens, assembly GCF_000001405.40. Lineage (NCBI taxonomy): Eukaryota > Metazoa > Chordata > Mammalia > Primates > Hominidae > Homo > Homo sapiens. Next base: position 50,472,299 of record NC_000003.12, on the reverse strand, counting down.
GCGTGACCCATGTCCTGCCTGCCTTAACCCCATGATGGCCTTAGCCCAGCTACATGCTGCTAGTTATTCCTGTGATCCTGTCATACAAATGGGGAAACCGAGGCCCTGGCTGCTGTCTCCACCAGCCAGTCTCATAATGGATCCCTGGCAGGTCAGCCCTGAGTGGTGGTTGGGGAGCTGTCTAGCAGAGGAGCTACCCGGGGCCGCCCCTCCCCAAGACTGCTGAGCCTGCATTCACAGAGAATGGGACCCCAGGACTTGGAAATCCCCAACCTGAGTCTTTTGTTCCCCTCCCACTTCTGTGCTTCTCTGGACAGTCATGGTGATTCAGATCAACGGTGTCTGTGTGTCTCCATTTCTTATGGGTAGCCAGGAATGGCATTTTCCAACCAGTGACAGCGGCACAGTCCTACTCCATCTACTCCATCTTCTCTGCCCCCAGCCATCTCTGTGCCCTGTCTGCTCAGCACTCCTCAGGAATGTGTAATTAATATTTGTGGAGTACTACATCTGGAGCTGGCTCCCGGCACTGACCAAAGTCTGGCCATGTCCAGGGCCACTTTCTCGAGGGGCTCAGGTAGGTGGGACAGGGCCACTCTGCAGGTGCCTTTGAGACAGGCCTCCCCCTGTCCCCTTCCACCCTCCACCTCAGCCGGCACCACCAACATCTGAAACACATGCACACTCACACACTGACTCTGGGGGTGCTGGCTGAGGCTGAGCTCTGTTACCATCTAGGGAGGGTACACTCTGGGCGGGTGCCCTCTGGGCATCCAGAGTGGGATTAGCAGTGCCCACAAGTGCCAGGGAACCTCAGAACCTAAGAGGGGCTGGAGCAGAAGAGGAAGAAGGAAGCTGGTGGGGAGGGGCGCCCAGAGGGCCAGGCAAGAGGAGCACAAGAAGCTGTCCCCCCTAGACCCCACAGAAGGTCCCCTCACCAGAGCACTGTGGTTAACATGTGCCCACAGGAGACAGGCATGCAGCTCCTTGGCCAGGTCCCCCACTGGTACAGGCTGTCGCACTGACGCACCGAGAGTCAGGTGAGGGGTGGCAAGCATGGCACAGCCCCTCTGCAGGGCTCCCGCAGCCTTGAAGCCAGCATCTCCAGGCTCTGCACTTGCTCATCACGCAGCCTCCACCCCTCTACCCAGCCACCTCCTGTTGAGGCCCAGCGGTGCCCTCGTCTCCTGGTGTAGATGATGGGGATGTGGGGCGCATCAGGGTGGGGGGCAGTGGGGAAGCGCGGGTGTGAAATATGCCGCTGGATAGGGATTGCTGTCGCTTGCCTCCCTAAAAACCCACATATATTATTCTTTAATGGAAAGTTAATTGTCTTATTATTCCGTCCATATGGTCCTCTTGCTTGGCACCCAGCAGGGATGCGTGGGGCTAAAGGGGGGGCTCCCGGGAGGGCGTCTGAGACGTGGTGAGGCCGCTGCTCGAGCATAATTGGGTAGAGAGAGGCAGATGCATAGGAGCCTGACCAAAGCCCTGCCTAGACCCCCTCTGTGTCCCCCCCAACCCGGCCTGCTCTCTGCCTCTTTCCTTCCCAGGCCCAGACCTGGGGGCAGCCTCTTCTGGTACCCTTCTCCCCCGCCCACTGTAAAGTCTGGGAATGTTCTCTCTTGAGCACTGTGTGGGGAGACACAGGATTGGATGGGGAGTGGCTGTTGCCATCTTGACCACCACCCCCCCCCCCCGCCCCCTCCCCCCATATACACACACACTCTGTTGCTGGCAGGAGAAAATTCCATTTTTGAGAAGCTTTTCTAAAGCTATTTCATCCATGGCAGGCATCTGGCCTGGGCCAGCTGACTGGCTTAGGTCGCCCATATCCTTCCACACGCCCTCATCAGAGAGGGGCTGTGTGGGCAGGGGGACTGTCCTGGGATGCCTGTCCCAGGGACCCTGGCTCATGTTGGCCACCCCTTCTGTGGCACCAGCCACCTGGAGCCTCCCCCACCCCAGTGGCTCCTCCAGGCTGCTGAGGCTGGGCCAGGTATGGGTCCCCTTCTCAGTCCCTTGTTCCCTGTCAGGCCTCCTCTCTTCCTGCCCCCTGGAATGAGGGTATTGTATCAGAACAGCCTAGACAAGGTAGAGATGCAGTGGCAGGAAGGCCCCAGAGAGGCCTGGCTGCACATGGGCCCCTGGCTCCTAGAGTCCTGGCAGGGCAGCGCTGGGGCAGGGAACCCTGCTCCAAGGCTTCTGGGATTCTGAGTAGCCTCAGCACGGAGTTGCCCCCCAGGTTTCTGTGGAGGCCATGGGCACAGAGGGGCAGGTCTGTGGGAGCAGCATCTCTGGGTGGGACCAGCTGGTGGTGCAGTCATGGAGAGGGGCCTTCAGCTTCCAGCTTGTGCCAACAGGTCACTAGAGGGCACTTCCAAGATCAGTTCCCAGGGGATGGGGAACAGCTTGGAGTGGGAGAGAAGCGGTAGGAAAAGCTGTGCCTTCTGAAGGTAGGACCTGCCTGTGGTCCCACAGCTAAGGCCAAGCTGGATTTGGGTTTGAACCTAGGGCCTGTGCCAGGGGCAATAGCTGGATGGTGGGAAGTGGTGAAAGGATGAAGCAGACAGGAAGGGCAGGCACTGTGGGACCCGGGACATGTTGTCCTGCCTCTCTGAGCCTTGATTCCCTCACCTGGGAAATGGGGATCCAAGCAGTACTGTCTCACAGGGTATGTGAAGATCTCAGGGGAGCAGGAGCAAGGAACGGCTGCAGACCTAGCCCTGCGTAAGTGTGGGGTGTCTTTGTCCCATCTCCACCCCCACAACCACTGTCAATTGCCTGCCCTTCCAGAGGTTGATCACAGTTTAGAAAAGTTCACATGCCCAAGGTGTCCTTTCTGCTTGATTCAGTCCAGGGGTTTAGAAACTGGTCCCTTCATCTCTGTTGATCATGACACCTTTTAGGGACATCTCCCTAAGATGGCACAAAGGCCACCAAGCTGGGGCAGAGCTTGAAAAAATAGGGCCTGTGGACCAGCGAAGGGTACGTGATTTCTTTGGCCGGAAATCCAGGGAGCTAGCTGCAGAGATGCTGTTGGGGAGGAGATGGGCAGAGACAAAAGGAAGGGCCCCTATACCCCGGAAGACTGTGAGTCAGTTTCTCCAATCAGTCAACAAGTTGACACCTTGTCTTTCAGGCCTCATGGGCTTAAAGAAGGGGATGGACAGCTGGGCGTGGTGGCTCATGCCTGTAATCCCAGCACTTTGGGAGCCTGAGGCGGGCAGATCATTTGAGGCCAGGAGTTCCAGACCAGCCTGGCCAACATAGCAAAACCCTGTCTATACTAAAAATAGAAAAACTAGCTAGGCATGGTGGTGCATGCCTGTAATCCCAGCTACTTGGGATGCTGAGGCAGGAAAATTGCTTGAACCTGGGAGGTGGAGGTTGCAGTGAGCCGAGATCGCTCCACTGCACTCCACCCTGGGCAACAGAGTAAGATTCTATCTCAAAAAAAAAAAAAAAAAGAGAGAGAAGGGGATGGAATGGAGTAGGGAGTCATACAAAGCCACCCAACTCTGACCTGTGCCTAGATGTTGGCGTTGGGAATGGGGAAGTTAGTGCATAAGAAAATAGAGTGGCTGAGGCCAGAGCTGAGGATCGGGGGTTCTTGAGGGTGGAATCTCTCAGGATCTCTGGAAGGTTCTCTGCCTGGGTTCTCTGTCCCTCAGTTTAAGGAAGAGACAATCTCAGTGGCCATGAACAGAACCTCCCTAGGCAGACAGCACTGCTCTGCCTGGAAGATTTTAGTCGCTAACCCTTGGCTTTGCTGCAGGGCCCTTCCCTGAAGTGAGGGCCGCTCAATCCTTCCATCTTGGGGATCAGCAAGGTTTGTCTGTGAAAGTTTCCTAAAGCCACACACACACACACACACACACACACACACACACACACACACACACACACACACACACACTATTCTGATGAACTTGCTGGTTCTCTTCAGAGGTCCCTAGGGAGGCTGGCCTTACAGCAGGACAGCGGGAGATCAGTTCAAACTCAGCCCTTGCATCTTGTTGAAGAGTAGCCAGGGTCTGCTGTCACCCCAGCCGGCCTATGCATCCATCTCTGAAAAGGGACAGAGCTGCCATGTCCAGAGCCGGAGGCTGGTCTGAATGTTCGAGGGTGGGAGATGGGGCTTGGGGACAGAGGGCTGAATGGGTTTATGCTCGGCCCCCTGGGGACAGTTGACCCAATCTGCATTCCTCCCCCATCCTTCACTCCCTTTCATTGCTGGATCAGTGGCAGCCACGGAGACACTTGCCTCGGATTCATGGAGCCCCAAGCACTTGGCGGAGGCAGAGAAGTAATTGGTTCTGACAAACCACAGCCGGCCCCAGGGGCGGCAGGAGCAGCATTCCCCACAACCAGACAGGAGATGGAGGCTCAGCATGGCCTCTCTCCACCTTCTCTGAGTGTGGCTGCCCTCACCTTGTAAGCGGAGATTTTATGTTTGGAGAAAGTTACGGAGCCATAAACCTTTTCTTATATCTGTCTCCCAGCCTTGGGACCTGACAGTTCTGAACAGAGGCTGGCCTGCTCCATGGAGAGGGGGAGAGACTGAGGCAAGGGTTGGCTCCTAGGCACACCCCCTCCTTGTCTATCTTTGGGTTCTCCTAAAGCAGGGAACCAAGTGACCGACCCTTGGAGCTTGAGGGCCTGACCTCAGTATGCAAGGGTGTGCAGTCTGGATGGAGAGGCAGGCTATGCACACACGCAGGCGGGCAGGTGTGTACGTATGCCTGTGGGGTACACATGTCCATAGGTGCCCACAAGGCTGACATGGAGGAGGTGCCCAGCTAGTAACTATTCAGTAGATGGAGAAGCAAAGCGGCAGTGCTCTGAGGACTGAAAAGGGACAGATCCCGGCTCTGACTCTGTCCCATTCGACCTTGGGAACCATCTGCCCCCATGGAGAAACTGAGACTAGTGCATCAGGGTTGACTGAGCCTTGATGCCAGATGCCCTAGGAGATGTAGCAGGCATGGGGCATCTGCCAGGACTCAACCCCACATAGATGATCCCTGGATTGCTCTTTGTGAGGGTATGGAGGGCCCAGCAGCAGTGGAGAGGAGCTGGATGTGAGAGTGTGCTGGCTACCCAGATACTGGTCTGGGGCCAGGGAGGCTGGCCATTCCTAGAGTGACTTGAAGGCTTGGCCCAGGTGTGTGGCACCAGGCTAGGGTAGCAAGGAGCCTTTCTCAGGCCTTTGGGTGTCCTCCCCTTCACTCTCACTAGACCACTCAGCTTCTTCAAGTCCACTTGCCACACTCCTCACTCCCCCCACCCCCTTACAGGCCTCTTCCCAGCTTTTTAAACCCAGCCCACAGCTCCCCTCCTCCAGGAATCCCTCCAGATCAATGCTGAGGCCAGTGGTGTCTGATACTTGCTGCTGCCTTCAGCTTTTGCATCTTTCGGGTACAGACAGAAGATGGGGGTTGTCAGGAATCTCTGGCAGGCCCAATCCAGTGTTCCCATCAAATGGGGTATGGAGACCATGGCCGGAAGGCAGGGTCATGCCCAGGCTTTCCAGGAGTCCACCTGAGTGCAGGCGGTCAGACTGGGAAGGCAGCTAGCCCTGGTGATTCTTGGTCCCGTGATCCACTGTAGACACAGTTCCTGACCTGCTGAGGCTCATGTGAGGTGGAACATGGGCTGATCATGGTTCATGAGAGATGCGTGGTGCTGCATGGGGAATGTGAGCACACATGCCTGCACACGGAGAAGAGAATAAGTGAACCCCTGTGCGTCAGTGCTGTAAGTAACATGTGAGCGTTTGTGTGTCCATAGATGGGAGTGGTCATAGAAGGTGAGCATGTGCATGTGTGTGTGCACAAATGTGCAGTTCTGAGTGCTGCCTGTGGAGGTGTGAGCGGGCACACATTAGGGTAGGGTGGGACTGTGAGGAGGCAGGTGTGGAGAGCTCTGTCACCCGAGCAGGCGAGAACTACTTAGCTGATTAATTAGCAAAGCTGAGAAATCTCAATTGTGGGTGAGGAGCACACACACACACACACACACACATGCGCACACACACACTTCCCCCATGCATGGTGAGCATCCCCCCAGTCACTCTGTCTGACACTGCTCAGCAGCCCTGCATGGGGGCAGGCTGCCAGGTGGTTGGGGGTGCATCCTGGGGTGGGGCTGGACCAAAGATCCCTACTGTGGAGATCATAGGCCTTGTGCAAGGCAGTTCTCATCCCTAATCCAGTGCTCACAGAGGCTGGTGGTGAGGCCACCTAGGACCTTGTCCCCATTTCACAGATGAGAGAGCTGTGGCTGGTAAGGAGCAAGGAGCCAGAGCCTCATTTCCAGGTCCCGGGCCTCCTGGGGAGTGGGGGCATCCTCCAGAGTTTGCAGGCATGGTCAGGTGATTCTCCAGTGCACTTGGATCCACTGAAGAGTTACCTTCCAAAGGCAGGGGGACCTGTCTTGGTTCCTTTGGGCTTAGAGAAGAGCTAGTGTCCACCAGGGAGCTTTCTACAGTACAAGACAAACCACTCCCACTTACAACCCCTAGATGCTTGTCACAATCCAGTTTCCTCTGCATGCCTTGCAGGCAGGCCAGGGAGACCTCATCCCCTAGAAGCCTTCTTAACACCTCCCTTCACCCGATCCTAGAAAGTGAGGGTCCCCCATGCTCCCCAGCTCCCATAGCCCTGTGCGCCTCCCCATCAGCATGAATCACTGTGATTGCAGCTGCCCGTGTTTCATGTTCGTCATTTGGGCACAGCTCCTGGGACACTGATGGGATCTGTTGAACTTGTACCTGAGTCTTAGAGTCTGGGTTTGATGCTGACTCCTGGCAGGCAGACCTGCTGCCCCTCAAAGACCCCTGGCCCTGCCACTGCACTGCATCATCGTGCAGGGAGACCCGGAAGCTGGGTCAAGTGGCAGCCACTTGCCTCTTGATCAGGTGCTGACGGAGGAGCCTTCATTATGCTCCATCTACCAGTGTGGAATAAATTGGTGTGCAGTGAATTTATTCCTTCTAAAGACGGACTTTCACACCAGGGAAAACTTTTAAAAAGAACATTTATATAAAAAGCAATTACTATGCCAGTAATTTGTACGTATTCTATCTACCCCTTCCATCGCTGCCTTTGTGTTCAAATGTGGCCACCTCCCGGGCAGCTGCAGCCTGGCACCCAGCCTCCCGACTACAGCATGCCGCCTGCTGGAGTGGCCTCCTCCTCCGGGAAGGATCAGGATGGAGGGCCTAGGCCCAGCAGGAGTATGGACTCCAGGAGTACAGCTGGGTAGATTTATGTTCAGAACAGGTGCTTTGGAAATTTCCTCCCATGTGCATCTCTGTCCTGAGGTTGCTCCAGCCCCAGTCCCAGGGCTGGCACATCCTTTCTGGGCCCTTCTTGGCAGCAGCCAAGCACTTAAAGGCACCTGCTTTCCAGCAGCCTTGCAGCCCAGTTCGCTAGAGGAGGAGGCAGTGGTGTGGGAGCAGGTATTTTCCCTTCGAGGAGCCACTAACGGGCACCCTGCTTCCCCAGCCATTATTGCTCTCACACTGGATGCATTATGTAAATTGTCTCCGTTGCTAAGTGGTAGAGGAGCCACTCAGGGGAAACGAAGGAGCAGGTCTGGAGCCTTCTAGGGGCAAAGCAGACTAGGCCCTGAAAACTCATCCTCTGCATCAAGAAGGGTCTGGCCGCTTCTCCTCTTAGACTAGGACCCCTGAGGCTGGCATACTGTGTCTCCCCCTCAGACCACAGCTTTTATGTGGGCTGTGGCTTCACCCCCACAGCAGACAGGGTTTCCCAGGAGGCTGGATAGGTTCCCTCATTGAACAGGGCCACCAGATTGAGGCTTTGCTACCCACTCAGACCAGCTCCTGGGGTAGGACACATGCCCCTCTGTTGCCCAGGAAGGTCTGATTCTCCCACCTGCATGATTTTCAGCAGCAGCTGGGCACTGGAGCCCTCCAGGAATGTGCACACTCAACTCACAGCCTTAGATGCCCTAGGCAAACTAGAGAAGGTCATGTCTAGTCCCAAGCTAGTTGACCTGCCTCCTCCACAGATCCTGGAGTGCCCAAATAATCTTGGGCCACTTCTGAAGTGAGTACCCAGTAAACGTGGGATGTAGAAAGGTGAATATTTGGGGTGATCCCACATCCTGGGGTGCCAGCAGGTTCTTGGGTCGCTGGGGGGGCTTCAGTCTCAATGAGCCATGGCCTGGGCCTGGTCAAGGCCTGGGTGATGGAGGGAGTTCTCCCAGGGTACTCACCTGGCCTGCTGTCCTGCCTTTTGAGGAGCTCCCATGCTCCCTCTGCATGATCTGCAGAGGCAACCGAGCCCACCCAGGGCGTCTGGATTCAGCATCTCCCCTTCTGAGGAGCCAGGTGCGCTGGGCTTCATCCAAACTGTGTTGGACTCCTCTCAGCTGAGCTTGCCCTTGGCATGAGGTCTGCAGTGCAGGCTCACATGAGGGTCCTCCCTCCCTGGGACTCAGGGGCTCTCTCACGCCCAGCCTTCGTTCTCCCCCTGGGACAGGATGTCTGTCCCATACAAGGAGGCCACTGGGTTGAGGGCTTGCTGGTTTGTGCATTTCCTGAAAGTTACACAAAGAGTTGGGGATTCCAGGGAGGGTGTGAGAGGTGGCAAAGACATTTGCAGCCCACTCAGCCCCATTTCTCAGACAGCCCTCCTCTAACTCCTGTCCCTTCCCAGGCAGGGCTGTCTGTTGGTCAGGGTGAAATGGCACAGCTTTAAACAGAGGTGTGTACAAAGACAGTGCTTCCTTGGCTGCATAGACTCTGGGGGAGACCAGCCTGAACAACATGGCAAAACCTGTCTCTACAAAACATACAAAAATCAGCTGGGCGTGGTGGCGTGCACCTGTGGTCCCAGCCACTGGGGAGGCTGAGGTGGAAGGATTGCGTGAGCTGAGGTCGAGATTGCAATGACCTGTGATTGTGCCTCTGCACGCCAGTCTGAGTGACAGAATGAGACCTTGTTTCAAAAAAAAAAAAAAGAGAAATTTGGAGCTTCTTCCTTACCACCTGGCACTGTCCTCTAGGATGGATGGCATTATCTCTCAGATGCCTGTGGCTGCTGTCCCTCAACTTGCTTTGTGATTATTGCCAACTTTTGGGAGTGTTGGGGTGGGACCCCTGACCAGGGATCACCAATACCAATTCAGTGTTTCAGTCTAAGGAGCCTGGTCTGTGTACCCAGTTGATCAGGGAATTGAAATCTCAAACTGTCTTCATTGCAATAAGAGTAAACAGAAGTAGTGATGTCGCCTGCTGCCCTTTGACGGCCACTGTCCTGAGGCCAGAGGCTGGAGTCAAAGCAGTCAGTCCCCTGTCCCTGACTCCTCTGCCTACATTCTTCTCTCTCTATCCTTCTATCCTTCCCCTCCCAGCCTCCCTCTCTCTTTTTTTTTTCTTTTTCTTATATTTCTAGATGGATTTTTAAATTTAGGGTTTTCAAATCAGTGTTACACAGGCGCCTGGTGTAAAGTCATGGTTTTATCAGGCGAGTTGTGTTAGGAGCACAGCAGCCCCCTCCTCTCCATTTCCAGCTCCCCAGAGGCTGTCACTTTCTAATCTCTGAGCTCCATATCTCTAAATGACATACTTATGTCGCTACTTCTTGATTGTTCAGTTTTAGGCATTATCCGTGGGCATCCTGCTGCGGGAGAGGAGGGCTTTGCACCCCTCCCCCAGCCCATCCCTCGCCCTTTTGTGCATAACATGATATGGTGAGGCTCACTGTTGACATTGCCCTGACCCAGCAAATGCAATTCAGAACTGCGCCTTGCGGAAGACTTTTGGATACAATTTTTTAGTTGTTTCCTACCAGTAAAAACTGTCTCAGTTTTGTTAGTTTTATTATTATTATCATTATTATTATTATTATTATTATTATTATTATTATTATTATTATTTTGAGACAGTCTTGCTCTGCCACCCAGGCTGGAGTGCAGTGGCACCATCTCAGCTCACTGCAACCTCCACCTCCCTGGTTCAAGCAATTCTCCTGCCTGAGCCCCCCAGTAGCTGGGAATTCAGGCACGCACCACCACACCTGCCTCGTTTTTGTATTTGTAGTAGAGATGAGATTTTGCCATGTTGGCCAGGCTGGTCTCAAACTCCTGACTTCAAGTGATCCACTTCCCCTGCCTCGGCCTCCCAAAGTGCTGGAATTACAGATGTGAGCCACTGTGCCCAGCTGTTGTTAGTTTATTTGTTTAGTCTTCTGTGAACCTTTACTCACTCTGCCCCCAACTCCCCGCCACTTTATCTGACCTGGCTCTCATACACCTGGGCTTCTGTTAAATTAAATTTACCTTCCAAGAAAGTCCTGCCCAGAGCCTTCCACCTTGCTCCAGGGAAGACTGGCTGCTCTCCCAGCCTGCGGCACCAATGTGTCCCTGGGATTTCCTTTCCCCCTCTTGGGGTTGGAGTCCCCTCTTTCATGGATCCCATGGCCTCTTCCTTAGACTTCTCCCTCATTTTGGTGTAGAGAACATTTTTTCTTTCCTTCCTTCCTTCCTTTCTTTCTTTTTTTCTTTTTTTTTTTTTTTTTTGAGACTCCCCAGGCTGGAGTGCAGTGGCATGATCTCGGCTCACCGCAACCTCTGCCTCCCAGATTCAAGCGATTCTCCTGCCTCAGCCTCCTGAGTAGCTGGAATTACAGATCTGCGCCGCCACGCCCAGCTCATTTTTGTATTTTTAGTAGAGATGAGGTTTCGCTATGTTGGCCAGGCTAGTCTTAAGGCTTAAGGCTAGTCTTAAACTCATGACCTCAAGTGATCCACCTGCCTGCCTTGGCCTCCCAAAGTGCTGGGATTACAGGCATGAGCCACCACGCCCAGCTGAGAACATTTTCAGTTGGCTTCCTGAGGACAGGTACAGGGGAGCCAGACTTTGGAGACTGTCATGTCTCAGAAAGCCTTCCTTCTCCCCAACGCTCAACAGAGATTTCAGGTGGGTTGGAAGTCCAGGGTGGAAACCATTTGCCTTAGATTTTCTAAGGCAGCACTCCATTCCTTCCAGCTTCTTGAGTTGCTATGGAGAGGTCCCCAGTCATTCAGATTCCCGATCCATTGTACATGACCTGGTTTTTATCAGAAACTTGTAAATTTTCTCCCTTTGCCCAGTGTTCAGAAATTCCACACTGACCTATCTTTGTGCGGCTTTTCATTTCTTACCACTCAGTGCACACTTTCAAACTACTTGTGTCCCTCAGTTGTGGGATGTTTTCTTGAATGGTTTCTTTGACTGTTTCCTCCCTTCTCATTTCTCTGTTCTTTCTAGAAACCTTAACTCAGGCCCTGTTCTTTTTTATTTTTCTTTTGTCTCCAATATTCCATTTCTGTGTCTTTCTGTGAGAAAATCTTCTCATCAAATTTTACATTTAACCATTGCATTTTAAATTTCCAGGATGTCTTTTGGAACTTTTTTTTTTTCTTTTTTTTTGAGACGGAGTCTTGCTCTGTCACCCAGGCTGGAGTGCAGTGGCGTGATCTCGGCTCACTGCAAGCTCCGCCTTCCGGGTTCACACCATTCTCCTGCCTCAGCCCCCCGAGTAGCTGGGACTACAGGTGCCCGCCACCACGCCTGGCTAATTTTTTATATTTTTAGTAGAGACGGGGTTTCACCATGTTAGCCAGGATGGTCTCGATCTCCTGACCTTGTGATCCTCCTGTCTCGGCCTCCCAAAGTGCTGGGATTAGAGGCGTGAGCCACCACGCCCAGCCGGACCTTTTTAAGAATAATATCTTGTTCTTGTTTCATTCTTGCCACAATGTCTGTTAGTTGTCTGAGGACAGTATAGCTTTATAGATTAAAAAAAAAACTTTTTATTTTGAAATAATTTTGGATTTACAGGTAAAACAAAAAAACAAAAAAAGAATAATTTTAGATTTACAGAGAAGATGCAAAAATAGTACATAAATTCCCTAACCCTTTGTCCAGTTTCCTTTAAGTTATCGTCTTGCATAACCGTGGTATAAATATCAAAACTAAGACATCAACATTGGCACAGTATTGTAAACCAAAGTGAAGACCTTATTTGGATTTTACCAGTTTTTGCACTAATGTCCTTTTTTGGTTCCAGGATCAAATCCAAGGAACCACTTTGCATTTAGTTGTCATGTCTCCCTAGTCTCCTTTTTTTCTTTAATTTTAAAAAACAGGCTTAATTCACATTTCATGTATTTATGTATTTATTTATTTATTTAGTATTTAAAAACTCCATGTTGTAGCCACAGTTGGAACCTGCAGGGGTGTCGGGGGTTGACTCCGGATCAGGCGAGGCAGACAGGATGGGATAGTCTGGGACAGTTCCTGGTGCTGAAGAGGATGGAGGGTGGAAGCAGTGCCTGTGGGCCAGGGGATCTCTGGTGGGAGCAGGCTGCAGGGTGAGAAGGCAGAACCCCCAGGAATCAATGGGATGGTTGGGAAGCACTGCCTGCCTCTCATATTCCTTCCTCAGATGTCTGCTGACCCCTCCCCAGGAGGCAGCCAGTGAGCTGGTGGGGTGCAGCAGTGAGCAGTTCCCAGTCACCTGGGGTCAGAGGGCATGGGCTTCTCCCCTGGACTCACTCACATCCCGGGGTCCTGGTACAAGTGTACCATCAGGTTCACATTCCTGGCTGGAGTTCTGAGGGGCTCGAAGCTTTTCTGAGTTCGCACCTAGGTCCCTTGGCTCCAGGTGCTGGAGGCCTCAGGGCCCTGCTGGGGGACAGTTTTTAGACTGATGGGCTTCGGAGTCCCAGATCATCTTCCTGTGTGACACCCTGTAGTGCCAAGGGCTGAAGAGTTGGGGAGCAGGGCACCATGGGGTGGGAGGAGTGCCCTGGGCTGATGCATCCCCACCACGAGTCAGGTGAGAGAGTTGGGAAGACCCTGTCCCCAGGCCCAGCAGATTAGTAGTGAGCATTTAAAGAGAGAAAATGGACCCATCTGTGCTTCATCTATGGACAGCAGTGACACCCCAGCCTTGTGACTGAGTGAGGGGGGCAACTGCCTCCACTCCCCGTGGCCCAGGCAGAAGCACTAGGCCCCACAATCTCCTCAGGGTGACCCTGACCTTTCCCTGCCACCCATGTGTATACCTGGGTTCCCTTTTATCAAATATTCTTCTGCTAATCTCATCTCCCTGTGTGACTGCCCTGTAATTAGCTCACTTTGCAAAATATGATGTCTGTCATAGTTCCCCCTCCATGTTTTTCTTTTCCCAGGAAAGGGTAAAGAGGGAATGGGATGAAGAAAGATTTCTGGATGTGGGGCCACCTCACAGGTGAGCTCTGGCCCTGTCCCCTGCACACAGAGCCCCACATACACTAACACATGCCCCAGCTCAGCTCCAGAGCCTAGAGAGTTGATGGAGGTCGGTGGGCTGGGCCAGAAACCCGGGGAAGGGATGGCACAGGCCTGACTGAGCAGGTTCCCCAGAGAAGGTTCTCCCGGTCTTCTAGCTGGGGTTTCAGGACCTAGCCTTTGGGGTTCCCCAGCATTAACCCATTGCTGCTAGCAGTGGGCCTGCCAGGGCCTGGTAAGTCAATCACCATAGTCTGTCTGCTCCAGCTTCCAAAATGTTGTTCCTAGTGCCTCCTGCACATTTCCTTTGTTCCTGTGGGTTTTGCCATTTTGAATAGTCCTTAACTGTCGTGCCAGGGAGTTTGGGGAAAGAAAGTTCGCCAGGCACCATTGCTTTCACTTCTCTTGTAGCAGCTGAGTCCTTACTGTTTGGTTAAGTGAAATCTACGCTGGGCCCTGGACAGTGAATTGATGAACAGGGGGTTCTTTGGCTAAGTGGGTAGGCAAGCCCGGGCTGGTCTCTTACCACCCTCTCACTACACCTGACCCTCCACATGAGCCCAGAGACTCCCTGTCTACTGCCTAGGACTCCAGGGAACACAGTTTGAGAACTGCTGCCCTGTACATGGGGGTGTGTTGGGCACAGGGCTTGGCTTGGAGTTAGCAGCAGGGAGTCTCTGGGACTCGGGGAAGGTGCAGAGAGGCAGCTCAGCTAGCCTCACAGGGACACTTGAGCAGCCTGGTTCTCTCCCCGTGGCCAGGTGCCCCTCGTCCCAAGTCTCAGTTCCCCATCTGCGCAGTGGGAAGCCCTGGCAGGCCTGGCTTACGCAGCCAGCAGCGGGGAAGGGCTTTGCTGATAAAGCAAGTTCTGCCTTGGCTGACAGCGGGCCAGCTATTCCCTGGATGGCTCCCTGACCCAGCACCTTCCCTGTGCTCATAATCTAGCAGGTAGTGTTACCTGGGGCACCCATGGCTGGGGGAGGGCATTACCCTGAACCTGGCAGGTGGCTGAGGCTCATCCCTTTGGGGCAGCTCCCAAAGACTTAGCTGGTTCTGAGTGAGTCAGGGCAGGTCTCTGAGCCTCCCCAAGGCCATACCCTTACCCTCATTAGTCTGTCCACTTGGGCTGCCCTCCTCAGTCCCCATCATCACCTATTGAGATTGAGCTTCTTCTGAAGCTGAGGGAGTAGGAGGGTGGACTGTGAGAAGAATCAAACAAAAAGAAGAGCCTCAGAAATCAGGTGACCTGGGTCTTGTTTCTTCATATATAAAAGGTGGAGGGAAGTCTCTGCGCTCAGCATCATTGCTGCAAGTGATGAAACCAAGCCTCAGGTGTGTTGAGGCAGTGGCAGAGGTACGTGGGGTTGTTGGGGCAAGAGCTGGACCTGGGGCTAAAGGCTGGAGCAAGAGGCAAGGACTGGACCTGGAGACACAGCTGGACCAGAGCACCTGGGGCCAGGGATGGACTGCGGAGCCAAGGCAGAGGTTTCCAGGAGCTGCGGGGAGACATTGGCCCCTGAGAGAGGGTGAGCAGGGTGTAGCACCTTCTAGACAGTTTTTGAAAAACTCAGAGCCCAGATTATGGAGTGATATTTTGCAGGTAGCTGCTGGTTACAAGGAACGATATTTAGCAGGAAAGGAAGCCTCAGTTCCAACTTCCCTGATGGCATTTCGAGAGACTGTGTGAGCTGGACTACCTGCCAGAGCCTAGTCTGTCGTTTTTGTTTGTTTGTTTCTGTTTGTTTGTTTGTTTGTTTTTGAGACAGAGTCTTACTCTGTCACCCAGGCTGGAGTGCAGTGGTGCAATTTCGGCTCACTGCAACCTCCGCCTCCCGAGTTCAAGCAATTTTCATGCCTCTGCCTCCTGAGTAGCTGGGATTACAGGCGCGTGCCACCATGCCCAGCTAGTTTTTGTATTTTTAGTAGAGACAGGGTTTCACCATGTTAGCCAAGCTAATCTCAAACTCCTGGCCTCAAGTGATCTGCCTGCCTCAGCCTCCCAAAGTGCTGGGATTATAGGCATGAGCCTCCACACCTGGCTCCAGTTTATCATTTTATTTGGGGGCTTCATTCCACTAGTGAACTCTGAACAGACAGTACTGTCCTTGGGGGAGCCACAAGGAGTGTTATGAAGGGTGTGAAACTGGGATCAGAATCTGGGTCCTGATCTGCTCTGCCTCCTCTGACCTTTCCAGGGGTAGCCTCATATGCATGACCTTCCCCTCCCTGTCTGAATTTTCTCTTGTAAAACCAGGCGGTGGAACAGGACACTATCCGTGTTCCTAGTTCAGGCAGTTAGGCACTAAAGGAGGGCAGGTAGACAGATGCTGAGAAGTAGGACTGAGTGAGAAAGGGCAGAGTGTGTGAGGGGCAGGCCTGGGAGGGCAGCAGGGTTCCTGGTGGGTCCTAAGCAGGGATCCCTGGAGACAACGGTCGTTCTGACTGCCTCGGCCAATCTCTCGGAAAATTGAGGCCCAGAGAAGGTTGGGACAGACTCTCAGCCACCTAGCAAGCTTGAGCCAGAACACAGGATCCAGACCCTATCCCAGGCCAGTGAGTGAAAATTGTGAAGTCACAATGTTGGTCTGGCTGCGGTGGGCAAGACACATCTGTGTGATAGACCCACTCAGCTGTGAATGGAGCTGACTCCATCCTTGAAATGTGTGAGCCTCTCCCCTCCCCCACTCTACCAGCCCTTGCCTCTTCTTGCCCTGGGCAGCTTTTGTGTCTTGGGAGCCAACCAGAACTCAGGCTAGGTGCTAATTAAAAGCTACCTACCTCCTTTCTGCAGAGGCTGAGCCCCTCCATTTGCACACAGCCCTTGTCTACCATTGCTAGCCTCAGGCAAATGACTCCACTTCTCTATGCCTCAGTTTCTTCATCTGTAAAACAGGGCTAACATTTCCTGTCTTGCCTCCCTTCTGGGGTGTCACAAGGTTTAAAGGACACATGCTGTGTATATGTAGGGCTGCAGACATGAGGAGTCCTGGACGATGGGCAATAGCTGCCCTCCTCAGAGGCTGTGGGGCACTATCCTGGGATGGGTAGAAGTTGACAATGCATAGCTGGGGACAGCTTGGATGGATGGGGGCAGAACGAGGAGAGGAATGGGGGGAGCATGTGGGCCCAAGTGTCTGTTTTGCTGATTGCTCCTTTTGCTTTCAAGGAGATTAAACTATTTTTAGTCTGCGCTACTGCTGGTGAGACGCCGGAGGAAGCCTTTCCATCGCTGAGATCTTCTGGAAGCTGCCAAGTGTGGTCTTCAGCTCGATTCTGGGAGCCTCCCAGAGCAGGCGGGAGGGGTGTCACCATCTGGGGGCTGTGGGGACAGGCTGGTGTGTGCTTGCTCCCTGAGGTCCTTGTTGCGCTGGCCTCCCTGAGCCGTGTGGCCCTGGCCTGCAGAGAACAGTAATCTGATGCACCCGATGTTTGTAACGCTGTGTTTAAAAAAAGTAATTTATTTTCTAATTATTCCTTGTCTTGCATAACCGTGCATCGCCAAAGTGTCGCTATTTAAAATATTTATCTCTCCACGCCGCAGGAGCAGCTCTGGAGCGTGGAGGGAGAAGAAATAAAAGTCCATGTGCCGGTCGCAGGCATATTACTTTGACTGGTCCTGGCGGCTTTGACGTCTCCCTGTAAATACATTTATTTTTCATTAGGATGTTTCTGAGCTCGTGGCCCCCAGAGAGCGGAGTGATTATGCCGCTCATCTGTGAGAGCTGCAATAGAGAGGTGCTCAATGAGTGAGCGCCACCAAATGCCTCCGGTGCTTGTCCGCATGGGCGAGGGTCCGAGTATGTGTGGCTTGGGGTGTGTGTGTGCAGGGGGCGTACAGTGCTCAGCTGCATGTATACCAGGAGGGCATGTGGCCAGGGACTTTGGACCTTTGGTGTGATGGGGAAACCAAGGCCCAGAGAGGGCCTGTTTTGGAGTGGAATCAGCCTCACTGGCAGTGGCGGTGAGCAGCAGGCTTGTGACCTGTTCTATCCCTAGGGCCGAAGCCTTTCTTTTCAGCTGGGAAGACTTTTGGGATTGGACGCCTGGAAATGCTGGGTGGCTTCAAGGGGGGCGCCATCCAGATCCTGAAGCAGAGGGCCTACCAGTGCAGCAGGCAGTGTTCCCAGCACGCAGGGCAGGATGAGAGCTGACCCTTCCCCTTCTCTGCCTCTCCATAGGCTGTGGGTTTGAGCCATGCTGCAGAGGCTGGCCCAGGCAGTGCCCCTCCTCCAGCCACCCTGTGGAGCAGGGACTGGACTTGGCTCCTCCTTCACTAACAGGCTCTTTTCCAATCAAAAAAAAAATTTTTTTTTAGCTCACCGAGTATAAGAGAGAGTTTTATGCTGAATTTTAAAATACCTTATTTTTTCCAGTCTCTAAACTGCTAATCTCCCGGGCTGAGGGATTCTGGGACAAAGGCAAGGCCTCGAAGTGGAAATCTGTAAAATTAGCTTCAGCGGTATTAGTGTTTGCAGTTGGAGATTGAAAAATTGCTTTCCCAGGCCCTGATTGGAGGCTCCGCTCTCCTCGGGGGAGAGGCAAGGACTCGGCAGAGAGAGATGCTGGAGGCCAGGTTGGGGGTGGCTGGGGGGCTGTTGTGGGGGCCCCTCCAGGGGCCTGTGAGTGGGCCAGGGAGGGTGCGCGTCCTCTGCCCGAGTCTCCCCCATCAACGCCCAACTTCTCCGGCACTCTGCGTACACAGCGGGTGCCAAGCAAATGCTGTGGAGTCCGGCTCGGTCCCTTCCCCTTCTTTTCCTGAGGCCTCCTGGACTCGGTTCCTAGCCCCCTCCCCAGTGCTCAGACACAAGAGGGAGGAGGAGGCTTCCGGAGCCTGGCTGAGGGGCAGCTCTGGTGCCTGTGGGTGCGCCTGTGTGGCCCATCAGGCCTCTTGTGTGCTTGATTGCCTCTGATTGGCTGCAGCTGAATTCAGCAAAAGCTATTATTTGCCCTTGATGAGCCAATCAGATGGCCTCATTGGCCATTCAGAGCAGGCACCGGAACCCGGGTGTGGAGGGGGAGATGGGGCTCCGTGAGGCGGGGGCAGGGCAGAACAGATGCAGGACCCGGGCCTGGTCGTGTCCACCGTGACCTTCACACAGATCACACCTCCCTTCCCTGACCTACCACTCCAAACCGGGGCTCCCCTCCACATTAGCCTACCTCCCAGCCGTGGCCCTCACCATTCCCTCTTCCTGCAGTGCTTTGCCTTGCACATCTACCTGTCTGAAGCCCTCAAGACATCCTCCATGGAGTCCATTCCCGTCTCGCCAAGCTCCCAGAGCCTTCACCTGCCCCTCTCTCTTCCTTTGCCAGAAGTCGTGAGGATGGTGGTCAGGAAGATTCAGACAGATGGGGTGCAAATCCTGAGCAGCCCCTTCCCAATTCTAGGACGCTGGACGGGCCAGTTGCCCTCTAGAGTTTCTTTATCTGTAATGGAGAAGGTCCTAATAATCACACCTCCTTGAAAGGGGCGAGGCCTGAGTGCAGGGATCCCGGGTGTGAAGGACAGGGCTGGGGGCCTGGAAGTCCAGCCACCCCCGTGACAGGGTTTTCTTGAACTTCTGTAGGTTGGTCCAGGATTTGGCACTGGTGGGTGCACATGGGCCTGGACTGTCCGAAATCGCTCTGTCCTATTCAGGGGACATTTGGATGCGCAGGGACCAAAGCAGGTGACCTGCTGTAGGCTGTGCAGTGTATGTGCAGTACAGATGGAGAGGCTGCTAGGACTTGGGAGGTGGCACAGATGAACTCACCAGGGGGTTTAGGGAAGGCTTCCTGGAGGAAGAGGAGAGCTGAGGGGTGAGCATTTCTGGGGAAGCATGGACAAAGGCCAAGTAGTGGGAACGACTCTGGCAGGCAGCGGGGAAGAGAGGAGAGGCTGGTGTTAGGGTCTCAGTGATGTGGAGATGGGCTCATGGACTCGTTCTGGACCCAGTGAGAGAACTGAGCCTTCTCTCTGAGGTCATATTCCTGGGAAAAGACTCTGAGACTCTTAAGATTTGCACACAGGAGGCCTCTGCATCATCTTCAGACAAAGAGGAAATCCTAGATTTTAGCAGGGATGAGGGGCTACTTCTGCAGGCTCAGAGAGTTTAGTGGGGGTCAAGGTTCTTGAGTGCAGTGATTCAGATGTTCCCATCCTACAATGCAGGGCCCCACTTCTTTGCTGTCAGGGTCTTGGCCTGGCCTTGGTGTAACCAGCCTGCTGGGATTGAAACTATAACCCCCTGAGGATCTTTGACTCTTGTGATAAAGTCCTGTGCTTTTCTGCCTCTGGTTGCAGATGAGAATCATCTTATATCCTGCCAAGGGGGCTTCTCATGTTCACATTTCACCGTAAATTTGTTTTGAATCTTACTCAGTCTTGCCTTGTCTTTCTCCAAAGCATTGATAGCTCCCAGCCACAGCCATCCCATTCCATAGTTCTTATAATTACACTTCCCTGAGCCTGTCTGACACCTGAGATGTTGCACCCATTCACAGGTATCCCAAGCTGGTTCACAATGAGCAGTTACATCCATCACATGTCAGGATTGTCAGGGCTCCCCCTGCCTCCATGGAGAGGTTCTCGTCAGCACAACAATGCCCACTTTAGGGTTGGCCTTCTGGGACCACTTCTGGCACCAGCTCCGATAGGGTCCATTCCCTGGAGTCAGACTCTGAGATGGAGGTCATGTGCAGGTGTTTACTGGAGAGTACTCTTGGGAACCACACCTGTGAGGGGTGAAGGACGCAGGGTTGGGCAGCAGGAAAAGTTGGGCTGTGAGGCATTCTCAAGCCTGAGCCAATTCCACAGACAGCCCTGGAGGTGGGCTGGCCCATCAGAGCTGTCCCCATTGAGGCCAAGGGACCAGGCCTCTGTGCACCCCCACTCCACCTCTGTGACCACAGGCAGTGGAGCCACATCTGCTCGGGGTACAGCCTGGGGAGGGACTCGGATGAGAGGAGTCAGCAGGCAACACCCTTGGCAGTGAGGGGATGAGGGCCTCGTGCCGAAGGGGTAATCTGGGTGATGCAGCCCAGCATCCACATCATGAGACTTGTGCAGCTTGGACCCAGGTTCTGGTTATGCCTCTTGCCAGCGCTGAGGCCTCGGGTGAGTCACAAGAACTCTCTGAACCCAGTATCCCACCTGCAAAATGGACCATTGCCACGCCTCCACCTCCTGGGGTTGGTTAGGAGTGGGGTCTGAGGTGGGCTCTGAGACACAGTGTGAGCTTGAAGGGTGCACCTGTGGGACAGGGCCAGGTTCCAGTCACCATCCAGGTGGGAACTAGGGGGCCTCTCAGCAGGCTCCCCATCCTCTCACTGGACAGGCCCCTGGCAGCCAGGTTTGAGGAAATGGGAGACATGGGCTAAGTCTGTACCATCGATAAAACCCATGGAAGTTGTCCAAGCACTTGGTCAAGGGGCCAGGGATGAAAATAGTGGAGGGGCATGCAGAGGGTATCTGCTCAGCCTGCTCAGTGGGTTAATTAGCGTGGATGGAGGTAGGCTGGGTTCAGGGGCCTGAACTTCAGGATGACTGGTAGTGTTCAACAAAGTGTCAGGCAGCCTGGGGAGGGGCCTTAAAACAGCCCCTGGGCCGTGCGTGTTGACTCATGCCTGTAATCCCAGCACTTTGGGAGGCCGAGGTGGGCAGATCACCTGAGGTCAGGAGTTCAAGACCAGCCTGGCCAATATGGTGAAACCCATCTTTACTAAAAATACAAAAAATTAGCTGGGCATGGTGGCGCACACCTGTAATCCCAG
Organism: Homo sapiens; assembly: GCF_000001405.40. Taxonomy (NCBI): domain Eukaryota; kingdom Metazoa; phylum Chordata; class Mammalia; order Primates; family Hominidae; genus Homo; species Homo sapiens. The sequence continues at coordinate 50,451,256 of NC_000003.12, read as the reverse complement.
GTACTCGGGAGGCTGAGGCAGGGGAATCGCTTGAACCCAGGGGGCAGAGGTTGCAATGAGCCGAGATCGCGCCATTGCACTCCAGCCTGGGCAACAAAAGTGAAACTCCGTCTCAAAAAAAAACAGCCCCTGGTGGGAGGGATAAAAGTGATGATGGCAGAGGCAGGGTGGCTGTCCATGGAGGGGGCACTAAGGGCCATTGGGGTGGATGAGGAGCCCCTACAGAGGTCATGGACTGGTCACTTTTGAGGCCTCTGTAGGCACAGTGGTTTTGTACACACCACAAATGAGTCCTCATTTCCAAGGGCCCCATGTAGGCGGGGAGACAGCTCAGAGGCAGGTCCCATGTCCAGGACTGGCACAGGGTCAGAGCCCCTGGGTCTTGTTGGCTAAGGACACCCGTGACATCGGCCAGTGTGGCTGGTGCGGTGGGGTGTGACGTCGGCGGGCGTCTTGCGGATGTGACTGTGGGCAGGGAGGGGAGGCCTGCCGATGGGAAGGGAAGGCTCTGAGTCAGGCATGCGCGCAGCAGGCCTGCCTTTTACAAACGATCATCAGCCTCAGTGTTCCAACAGCCTCTTTCACTCTGTAAAAGCCTTTTCTTTGGAAAAATAAAAGAAGATTGGAGGCAAGTACAATATTTGGCTGTGGCGGCTGCTAATTTGGCGCTGAATGTCACCTCCGCCTTTCTCTTCTCTGATGCCAAGTGCTCCTTTCCTGGCTCTGGTGGGCGAGAGCAGGGTGATGGGGGTGCAGGGCGGGCTCCAGAGCCTCTTAAGATTCGAGATTCATTTCCTTAAACACACATTGTCTCACTCCAATTTCACGTCCGAGCAGTTCTGGCGAGGAATTAGCAGCTCCTGGGAGAGAGTGGCGGGTTCTGTTTACACGGGGCGGGGGCAGGGTAGGGGAGGCGGTGCGGGGGTAGGTGGGGCTTGGGGCCCATTTGCACAGGAAGCCCACACAGGAACTGGGTCAGGGACTGCCTCACCTGACCCGAGGGCCCTCAAAGGGAGCCAGGCCGATCCGCTGTCAAAAGAATGTGTGAATCCTGCCCCATTTTAGATGTCCTGTGTGCATGGAAGGTGGGGCTGTATAGTGATTTTGGGGGCAAATCAAGAATATTGGGCTTTCAGGTTGGCCTAAGTCTCCACTGAGAGGACTGGTTGAGACCTGGGGGCCACCTTTAGCTTGCCCCCTTCTGTGGCTTGGGGCTCACAAACTCTGGAGGCTGCAGTTTGCTTTGAGTCAGGCTCCATGGACCCCTCCTCACATGGAGCCTCACCTCCCACTATGTCCCCTCCACAGCCCTTGTGAGCTTGGGTGGTGACAGTCCTGTCATTGTGTGGGAGAAGCAGCTCCACTTCATGGGTGAAGCCCCAGAACCCAGCCCTAGGTCTCTCTCCCACCTACTCAGTCCCTAGGGCCCGGGCTGAATGCCTGTGTCTCTGATGGGGAGTGTGGTGGGCAGTCCTGGGAGTACAGGCTCCCCCCGCCCCAGGCCACCCTCTCTTCATGGCCTCAAGGTCATTCTGAGTGTGGTGTGGCGGAGGCATCACAGGGCCACGCTTTAAGACCCTTCTTAATGGTGTCCTTTCAGGCTGACACTATTTTCATCCCTGGCCTTGATTTGGGCCTTCTTGGCTGGGCTTGTTTTTGTATGGCTTCTGAGGCTGGGTCTGCCCTTTTATGCCCTTTCTGCCTTCCCCATGCCTAAAATCCACAGTCACCCCCTAGTCCCAACCACTACCCCTGAGGAATCTCAGCAGGGCTGCGCAGCCATGGAGGTGGCATCAGGGTTGAGCCTAAGGAGTGCTATGGAGGGTGGCCCATCCCCCAGCTCTCCTGGGCGACTGCTCATGCATCACCTCCTAGAGGGGAGACCTGCTAATTTGTCAGCCCATTAGCTGGGCACGAGCAGCATATGGACCCAATTCCTGCTACCCTCTTCCTGCCCACCTCTGATAGCATCATCAGGGCTCATGGTGAGGTCCTAGGTCCAGGGTTGGATCACAGGGGTGGGGGGCTGCCATCTTGCTCCGAGGCTGAGCCCCTCAATGAGGCAGCCGAGGGTTTGTTCCTCTCTTGGCTTCAACGAATCTACCTTAGGAGTTCAGTGATGAAGCCTCTCTAAGCCACTGGCTAAGAAGGGCCCTGCTTTTAGGAAACTGGGCTTTATTTTTAGTGTTCAGAGAAAGATAATTTTTTCTCGCCCACCATCAGCAGGAAGATCAGTCGTTTTCGTGATGTTTCCAGATCCTCTTGTCTGTGGGATGGGGGTGGGCAGGAAGGATCCCTTGCCTGAGGGCTTCGCTGCGGCTCTCCCCCACATGCAGGAGGGAATCTGTGCCTCAGACTGTCTCTGTTGCAGCCTGCGCCATCAATGGGGTGTTCTCAGGGTCTGTGGGGGTAGTGGCTAGAAGCGGGCACCAGCACAGTGTGGGTGGCCTGGCTCTAGGGATGTGACCAGTGCAGGGCTCTAGTCCCTCTGAAATGGTGGGCAGAAGGGCAGGGACTGGTCTGCTTGAGGGTACCCTGGGCCTGTGCACACACACAGATGTTCCCTGAGACCTACTGTGTGCTGTACTTGAGCACAGGAGCTCAGGGCTGAGCTCAGGAACACATGCACCTTACTTTGTTCATTGCGAGCCTTCCCCCAACATGCGCCATAAACCTGGGCATATACACACCAGGATACATATGTGCATCGACACACAGGCACCAGGATATGTGAGTACCTGGAGACATACACTGGGTCATGTGCTTGGGCCTGAGGTGCCCATGGAAGCACCATCACGCTTCCTATGTGCTCACCAGTGAACATTCCTACATACATGTACAGATACACTCAGGCACACACTGGCTTCTGCATCATCTGGGTTTATGGCAGGAGATAAATTTGCAGTTTAGGAACCCTAAACCTCCCAGCATTGTAAACTCAAAGAGCTTGATAGCCAGAGCTTCCAGTCACGTTGATGACTCCACAAAGCGTAATACTATATGGGAGAGGGTTTCCCAGCCTCCTTTGCAGGGCAACCCTGCAGAGCAGAACATACCCAGGCCTAACTGGTAAAGGGGCCTGTCCAGGGAATGCCTGCCCTGTGCCAGGGAGGAGCCACATGGTTGCCACCTAGGAGCTTCAGCCTAGGGCATCTCCAGCATTCCCTAAGGGCCCTAGGGTAGGGGGAAGTGATAGCAACTCAGAGGGCTCAAGGCCCTGGGGGAGGCTAGGTTTTGTTCATGGAGGGGACGGGTAGTCCAGAGGCCAGGTTGAGGATATGGCTGGTCTGACTCTTAGCCTGTTCTGGGGCCTAAAAAGGAGGGCTCCCTGCTTAGACCTCTGTGGGGCACTTAGAAGAGCGTACCTGAGCCCTGATCCAGTCAGGGTGTGGCATTCTGGATGTGACCTTGGTTGGATTCTGGAAGAGGTCAGAGTTCCCCAGGCTCTGTGGTGACTGGGGCAGGGAGAGGCCTGGGGTGTGGAGTTCTGGGCAAGCAGGCAGGGAGGCTGCCAGCTCAGGGTGCAGGCAGGAAACCTGGAGGGGCTCATGTATGCTCAAAGACACTGGAGGAGCAGTGACTGAGCAGGACCAACTCAGGCCACTTGCCCCAGTCACGCCCTGCAGGCCCCAGGGGCGGACTGAGTGAGCCTCTGTTGAGGGGTCTCCTAGCAGGCCCAGTGGTATGGGAGGGACATGGGGCAGGGGGGAACCTAGCTCCCAGTTCTCTCCCTCCTAAGGAGGAAGTAGAGCTGCCTTACATAATCAGGGCAATTTGTTCCGCTCTTGTCCTCCTGGCGTCATTGCCCTCACCGCCTCCTTGCTCAGGGAGCCCTTGACAGAGCTAGAAGTGCAGGCCTCCCTCCTTCCTGCTGGAGGTTGCCGACAGACGATGTGGAAGCCCAGGGCACCATCGCCTCCAAGACCCCATGGGCACCTGACCACGAGAAGGGGGCGGTGGGGGAGACAAGGTCACACTGCATGTGGGGATCCAGGCCTCCAGCCTGTAGCCTCCAGACGACCTTACAGTTTCTCAGAATTCACACAGGCAGTGAGTTCCCGGTGAGGGTCGGGTTCAGAGCTGCCCCTGCCTGCTAGTGGATCCCCTCCCCCGGAAGCTCTCCTCACCAGCCTTCCTTCTTCTTCACCTTTGCATGCTGCTCCTCTGCCGGGAAGGTACACAATCTGTTTTGGCCCATCCAGCTACACCTTTCCCTGGAATGTCTTCTCTGACCTTCCTAGCACGGAAGAAGGTGAGAAGCTGGAGCCTGGGTCATCCTGGCTCTTTGCTGCTGCTTACCCTGCTGACTTGGGCCTCAGTTTATGCACCTGTAGCCTAGGGTCCTAGACTTCCAACCTTACAAACGAAGATGGTTTCCTACAAGTCGAAGCACCTCCTTGAAGTCTACCTACCCTCTGGGCCAGCTCAGAACTGTCCTTGGCTCTCCCTCCCCCTGCAATCCCTCTGGGCACAGGTTGGGCGAATGAGCCCTCGGGGTCTGGTAGACAGCACCAGGCAAATGAATTAGGGGCTTGTTATCCTGAAGGGACTGGCTTCCTGGGAGGGTTCACCCAACTGTCTGAGAAAAAGCTCTTGATGGATGTTCAAAACAGGATGGGGTTTGTGAACCCGAGACTCAGCTGACCCCGCTGACTTTCATAGCCCTGGTGCAGGTGGCCCAATGGACATGGCCAAGGGGGCAGTCAGAGTGGCTTCCCAAAGGAGGGGTCAGGGGCAGGGTTGGGCCTGAAGAGGAGTTACAGGATCCCACAGGCTGGAGACAGCTGCTGGGGAGATGGAGGCAGAGTCCGAAACAGGGTCTGTGTTCATGCATGTGGTAAGTCCATGTAGTCATTGAATTCCAGCTCTGCCAGTTACTCTCTGTGCCTCAGTTGCCTCATCTGTAAAATAAGGACATCTGTAAAATAAGGACAACTGGGGCTGGTGAGAATTTGATGAAATGGATGGCCGGTGTGGAGGCTCACTTTGGCCCCGCCAGTAATGGCAGCTAATCCCGTAATAATTGTCACCCAACCCCACAGCCCCCAAACCTGGCAACAAGGAGGTGGCACACCTGGAGTCAGGGCCCAGGCACAGCATGTGCCTCCCCTGAGCATAGCACACTTAACTTAGAAGTTCATGGCTGTTCAGGCTAAGGGCCCTCATGGTGTTTGCCAGTGTGGCCGGGCCATCAGTCCTGTTTGCACAGTTTGTTTGCATGGCAAACACTGTGCACGGATGCGGGAAGGTAAATGCTGGCCCCTGTTGCTGCTGGAGTTTTGCATACACCGAGAGAGAACCTGGAGCTGGAGGTGCCATGGATTGTCCCTCTTCCCCAAAAGTGAAATAAGGGGGAACTGAGGTACAGAAGGGCCAGAGCCTGCTCAGGAGCACCTCTATGGACTGGGTTCAGAGATCACTGACCCCAGCTCTAGGAAAGCTTTGGGTGGTAACCCCACCCCTGCATTTTTCAGGTCCAAAATGGGAGCTTTCTTGTGAGAGCCCAGGATAGGCTGTAAATGATGGGAGAAGCTGAGTTCCCTTGGGTCTGTGTCCCCAGAGTGCATGTGTTTTCAGAGCATGCATGTCCCTAATGTGCACCTGTCCTCAGCATATCTTCAGTCTATACACAGCCTTAGTGTCTTGGTCCTGTTTGTTTATTTATTTATGCTTCCGACTTGTTCTACAGAAGACTTAAGGGCACTTACAAGGATACATAAAATTCAAGGAGAGCCTAAAAATTGGAAGTAGGAGAAAAAGGAAAACTTAGAGGAGGGAGTAAGATGGCATCAGGAGGTGCTGACAGAGGAGGTAAATGAGATGGCCCAGGCATGGTGTGTCCCCTTGCACACTTGCTTGCACATTCACAGTGACTCTGGTGCCTACTGCCTTACCGGTGCCTTGTGGTCAGCTGCATCAAGAACTCAGAAGGGGGAGCCTAGCTGGGCTCTCCTGGGACCCTGGTTCAGAGTCCACTGTGGGTCAGGCCATGCCCTTGCCCCATCCAGGTCCGGCACCTATGCTGTTAGGAGCCCTTCCAATGGTGTGTTCAGCAGGATTTAGGGTCATGACCTTCAGGTAGCCCCAACCGTCCAAGCCAGCAAAGTTCCACTGCTTAAAACATCTCAGATGGCCACACACCACTTTTTGAGGTGTGAATGGACACCCACAGAGCCTCACGCAGGCCTGGGGCTGCCATATATCCAGTGACAGTGGACAGGCCCATCTAGGCTATGGTACCTTTTCTGTGAGCCTAAGTGTGAGACTTGAGCAAGATCTGCAAGGGGCTTCCTGAGTCCTAGGTGTGAATGTGGTGAGGTCAGTGTGTGTGACCTGGTATGCAAGGTCAAGTGCATGTGCCTGCTGCTGCATCTGTGCACTGGTACAGGGCAGGTCCCTGGGATCACCTTGCCCCAAAAGAGGCCCCTGATACCATGAGAGGACATGGGCTCATCTTCTGGGCTTACCTTCATCTCTCTACCCTTATCTCCCACACCTGCCATGCTAAGATCTCATGTTTTCACAAGAGCAGCCAGCCTGAGGGCCTCAGCAGCACCTCTTACTGTGATTGGGGCTGTCGTTGGTGCTGTCTTTATGTGGTGACATCTTTAGCAAGTCTCAGCAGCACAGGACAGAATTCCAGCCTGTGAGGCCGGGAAAGTTGGTCCCTGCAGGACAGAATGGATCAGGGAAGGTGCTCAGGGCCTTGGGAGCAACCCTGGAAGGCGGTCCCATGAAAAGCCACCAGCACCCCACACTTGAACTTCCATCTTTAAGGAATGCCAGGATGGCCTGGCTGAGGTAGCTCAGGGCTGTGCAGACTGTGAGGGTGAAGGCTCGAGCCAAACCACAAGGCTGCTTAAGGGCAGAGCAGGAATTCAGACCCATGGCTTTTGGCCATTCTTGGCTGTGGGTGCAAGAGACTGGGAAGTCTCCTCTTTGGACAGATTCTGACCCTCCCGGCGCCTCAGTATCCTCATCTGTAAGATGAAAAGCCAGCCAGCTGCTGACCACCTCCAGGGTGCCCTTGTTACAGTCATCTCCACCCCCAGGGCCTGACTGGTGGCTTTGGGGCAAGGTCAGTTTCTAGCCACTCTGGAGTCCTTGGGGGACCTGCCCAGCCCCTGAAGAAGGTTGCTCACCTGACCTATCAGGGTTGTGAGGGGTGGATGGAGGTGATACAGAGAAAGCAGATTTTGCCCTTTTCTTCCTGGCCTCAATTCCGTCTCATGAGGGTACTTATGGGGGTGAATTTCTGCCAGCTCTGGGCTATAAGGACTCTGGGCCACAATGACTGTTTCATCTCACATGAGAGCTCCATGACCCGTTGAAACCCACTGGAGCTGTGACATGATTGGGAGTCCCCCCTGGCCCACCAAGGGTCCACTGGAGCCTCTGCCCACCCTGGCTCCCAGAGCCCTTCACTCCCAGCCCACTGTCCCTGAGTCCTGAGAGGTGGGTAAAGGGGGCTTTACTTTAACCCATTTTACACATCCGAAGATGGGGGCACGAGGGTGAAGGGGTTGAAGAGGCCAGATGGCAAGGCAGCGGCCCAACTCTGGGTCTGTCTACTTGGGCTGTTGTAGGGCAGAGGGGGCCGTTTGTCCTGCTGCGGGGGTAGGGTCCTTGTCCAAGGCCAAGCTGGGCCAGGGCTGCACAAGGTGGTGAACGGACTGAAGGGCAGGCCGGGCTAGTCTGCGGGCCAGAGAACTGAGCGGCAGCGGGGGCCTGGAACTGATGGCTGGGGTCTGAGAAGCCCAGTGCCACAGGCACCTCCACTCACTGCCTGGTAGTCTGCAGCCAGTTTCTCTATTTCCCAGAGCTATCAAATGACAAGGACTCCATGGGTTATGCGCTGAGCCCTGTCTGGCCACACAGAGGACCTGTCATCACTATCCCCATCCTTCTGCAGTCAAGAGGCTGAGGAGTTCTGATGAAAGGAAGGCAGGGCCAACTGGATGGGGAGGCAGCGGGAGAGAGCAGAGCCAGGGTGGGTGGCAAGGGGGCCCAGACGCCGACACAAACAATCTGCTTCCCATAAACATGGGCGCCCACACCAGCCGGCCGCACCCGGCGACTTCTGTGAGTTGGGAAAGTGCGGGTATGTTTACTCGCACTCCCCCGTGCCAGCTGGTATGCTGGGCACAGCTTCCCTCCCAGCTGCCTCGACAGCCGGCGGCTCCCAACTCAGGGAGGGGGAGCAAACAGGGGCCCCTGGTTCTTGCCTGCGGTTTGGTTCACCTCAGGCTCAAATTCCCCACCCGATGCTATTCCAGGCCACATTGAGAGGATGGGGGCCCTGAGAGTCTCCATGGCTGGTGTCCATGTGGCTGTGCTGTGCCAGAATTGTCTCCCCTGCTCTCCAGCCCATCTGAGTAGACAAAGGCCTGGAGGCTGGAACTGTCCAGGGACGCTTGTCTTGAGTTCAGGCAACAGATGCCCCTCCAGTGGGGTCCATGCCCTCCTCCCTCTACCCCAGCTGCTTTCTCAGTAGTTGCTTCTCTCTGGGGTGTGGTCAGTGCTCCAGTATCTCAGCACACCCAGAACCAATGGATGACAATTGCAGGTGGGTGAGGTTGCAGGGAGCCAGTGCCCCATGGGCCCTGGGATATGTGGGTCTCCATGCCTCAGATTCTCTGCTCTGTGAATTCTGTGAATACCTTGTCTGAGTGCCACTCAGCAGTGGCACCTACATGAGGTCGTGCATCATCCCCAGGAGGCCAGGGCAGATTCTTGTCTGTGAAGGTGTCTCCGTGGTATTGCACCACCCACCCCAAGGCCTGGGTCAAGCATCTTAGATCAAGGAGTGGTGGGAGCTCAGAGGCAGGGGCTCAGGGAAGCTGCTTGGGGAAAGTGCTTCTTGGGCAGGCACTCAGCAGCCTACGCTAGAGCATTAACTTGTGACCTTGGAGATACATCGTGGATGGCTTTGGTCCTGCAGCATTTGTTTTGAGGTACACAGGAGTGTGCCTCATGCTGGCATAGGCAGGCGGGGACACTGGAGTGTGCCCCCTCTCCAGCCCCCTTGCCCAGGGCCATTTGGGATTGTCACTTCTGTAGTAGGGAGACCTCATTTGATTCTTTCTCACTCCAAACCTGTCCCCAAAGCATCCTCGTGACCACCAAGGGAGCCAGAATTTAGGGGAGATAAAGTCACAGACTGCAAGCTTCACATAGGCACACGGCCATAGGAATGCTGTTATCTAACGATGGCAGCCTGGAATCCAGCCACGGTGCTTGCTAATGATGGGTGAGTCCCTTCTCAGCATTCCTGACAGCTGGGCTGGAATAGTCCCTGTGGTGGGGGGCTCACTACTTATCCAGGTGTTGCTTTCAGGCTTTGGGAGTCCTGAGTGTGGGAAAGTTCCTCCCACTTCCGAGCTGGATTCTGCAACCCTGTTCACAGAAGCCATCAGGAACCTTGGAGAAAGGACCTCTCATTTTGGAGCTGGGTGGATACCATTTCCTTCTAGGACTGTTCTCCCCTGAGATACAGGCCTTAACACTGGAGGCCTCAAGTCAGGCCTGGTGTAAATGGATAATCAGGATTGCCACAGTTTTCAAGTCAGTTTGGAAATTCGCGTATGTTTCAGAGGAGCAAAGGGCTACACCCAGGAATGGGCCATGCCCAGTGTCTCTGGTGGGTGGTGCCTTGCCTGGGGGCACATTTAGGGCAGGCCTCACAGGCAGGCTCTGCACAGGGGCAAGCACAGGGAGGTTGGCACAGACTGGCCCTTGCTTGGCTGGGAGGATTTGGTTTATTGTTTTGTGTTGGGTTTTGTGTCTTTTGAAAAACAAGAGATTGAGCCTTTTTATGACATGGATTTTACAGCGTAACGAGGCAGCGTAATTTCCCATTCTCAGCAGCAAGTGCACTTTTTACACTAATTGCATAATTAGACATAATGTACTAATTGCGGTAATGGATGACAGTCAACTAAACTTTAACTTTAAAAACAGGGAGGCGTTGCTGGGGGTGGTGGTGGGGGCTTCAGGCCCCTGTGAGTTTTGTGAAGGTAATCTTGCTGGTGAAAGCTCCTAGAAGTTGCCTCTTGAGGACGAGGGACCACAGAGCCGCCAGGCCTTTCTCACCTTGTGGTCAGTCACATGTCCCTCCTTCCTGGAGGATCCCCCTGTCCCCACCACCTGGGTATCTGCTCCCCTTGCCCTCACACCCTGTCTCCCCAGCTTCTGTCCCCCAACAAGCCCCTCTGCAGCCACTGAGCAGTCCCTTATCCCCGCTTCTCCCAGCCTTTGCACCTGGCGCTACTGCTGCCAAGCGTCCCTCGTCCCTGTCCACCCACAAAAACCCCTGCCCAGCCTTTCAGACTGCTCAGATGTCCTCTCCCCTGGAAAGCCCTCCCCAGGCTTTTTCTTGCCCCCTACCACCCTGGAGCAGGCCAGCCCCACTCCCAAGTGTCTCCTGCACAGCTCTGTCTACTGCCACCTGTCTGGGCATCTGTCCCCTCTGGATAGAGAGTCCCAGGAGGGCAGGGACGAGGTCTGTTCCATCTCTGCTGTTCCAGGGGGATGTAAGGAGGTGGGGGTGGGGGAGGATAGTGCTATTAATGGGCCGCCCACCCAGGAGACCAGGCCAGGCACCCTCCTCTCTGCTCCCACACTGCTGTGTGACCTCCACTGTAGCCCGTGCAGGCTGATTGTAATGGCCTGGTTCTGTGTCTGTGATGCCCTCTAAAGAGAGCGTTCATCCCAGGCATTCTGTACTGGATATGAAGGGGAATTATTAATGGGACAACTAACATCACAGTGTACAAAACCTGTGTGTGACAGGACACCATATACAGCTGAGTGACCATGGGGCCACCCCGCCTGGGATGGTGGCAGTGTGGCATGGCCACTTAGGAACCTAACATGGCAGTTGGCAAAAATGTCAGCAGCTGATGAAGCATGTAACTGAGTGGCACGCAGCCCCCCTGCCTGGGCACCGATAGTGTGCCCTGAGGGCTCCAGGGGCCCCTTGCCCTACTGTAAGCCCTGTGCCAGGCTGGTGAGGGACAGGCCTTAGCCCCCTCCTGGGGAGCTGCCAGTCACACACCCAGTCTCGTGGCTGGTGTGTCCCCAGAGCAGCCAGATTAGGGTTTTTGTGCACCCATCATGGGGCAGCCCCTCAGTCCCATCAAGAACTAGGCTATAGGGAGAGCCCTGAGGGGTGCAGCCTGTCCTGGATCTGTCCCAAGTGCTGTCAGTGGTAGAGGGTCCCCAGGTGCCTGGTTACCCCATCAACTCTCCAGTCTTCAAGGTGGATTTGCAGTTATGTCAATACCCTCTATTTTCTCACTGAGGCAGAAGGCCAGGTTAGCAGCCTAGAAGGGGTGGGTGAGGCAGGGGGCCCGGACCTGGCTCTACCCTGACTGGCTAGGGTCCTTGAACTGGTCACTACCTGTCGCCAATCGCCCTACCTCATTGGCCCAGCTCAGGCTTCCTGAGCCACCACAAGCCCCCTAGCCACCCACCCAACATCCCTGACATGAGTGTAGCCCAGTCTGGCAGCTGACCCCGGCCTCCAACTGCAGACCCTGTGGCCTCTTGAGGTGGTTCCCTCCCCAGGGCTTGTTTATTTGGGTTGGGCCTCAGGAGGCCTCGCCCACAGTCTCTCATCCACTGGCTGCCCTCCCTGCAGGGGCCTAATGGACAGTTAAGACTTTCACCTGGCTGCTCCCTGTGGTGAAATGTGGTGAGGGGATTGGAGCGCCAGTCTCCCCGGAGTCATGCCTCGGGGCTCAGGCCAGGGGTGCTGGAGCACCTGGCAAAACCCCAAGGTGAGCTGGGTCTTTGAGGAGACAGCTGGCAGCAGGGCCAAGCCTGCGTCAAATCTTTCTTGTTCCATTTTCTTTCTGATTTAATTTTCCAGAGATTAGGGCTGTTCACCTTCGCTGCGGAGAGGAGCCTTGCGTGCGAGTGCCTGTTTTGACTCCCAGGGTTGGGTGGGTGCTTAGTCGATTGGGCTGGCCCTGCCAGTCTTCCCCTCATTCCCCTCCAGCATGGCCCTCCCACCTTCCAGGGGCCTCAGTCTTTCAGCCTCTGCCTGCATCCGCCCCAAGCCCTTCAGGCCTGCCCAGTTCATCCCTATGCCTCTTTTCCCATGGCTTTGCCTTCAAGTTTAGGGATAAAGGTGGGGTACAGAACTGTACAAAGAGTATGACCTAAAGCAAGGGCTTTGGATTCGACCCAGTTCAAACCGCAGTTTTGCATGCGCCTTAACCTCTCTGGCCTTCAGTGTCCTCTCTGCCACATGGAGATGATCAGAATGGACCCTCCTCAGGGGTTGTAGGAGATCAGTGATGTCATCTATGTAAACCACCTGCCCCAGAGCAGCCAGAGCTAACACTCGGGGCAAACAGGGCTGTTCCTGCAGCTTCCTTGGCCCTTCCTCCTTGCTTTTCCCCACTCTCCTTTCCCCTCTCCTCTCTCCTTTTCCTCTCCCCTTCCATCTTCCCCCTTGCCCTAGGCAGGTTTGCTGGTAGCTCAGGTCTGGGCTCCCTTGCTGCTGACTTTCTAAAATGCCTTCTGATTGGGGCCTGCCCAGGTCACTTGTCCTGAGGCCTTTAGTTTCCTGTGGTGGCTGTCTCTATGTTCCAGGCACGTTGGGGCTGGTAGTTGGACTCCTCTCTCCCAGGCAGCTCTGTTAGGAGCTGTGGGAACGAGGCTGGCTCCCTTTGCTCCTGCCAGCATGCAGGCTTCCTGTCCAAGGTCACCATTCCTGCAAGGGTCCTCCAGGCTCGCCTCCCACTTACACGGAGCCATGGGGGAAGCAGGAGGCTGGGCAGAGGGTTCGGGGCTTCTAAGGAGGCATCAGCCCCCACGGCCCTGTGAAGCCCTAGGATGGAGGGCTGGCCGGACTTGCCCTGATGCCTAACTGAAGAACTGCTAGAGCTGAGAGAGGGTTGAAGCTAGAGCCAGCCCTGGGGGAGGGGAGAGGTGGAGGGGCAGGTCTCCATCACTGGTGGGATAGGAGTGCCCTCAAGGGAGGAGGGCACCAGCTGAGCCATGGTCACCAGTACATGAAACAAGGGGGGGAACCAGGAATTCCTGGGAACAAGGGGCTCCAAACAGACTCCTGAATTGTCCCTTGGGACCTCAGCCACCCCTGTTCTCCCTGTTCCTCAGTCCTCCCCCACATCCCCACCTGGCTCCAGTCTGCTACCCTGTCCCACCAGCATCCTGGCACTCTCTGTGGGTTAAAGCTGCTGCCTCTCCCTCCCTATCACTGCTGGCACAGAGCTGGGGCACCCTGGGATCAGCTGGGCCCCGTCGTGCTCCTTAGTCCAGCAGAGGTGGGGCTGTGCCGGCTGTGCTGCTGTGGGAGCAGTTGGCTTTTTCTAATTAACTCTCTGGGCCAAGGACATCAGTGGGCATTGCCATCCTGCTGTGGTGGTTGAGGCTCTGCATCCGGTGCACCCTGGCCTTTCTGCACTTCCCAGCTGGCCCTAGGAGCCAGGGCTAGAGGCTGGGGCTGGAGTGGGGCTAGTCTTGGGCAGAGTCTGTGCACTGGAGTTGCCCTGGGCTCTCCTGGGCTCCTGCTGGGCCTGCAGGTGGAAAGCACCTCCCTGGACCACATCAATGTAGAGATGACCTTTCTCCCAGGATGGGACCATCTGCTGGGCTGTGTCACTTAGATCTCCTGGGGATTTGGGGCTCAGCTCAGGGCCCACCCTAGAAGACAGGAACAATTGGAGCAAGTTCAGGGGAATGTTGAGGGGGAGGGCTGTGGCACTAGGGGCTATCATTCGAGGACTGTTGCACCTCAAGGGCTCATTTGGGATTGGGGAGCAGGCTTGGCTGGCAGCATGACCAGCCCCTGCACTTCTGGGATTCTGCTCTCCTCTCAGCAGAAACCCCTTCCAGCCCATTTCCCTGGCCTTGCCCTAGAGAGGATTTAGATAGCAGGGCAAGGTGGAGGGGATGCAGGGACAGCGTGAGTCAAAGTATAGCTGTGGGAACTGGCCTGGGCTGGAGACCCAGAGGCCTGCAGGCACATGACAGGTCAGTGGGCTTGATGGGACCCAGACCAGGGTCGGCAGAAAGATGCTGTGGTGGGTCCTCGAGTAGAAATAGAACAGGAAGAAAACACGGTGGATGCATCCCTGGGCCCCGAGGGCTCATGCAGCCGCAGGCAGAAGTTGAGGAATCAGACCTGGGCCCAGCTGGCCCCAGAGCTCTGCTTTTGGACATAGAATCCAGCATATGCATTTGCCAGGTGTCCACTGCACACAGACATGGTGCTTGGGAGAGAGAGAAGGAAGCTGGCCATGGCTGTGCCCTATCAGTGGCGTCCCAGTGTCTAGGCTCCACCATTATCACCTCTGGGGCTGAGGCTAAGGTGTCGGAGACAAGGACAGGGTGGCTCAGTGTGGGAGACTGCCCAGACCGATCTGGGAGAACAGGGTGGGGCTGGAGGTGGGCAGACCCCAGGAAACTGAGGCTACCAGCTCAGGAATGGAGCCGATGGCTTTGGACAGCCCCAAGTGTACAGATCTAGCAGGGAGAGAGTGGGGGCAGGGAGGGACTATGATTCCATCTGCAGAATTCTGGTGATCCCAAACTAATAGCCGTAACAACAGCACAGGCTGCTCAAGGCATGGGTTTGCTGTCCCCAGCCTGTGAGGTGGGTACTACTGTTCTCTCATTTAATAGATCAGTCACGGAGGTTCAGAGATGAGTGACTTTTGGCAGAGTCTCAGCTTCCAAGGCCTCATGTCACCTGTTGGTGCCCTGAGGTGTGGGCCTGCCACCTAGAGACCCACTCACTCTGCAGCCCCCTGATCCCCAGCACAGTTACCATGCCAGGCTGCAAGGGGCACCCTGGAGCCCAAGAGGAGGGACTCCTGGACTTTCCCAGGAGAACCACATGGTCCTGCCTCAGGTCCTGGGGCTGTACACAGCCATGGACAGCCCAGACTGTGGCTGCACCTGGTAATGACCTTGACAGAGTCTGAGGTATGAACTTCATCCCAGGCCAGGAGAAGCCGGGCAGCAGTGCCCCCTGCTGGTGCAAATGGGTCGGGGCACCACTCTCCAGAGGCATCGGTGGATGTGGCTGAGACCATGGCCACACACCCCAGAATGATCTGTCAAGGATGGGTGAAAGCTGATGGGGGATCTGGCTTTGCCACTCAATCGCCTGGCCTTGACCTTCCCTCTCCTGTTTCTGTGCCTCAGTTTCCCCAATAGTAAGGTGCTAGGCTCTAGGTTCCCTGCCTTTCCTCAGTGATCCTCAGGGTCTGACCCCTCCTCACCCTGTGTCTCTAACACTGTCTCCCTCTGTGAACGTCTGTCCTGAGGCAGGGCCCAGGGGCCCAGGGAACATCCTGGCCTGGCACTCACTCGGGGCCTCTCTTCTCCCTGGCCATGTGGCCAGGCCTCAAGTCTCGCCCCCTTATTGCCACTACTCTGCGGGAAGGAGCGACTTCACCACAAATTATTTTGTTCTAAAAGAAGGACAAAAAGAAAAGAGAAGCCGGGAGGGATGGGGGTGGCGGGAGGAGGAGAAGATTGCCTGAGCTGGCTTTGTGTGGTGCTTTAACCCCTGGACTGCCAGGCACTGGGTAGCAGCAGAGCAGGGGCTCCAGCAGCACCCAACCCCCCCACCCCATCCCCCTGTCAGATGACAGGGTCTTATCTCCCTGCCTTCTCGCTGTCACTCTACCGACCTTATCTCTCTCTGCTTGTCTGTCTTTCATCGGCTGCCTCTCCCCCCTCCTTATCTCCCCTCATCACCTCCTCTCTGTCTCTCCACATCCCTCCACTTCTGCTCAGCCTGGTGGCACGGCTCAGTCGTGGCAGCCTATTCTGTGACCTCTGGTGGTGAAGGAGCCTGTACTTGGGGCACAGACCTCCTTGGGTCACCTGAATGAACACATGGACCCAGTCAGGCTTGGAGACACATGCAGCAGTATGTGATGCATACAAATGCACACACACACGCACACGCACACGCACACACCCAAGACCCAGCTGTGAACAAAGACACTTGCAGAAATCTGCTCCTAAGACTCACAAGCCCCTGGGGGGTTAGAGACCCTCACCCCACCCCAGCCCCAACACGCAGGCACGTGCACACAAACGGATATGTTGAGCCCTCACACACACACACACACACACCCTCAGATTTACACTGCCACATGCACCTGCCCACAGACCCACCCCCCTTGGAGGAAGGCTGGGCAGATTCATTCTCCCCAACCTGCCCCTTCCTCCCTGGTGCCCATTCCCCATATTCTGTGCCCTGAATGACAGAGGAGCCCGTGGGATTGCCCAGAGCTCCTGCTAGTTCCTGCAAGTGCCCTGGGGCAGCACCCACAAAAAAGGGTCCAGATGCCTGAGCAGCGTGGAGGCATGGCTGTGTGTGTGCCCATGCATGGGCGTGAGCATCTTCTTTTTGGGATGGGGTATGTGGTGTGTGCTTATTGACTCCATCTCGCCTCAACCTCCTGCCTCCTCTCCAGCCCACTCTTCCCCTCTGCTATTCACAGTTACCTTGAGCTAGTCGGGGGCAGGGCTGCTCATGACCCTGAAATGGGGGGCCCTGAGGCCCAGAGAAGGCAGTGACAACCCCATCCCACCAACCACAATGACCAGCCTAAACTGGGCCCTCATCCCAGATGCAAGCTACGGAGCCCCTGGCCTTGCCCTGCCTTCAAGTCTGTGGGGGCGCTGGCCTTCCATGCCCTCTCTCAGAGGCCAAAGACAGGGTCTGGGTGCGGGTGAATACTGTGCTGAGGTGAGCTGTGCAGAGGGGTATGCAGGGCCCATGGCATGAGGACGTGGGACCACCTGGTCTCACCCCTGGCTTCTGCTTCCTTCCAGATTTACAAGGACAACCGGAACCTGTTCGAGGTACAGGAGAATGAGCCTCAGAAGTTGGTGGAGAAGGTGGCAGGGGACATTGAGAGCCTTCTGGACAGGAAGGTGCAGGCCCTGAAGGTAGGTGTGTGTTTTGGGGGCAGGGGGGCGGCACTGAGGGAGGGCCAGGTGGAGAGGTCCTGTACCATGAGGGCAGTGTCCTGAGCCTTCATCACGTGGCCCTCCTGAGTTCAGCTGGGCCAACATCAGCAGGGCTGTGCCCACGTGGAATGTGGGCAGCTGCGGCAGGAACAGGATGATACTATCTGGAGTAGCTGCATGAGAGGTGGTGACTTGGAGTCTTGGGGCTCTGTGTGATCCTGAGGCTGGGACTGGGGCAGGCCCTACCCCTCCCTCCTTCCGGGCCTGGGGTTTTCCCATCCCTCTGGGTCCCCAGGTTTGTTTATGGGTGGTGCCCTGGATGGGCACCTGGCCAGGATAGTGACCTGCTGCTGGTGGAGTTTGCCCCTGAGGTAGGCTGCAGGCTCTCTTGGAGGGAGTGTCGAGGGGGCTCTGCAAGCCCCACAGAGAAGGCCACGTAAGGATGGGGGCTGCTCTGCCCATGGCTTTGAATGTTTCTCTGCTCCCCCATCTGGGCCTCTATATTCAGAGAGGTTGTGCCTGTCAGCCTCAGACCACTATAGTTCTGAGGGGTAACAGGAATGCGCTGGGCTGCCATGACAAAGCAGGCAGACCCCTGACACTCAGCCCATCCCAGGGAGAGTAGGTGGGATGGGGCTTCTCAGCTGCCAAGTGACCAGGGAAGGTCATACGTAAATGAGTGAGAGGCATCCAAGCTCCCCCCAGATCAGAGGCATAACTGCAGTTGCTCCAGCCTGTGTCAAAGACAAACTAATCCAATAAAAAGGAGCAAAGCTGGGCATGGTGATGCACACCTGTAGTCTCAGCTACTCAGGAGGCTGAGGCTTGAGCCCAGGATTTCAAATTCGAGGCTGCAGTGGGCCATGATCATGCCACTGCACTCCAGCCTGGGCAATAGAGTAAAAACCTCATCTCTTTAAAAAAAAAACAAACAACAAAAAAAACGGAATAAAGTCTCCTGATGCTTGCTTGCTACAACATGGATGAACCCAAAAACATTATGCTAAGTGAAAGAAGTCAGTTACAAAAGACCACATATTGTGTGATCCCATTTCTATGAAATGTCCAGAATAGGCAAATCCATAGAAATGGAAAGTAGATGCATGGGTGCCTGGGAAGGGAAGGGATAGGGAAGGCCTGCTAATGGGTACAGGGTTTCTTTTTCGGAGTGATGAAAATATTCCAAAATTAGATTGTGGTGATGGTTGCACAACTCTGAATATACTAAAAACCACTGAATTGTATACTTTATTTGGGTGGATTTGCTGGTGTATAAATTGTATCTCAATAAAGCAGTTTTTTTAAATGAGCAAGTCTACACAGGCTGTGCCCAGGCTCAGGCCAGGGTCCTGGCTGGGTTAAGTCAGGGTGGCCACCCCAGCCTACACCCTGCCATATCCAGTCCCCAAGAGAGAACCAGAATTTCCTTCTCCAGGAGCTGGGCCCTGCTGTCCCCCATGGGATCCCCTGCCTGTCCCTATGTGACCTGGGGCCATGAAATAGGTGGAGACTGCTTCTTGGGGCCAGCTTCCCAGAGAAGGTGGACTCTGAGGACCTCCCACCCAGAGGACCCAGAGCAGGGCTCCACCCACCCTTCAGGATCTCCTGGACATGAGTGTGGGAGACAGCGGGGAGCAGGCAGAGCCACGCCTTCTGCAGGGATAGCAGCCCATTACGCTCGCCTCTCTCAGCCAGTGCATCGCGCCCCACCTTCTCACCTTTCTGAACTGGGCGTGCCTGGATGCCCTTCTCCTGCCTTTCCCTTGTTCTCCGACCCTGTCTCCACCCCACTTCCTTCCAGACCCCTCATTTGCACACTACTTCCTAGCTTTGCTGCCCCCTGTCCAGTTTACAAATGTGGGCACCCAGCCCTGAACTTGTGTTGGAACTGTCTGATAAATGCGGGAAGGGACAGCCCTCAGGCCTTTCGGCCTGCCACTCAGCCAGGCCGGCACAGCAGGGGTGCTGAGTGGTGGCAGAGACAAGACGCCTGACCCACCCTCCATGCGTGGAGCCCAGGGCCCAGCCTCCTGCCCAGCCCCTTGGGAATCACAGGGCTGGGGTCTCTTTCCAAGCCACTTCCCCCACCCCTAAAGGAACAATCAACTCCGATAGCTTGGGAGGAGCAGCCAAAGGCCTGAGGTCCTGGTCCCAACCCTCTCCCTGCACCCCCCTTGCTGGACTCTGCTATGTGAGGGAGACAGATGTCTCTCCCTTCCACTGCACCTGCAGCCCAGCCATGGCCTGGGACAGTCGGCACTAAACAGAAATTATTTTCTTTTCTTTCTTTGTTTTTTTTTTTTTTTTTTTTGAGACAGACACTCTGTCACCCAGGCTGGAGTATAGTGGTGCAGTATTGGCTCAGTGCAACCTCCATCTCCTGAGTTCAAGTGATTCTTGTGGTTTAGCCTCCCAAGTAGCTGGGATTACAGGCGCCCACCACCATGCCCAGCTAATTTATGTATTTTTAGTAGAGACAGCATTTCACTATGTTGGCTAGGCTGGTCTCAAACTCCTGACCTCAGGTAATCCACCCACCTTGGCCTCCCAAAGTGCTGGGATTACAGGCCTGAGCCACCGCATCTGGCCCAGAAATTATTTTTTATGAGAAATGATGGGGAAAGGCATGTACTGACCAGACAGATACTCACCGTGTGCTGAGTCTATCATGCATCATTCTCACAGCAACCCGGAGAAGGAAGCCCTGGCTACCTTGGCTTCACAGAGGGGGACACTGGGACTCAGAGGTGCCATGCATCAGGCCAGGATATGGCAGAGCCAAGATTTGAACTCAGGTCTCCCTGACTCTGAGCCAGCCCCTTGACTCCCCCACATTATTCCTGAGGCGTGCACTGAGCCCATAGCTCATGGCCTCCCAGCGCTCCTGGGCAGTGAACTCCTCCTGCTGCAGCACCCCTGGCTGTAGACACACGAGATGCTTCTGCCCATATCCCCAGAGGAGGGGGAGGATCACCCTTCCCCCTGCTTGGTCCTAATTGTTGAAGATGAGCTTTGGTTTTAATTATGTTTTAAATGTGCTTTTAATCAAGTCCTGGTCCCTTTCTCCTTTTTCACATTTGTTTGCAGTCTGAGTGTATATGGAGGGAGGGCTGTTGGGGGACTGGACCCCCACCCCCCACTACATTGTTCCTCTCTCCCTGGACCCCATCCAGTAATCCAATTTAAATCCTTTGCTCTGGGCTGGAATTCTAATTGGGGGCTTGCAAAGAGGGAGCTGAGCAACACAGGACGGAAGTTCATTGTCTCATCTAATCAGGGACAATCAGATGTTTGTAACGAGTTTCTCCAAGCTGCAAAGGGTGGTTGCTGGGGCCAAGAGTCAGGAGGGAGCAGGCCAGATCAGGGGCCTTGCAATGCAAGCAACCAGCATCCCCAAGTCTGGGAAACAGGCCGGGCCCTCAGCTTCAGAGACATGGAGGGGTACCTGTCTTGGAACTTTGACTACCTAGGGAGATGGGGGCCTCTGAACTAAGGCCCACTCTCTCAGAGTCTTGAGTCCTGGGAGGAATAGGGAGGTGCCTAAGTTCTTATAGCAGACTTGGACCCAAATCAGGACTCTCCTGCCCTCCCAGCTGGGTCCTAGTCTACAGCCTGGCTCTCAGGAAGACCACCCCCTCATCATTACATTCCTCCTCCATCTGTTCACCAACATCCGCCAATGGCTACTGTTTACCATGCCCTGTTCAGGGCTGGGGGTGCAGTGATGAAGGACAGGCCCGGTTTCTGCCCTTGTGGAACTCTCAGTCCAGTGCTGTCCCAGGCCTTAGTTTCTCCCCCTATGAAATAAGGACATGAGCACCCTCCCTGCCCAGCACTTCTGGTTTCACAACTCCAGGGGCGTCAACTTGTAAAGACCACAGTGTGAACAATCTCTTGAAGGTTGTGCCCCTGCAGCACCATCCTGTGCTGTGTGGCTCAGAGGAGAGGCCATGGGGGAAGGGAAGGTACTGCCCAGGATTAGGTGAGGGGTGACCCCAGTGGGAGAGATTCCAGCCTCCTCTCAGAGACACAGCCAGGGGTATCGAGGCTCAGCGGGCTTGGTTCCTAGAGAAAGGGAAGCCCAGGGCTAGGACAGCAAGGCCAGAGCAGGTTCCAGAAGGACATCAACATGGTGGCTAGAAACCTGCTTTCCGGGAGGCCCTTTTGCCTCCTTCCTCAAACAAACCAGAGGTGGTGGGAGGCCCCGCTAGGAATCTAGCACCTGGAGACACCAGCCCCAGGCTTAAGCCCAGCACCCCTCCTAACATGCCTGTGCCCCTCAGGTCCCTCCCATTGTCCTAAGGGTCAGACCTTTGCCTTAGTGCAGCATTTCTGAACCCTGGTTGCACATTGGAATTGTCTAAGGAGCTTCTAAAATTATGGCACCCAGCTTCTGCTTCAGATCAAGCGCATCAGATTCTCGGGGGGTCAGCAGGGGTGGAGGGGCGGGGCATCAGGATGTTTTAACGTGCCACAGATGATTCTGTGTAGATTCAGAGTTCAGGGATTTTTTTTTTTTTTCGAGACGGAGTCTCACTCTGTCGCCCAGCCTGGAGTGCAGTGGCATGATCTCGGCTTACTGTAAGCTCCGCCTCCCGGGTTCACGCCATTGTTCCGCCTCAGCCTCCCGAGTAGCTGGGACTACAGGTGCCTGCCACCACGCCTGGCTAATTTTTTTTTTTTTTTTTTTTTTTTTTTTGTATTTTTAGTAGAGATGGGGTTTCACCATGTTAGGATGGTCTCGATCTCCTGACCTCGTGATCCGCCCGTCTCGGCCTCCCAAAGTGCTGGGATTACTGGCGTGAGCCACCGCGCCCGGCCAGAGTTCAGGATTTTTCCCAGAAAATGGTCGAAATCTTTACTTCCCAGGATTACTGGCCTCTGAGTGCCCACCAAGTGCCGGACCTGAAATAAGCCTGCATGCTCTGTATTGCTCTGAATCCTCACACAGGTCGCTGGGTTACTCTCCTCTCTCTATTTTACGTTTTGAGGAAACTGAGCTTCAGAGAGCTTAAGCCACTTGCTCCAGGTCTCACAGCAAAACCAGGGTTTATTTATTTAGGAGACAGAGTCTTGCTCTGTCACCCAGGCTGGAGCGCAGTGGTGGGATTTCAGCTCACTGCAACCTCTGCCTCCGAAGTTCAAGCAATTCTCATGCCTCAGCCTCCCAGGTAGCCGGGATTACAGGTGTGTGTCACCATGCCTGGCTATTTTTTTGTGTTTTAGTAGAGCTGGGGTTTCGCTATGTTGCGCAGGCTGGTCTCGAACTCCTGGGCTCAGGCAACCTGCGCGCCTCGGCCTCCCAAAGTGCTAGGATTACAGGTGTGAGCCACGGCACCTGGCCAAAACCAGGGTTTAAATCCAGATAGTTGGGCTCCAGACCCCACAAATGGCTCCCCAGCCACTGCCCTCCTCTGTGCTACCATTAGTGGCCATGTGGTGTTTGCTGTCCAGAGTGGGACAGGGTCAAGGGAATAGGAGATGGGACACTGGTTTCCTCTGACAGGGGCTTGCTCTCTGATGACCTAGTGACCTTGGGCAAGTCCCTGCCCCCTCAGTTTCTTCCTTGGGCAGTGAAGACAAGACACTGAGCACCCCTCCCACACCCCCATGAGGCTCAGATGGATGGGAGGGGGCGGCATGCAGTTCTGGCCTTGGTTCTAGGGGCTCCAGTGGGCATTGTTCCCACCATTGGTGGCCTCTCTGGGGAATGAGCATCATTTAAAGAGTAAAATTAAAAACCCTTCTGCACACAGCCGCCCTGCTTTTGCTGCTAATGGCCACTTAACCCAATTAAAGTGATGCATTGTTGGCAGTGTGACCGGGTCTGTTCAGGAACTGGGCTCTGGGCTGGGCATTCAGAGGGGCAGGAGGTGTGAGCCAGGGAGGGAGTCAGGGACTGTGGGGCAGCAGACCGCTCCCTTTGTCAGGAAGGAGACCATCCTACCCAGCTCCCACCTCCTTTCTAAAGCCTTATCTAAAGCAGGGCGTCAGCCTCGGCACTGCTGACATCTTGAGCTGCATCCTGCTTTGCGGTGGGGCTGCCTTGTGCACTGTGGGATGTTCAGCAGCACCCTTGCCCTCTACCCACTAGATGCCAGCAGTACACCACTCTCCCAGTTGTCATGACCAAAAATATTTCTAAATACCGCCAAATGTTGCCTGGGGGCAAAGTTGCCCCAGTTGAGAACCACTGGCCTAACGGGACAGAGATGCAGCCATGAGAGCCACAGCAGGGAGATACTGGGGGCCTCGGAGAGGTGCAGGCAGAAGGGCCAGCAGGAGAAAGATCCCTTCAGTCCAAAGAGGTCACAGGAAGGCTGCCTGGAGGAGGCAGCAAGATGTTGGGGAAAGTTTGGCACTGAGGCAGCTGGAGGCCAGTTCAGCTGAGTCCACGGGTGCATTCACTGACGAGGGTGAGACAAACAGGTTGGCCCCTGGAGGACCAGGCCATGGATGTCGCCTACTGCCAAGGCCTGGCCTGGAACAGAACACGAGTTCTGCAAACTGGTGAACATTTGTAGAACAGTTGCCAGCGCTGTGGCTCTGGGTTGTGGCTGGGGCTCAGCCTCTGGGATCTGACTCCACACTAGGGAAGCTCTAAAAGGTGCAGTAATGGTAGATGGACAGGCAGGAAATCCTGTGGCATTGGCTGCCTCCTCCCACCCTTCTCTGGGCAATTAAAAGGTGTTTATGTGGGGCTGGCGATGGCTTCTGCCTCCCCTCCATTATGAACATTAAGAGATCTTGACCCTTCCACTCTCCTGCTCTGGAAAGGAGCCGCAGACACGTGGAGCCAATTAGGCGCACGCGTGGGCGCCAAGCGCCCAAGCAGCCTTTTCTCCCTGATTGCGGCGTTTACAGCTGATTATTCTCCCCTCACCCAAACAGTGCCGCTGCTTCCTGGCAAGTTGCCGCCCACAGGAGCCAGCTGGGGGTCCCCAGGGATGGGGGAAGCATTGGGGATTGGGAATCTGTTGGACACCCATTGTGTGGGCACCCTTGGGGCCCTCCGCCTACAGAGGGAGGCAGCCAAAGAGCTGGCTGGCAAGGAGATAAGGAAGGGACTTGGTGGTGAACGCTAGGAGAAACCAGGGAGCATGCGGTGGCAGAGCGACCACCAAGGAATGGGAGTCAGAGAGGGCTCCTTGGACGAGGTGGCCTGGATGTCTGCGGAAGGGACGGTAAACCCAAGTGTCCCTGGGGTCAGCGTGAGCCTTGGGCAAAGACGCTACCCCCAACAGCTGGACATGAGTGTGGGGACGGCCTCCCCTGCCTGCATCTCTGTCTGGCAGTCGAGAATCCTGAGACCCCTTGAAGGCCTCCAGCTGGGAGCTGGTCTCCCTGGGAAGGTCAAGGGAGACAGTGCAGGTGGGACATGGCTGGGACATGGCCAAGGGTCCTCAAGAGAAATAGTCATTCTCTTGTCTTCAGCCACCCGCCTGAGCTAGTGGTGGTCAGACAAGGGCCTGGCCCAGCCTGCCAGGCCTTGGGAAAGGTTGACTTGTGGAT
This sequence comes from Homo sapiens, assembly GCF_000001405.40. Taxonomy (NCBI): domain Eukaryota; kingdom Metazoa; phylum Chordata; class Mammalia; order Primates; family Hominidae; genus Homo; species Homo sapiens. The sequence continues at coordinate 50,426,779 of NC_000003.12, read as the reverse complement.
TTGGGGCTAAGCTTCTCTGGCCCCTGAAACTGCTCCGTGGAGCAGGCCCTTCTCCTGGGACCTCCTCCAAGATGCAGGGACCTCAGGAGGGGTCAGAAGCGCTGTGATCATTCCTGACTAGCACCTACTAGTCAAAATAAGGGTCTAGGGGGCTGGTGTGCAACACTCCTGAGGCCCACAGAGCCTGATGGGTCAGCCCCACCACCTGTACCCAGCCACCGAATTCTCCCTAGTGGCTGAAGTTCAGAGGAAGGGATTGACTGCAGGCATGTGTCGGGCCTGGAAGCTCAACACCTTGGGTGTCCTGACTGGTGTCACCCCACCTCCTGTGGGGACACCTTGGCTGAGCTGCCCCAGGCCCAGCTCTCACTGCAAGAGCCTGTCCCACCCTACGGCCTTGCTTTTGATGCCAGGTGCCTCCCCTGGGAGTGCCATGCAGCCTCCCTGGCTTTCACTTGCTCACTCAGTCATTCAGCAAACCTCTGCTGCCCCAGCCTGGCCCTAGGCCTTGTGTGATTCCAGTCTCTACTTGCTGTGGGGCAGAATGCCCGTTTTACAGATGAGAAAACAGAGTCGGAGACTAGATGTCAACCCTGGTCACTGCCTGGGTGAGGCAACGTCACAGTTCCCCTTGCTTACCCTGGCTCCTGAGCCTGTGTACCTGCCCTCCCAGAGCTCCCAGGGATTGGGAGGAAGTAGAGTGGTGCTGACTGGGGCAAAGGGGAAGGCCAGGGGAGGAAGGGAAGGTGAGAAAGCCGGGTGGAGGGCAGAGCATGAGCAAGGGCCTAGAGGCAGGACCTCGACTGGGGGTTGCTGGGGAGCAGCTGGAGAGGATGGCCAGTCCCACTCAGAGAAGGCTCCAAGTGCAGGCTGGGAGCTGTTGCCCCGAGTTTCCTTTTTAATACCCTTGCACCTCACCACCAGAGGAGAGGAATCCAGGACAGGGAGATGAGAGTCCGTTGAATGGAGAAAATGAACCCCAGGGAGGGAGATGTATGTGTCTCCACTCCCCAGAGAAGGCCTGCGTAGAGGGAGGATCCCCTGATGGTGCCCACTTCTCCGGGGGTCCCAGGTGGCGAAGGGAGCAGATGCAAAGAGGTGGAGGGAAAGGGCCTGCAGGTGCCACAGGGACAAACCAGCCTAATTTAGGATCAGAGAAGTAAGAATTTTAATTGAGTTTTAATAGTGTCTGGCCCTTCGTTCTGAAATCCTGGTGTGCGAGGCTGGGGGAGGGTAGGTGCATGTGAGGAAGGGCGAGCCGGTGGCCAGGATGATCCCTGCCCTCGGGCCCAGACTTCAAGGAGATGGGGAACAGGCTGTGGGGTCCCAATGTGCAGAGCAGCTAACATGGGACAGGCAAGTCTAAGAAGACAGCCTGGAGGAGGTAGCATTTGAGCTGAGCCTTGGAAGGCAGGTGGAATTTCCAAAGATAGAAGAAAGGAAGAAGGAAGGCATCTTAGTAGAGTTCCCAGCCTGGGCACTGGCTTAGCAGTGAGAGTGAGCAGAACTGACTCAGGCTGAATCTGCTGAGATGGGAGTACTGGGGGCTGGGAGGGGAACCTGGAAGGTTTGGCCTGGGCATCAGTTTCCACTGCAGGGGAGAGGGTGTGTGGGGGTGACAGAGGCAGGGCACAGGGTTCTACGCCTGAGTTCTGGGGTGGTAGCTGCATATCCACAAGCTTGGCCCTGTGGAAGCATGGCCCTGGGAGCGGCCAGTCACTTCTCTGGCCCCACTTTCTGTGCCTTAAAATACATAGCGAGCGATGCCTCTCTGTGGCAGTGGGTACCTGTGGGAGGTACCTTGGCTTACAGGGGTGCTGCTGGGGAAGGCCAGTGCCACAGACCCAGGTAGGGGGATAGGGTGGCAAGAAGGCCCTCGGGACCCTCCTAGACCCTCAGCTGTCTTCCCCAAGCTAACCCCTGAGGTTTCACTGGCTCCAGGTGCCATGGTGACCCGGGCAGGGGCACCTGAGGTTTTCCTGGAAGAGACTCCACCTTGACCCTGGCTCCTCCTGTCCTGGGATACTGGGTGCCTCAGGTTCCGTTGCTTCAGCTTCTGTTTACTGAGCACTGGCCCTTGCTGTGTGCTGGCATCGTAGTAGGTTACCAGGTACGGGGACAGCACGAATAGACCTGCTAGGCCCCTCCCTTGAGGAGTGCAGTCTGCTGAAGATGGCAGTGATGCATACCACAAAGGGTGGAGCCATGGGGCAAGCCCATGGGGATACTTGACCAGGCCTAGGGGACCTGGGAGGAGGGAGGATTTAGCTAGGCAAGGGAGAATAAGGGAGCAAGAAGGCCCAAGGTCCTGAGGTGGAGAGCGCGTGCGTGTGTGTTGGGGTGCATGCATGCAGTGGCAGAGGGTCTTGCCCACTGGCAGGCTCCACAGAGCACATGTGCAGATGCAGTGTGAGGCCAGTCTCCCTGGGGTACACGGGGCTCCCTGGGGTCTAGCCGAGACCCCATCCAGGGACCACATCCCACACAGTCCAGACCTTGCACTGCCCCAAAAAAGAACCTGTGGCCAAGGGTCCCTCTTAGGCAGGTGCAGCATGGCACGGGGTGCCCATGACCAGAACCAGAGCATAGAAGGTAGCCAAGAAGCAAAGCCCTCACACACCCTGTGCTGCATCCCCCACTCACACTTGAGCAGCACTGAGCCCTTGGCAAACCTCACACTCTGTGAGCCTCAGTTTCCCTACCAGTACAGTTGGAACAGGTATGGCCGCACAGATCTGTCATCAGAGTTTATGCCCAGGCTTTGGTGACACCAGTCCAGGGAGGGATGCTTCTGGGGGTATTGCGTGGGGCAGGCCCCGCAGACAGATGGATCTGTCCTCCTTTAGCTCCGCCCCGTGTGTAGAACAATCCTGGGCTGCAGGGCCTCCTGCCAGCCTTCCCCTCTTTGGGGGCCTTGTCAAGGGCCCTGTCCCCACCTCCCATCTCTGAGGGCCAAAGTATCCAGCTGCTCGAAGCTTCCTGCCTCCTGGCACAGGCCTGGGGGCCCTTGTTTGAGAGGCTGGGCACGGTTGTCGGGCCCTTTGTTGCAGCCTCCTGTGTTTGCCCACTCTGTGCCTTGACAAATGGGAGTTGCAGCATGTTTGCTGTGTCAACACCAGCTGGAGCCCAGTTACGGAGATCAGCTAGGGCAAGACGCCCCATCCTTCAGCCTCCCAGATGCCTAGGGTCCAGCCCCTCCCTGGACAGGGTTGGTGGACAAGTGGGCAGCTCTCCATTCTTGATTCACATATTCATCCCACAGGACTGCCAAGTGCAGGCTGGGCAGGCATCTGAAACCAGCAGGGGCAGCCCTAGGCAATGGGGTGGGACTTAGAAAAGGTCAGCAGGGCAGGCAGTCTCTACCTGGCACAGCAGCCATGAAGTCTTTGAAGATTCAGTGTGGGGCTTCCCAGCCTTCTATTCAAGATCCCTCTGAGCAGCCCTTGCTGCTCTCTCCTCCCCTGTGTCCCCAGTCATCAGGTCTGGCAGCCTCCGAGGAGAGGAGCCTTAGGTGGTCAAGCAAATGGACAGAAGAACAGACAGATAGCCAGTGAGGCAGGGTCAGGGCAGGGGATGGGACTGCCGGGATGGGGCTTGAGGAGACCAGGAACCAGGCAAGCTGAGATCCATCCATGAGCTGCGTAGGCATAGGCCAGGGGTCAGGGAGCCACAGCCCTGGGGAGGGCAGAAATGAGCAGCTTTGGTTGGTGACTGGCACTGAGGGGCAGCTGTCAGAGACAGATGGGGGAACAGGGGACCAGAAAGGGGAAGCAGCTTACCCTGGGTCTGGGGGGAACCTGGGTTCTTTCACTTCAGCCAACGCTGCTCCACCACTTAGGGACCAGGTCTGTTGGCCGCGTAGCAGAGCTGGGCCAACTAAATCCTGTTTACTTCTGAAATAAGACCCCCCACCCACTTCATAAGTAGGTTTTCCAGAAATGAGTCTGTGAGGGTGACTCGGCTTCCAGGGCAGCATGGATCAGGCAACTGGATGAAGAGGGAGAAGCGCCAGGCGAGATTGCAGCTACAGCACTGACCCATCAGCCTTGTGGCCTTTGCCAGTGATTTCCTTTTTCTCCCCAGTTTCCCCATCTGTAGATGGGCAGTAAGAGTCCACCTGGTAGGACTGCCAGTGGGGTCTTCTGAGGGGAAGTGTGGTCAGCATGCAGATCGCCTGTGCCGTGTGGCTATCGCTATTGAAAGAAGGGGTCTCACATTTTTCTGAGCTTGCATCTTGGATCCTTTGCTCCAGGAGGGGGCTTGGCAGGGAAGATCCCTGTCACTTGACTCCACTTTGAGATTCTGTGAAAAAGTGTCCTAGTTACCTGGAAGCACAGGGAAGGGGCATTGAGGCTGAGGCTAGAGGGAAGGAGGGAGTTTGCACCTCAGAGCAGGGAGGAGCATTCTGACAAAGGGAACAGCCTGTGGCAACCTGGGGGAGTGGAGTGGAAGATCTGGCAGAATCCAGGGCGGCCTCCAGCTTCCACTGTGTGGGGAGCCAGGTTCCAAGTTCTGAACTGGGGTGGGCAGTTAGACTCCAGTCCACAGGAAGTGGGGTGGTCAGGGTGGAGGCCTTTGTAGTTGTCAGGGGAGGGGTCAGAGGCCTGAAGCCAGAGCTAGGGCTGCAGGGATGTCGGGGTTGACTCAGGATAAGGTGAGGCAGCCAGGGAGGGATGGTCCGTGACAGCTCCTGGTGCTAAAGAGGATGGAGGGTAGAAGCAGTGCCTTTGGGTCAGGGGATCTCTGGCGGGAGCAGACTGCAGGGTGAGAAGGCAGAACCCCCAGGAACCAACGTGGATGGTCAGGAAGCAGGCAGTGCCTCCTGCCTGCCTCTCGTATTCCTTCCTCAGATGTCTGCCGACACCTCCCCAGGAGGCAGCCAGTGAACTGGTGGGGTGCATCAGTGAGCAGTTCCCAGTCACTTGGGGTCAGAGGGCATGGCCTTTCCCCTGGACTCACTCACATCCTGGGGTCCTGGTGCAAGTGTAGCATCATGTTCCTGGCCAGAGTTCTGAGGGGCTTGAAGCTTTTCTGAGTTTGCACCTTGGACCCTTGGCTCCAGGTGCTGGAGGCCTCGTGGCCCTGCTGGGGGATAGTTTTTAGAATGATGGGCTTCAGAGTCCCAGATCATCTTCCTGTGTCCCTGTAGTACCAAGGGCTGAAGAGTTGGGGAGCAGGGCACCATGGGGTGGGAGGAGTGCCCTGGGCTGATGCATCCCCACCACGAGTCAGGTGAGAGAGTTGGGAAGACCCTGTCCCCAGGCCCAGCAGGTTAGTAGTAAACATTTAAAGAGAGAAAATGGACCCATCTGTGCTTCATCTATGGACAGCAGTGACACCCCAGCCTTGTGACTGTGGCCTGGGTGAGGGGGGCAACTGCACCAGTTGCACCAGAAGCACCAGTCCCCACAATCTCCTCAGGGTGACCCTGACCTTTCCCTGCCACCCATTTGCATACCTGGGCTCCCTTTTATCAAATATTCTTCTGCTAATCCCATCTCCCTGCGTGACTGCCCTGTAATTAGCTCACTTTGCAAAATATGATGTCTGTCATAGTTCCCCCTCCACGTTTTTCTTTTCCCAGGAAAGGGTAAGGAGGGAATGGGATGAAGAAAGATTTCTGGATGTGGGGCCACCTCACAGGTGAGCTCTGGCCCCCTCCCCAGCACACAGGGCCCCTCAACACATGCCCCAGCTCAGCTCCAGAGCCTGGAGAGCCAATGGAGGTCAGTGAGCAGGGCCTGAGGGTGTCAGAGACCTCCCAGAACCCAGGGGAAGGGATGGCACAGGCCTGACTGAGCCCTGCCCCAGGAGTGCCCATGTACCCTATTCACACCTGGGAACTGCCCAGGCCCAGGCTGGGCTAAGACTAATGAGATACTAAGTGGCCTTTCCCACTCACAGCCTGGCACATGAGGGCATGTGTGTGACAGGCAGGCTGGGGGCAAGGAGGAAGGGGTGAGGGGGCCAGGACGCCAGCATTGCCTCTACTCAGCACATATAGCCACACATGGATGGGCTGTGCCAGTTGCCAGGCATGCAGCAAACACAGCTGACAGGAACCCCAGTGATCGTCGCCATCATCTGTCCGTCCACCTACCTGTCAGACAACTTCCCATAGCTGGTGGGCTGCCTGGAGCCCCCACACCCTCCCACTCTCCACCCTGACCAAGGTTTGGTTCATCTCTCAGGAAGGGGCTGCCAGGGGCTGTGGACTATGCACAGGGTATGTATACAGCCCCGCAGTGGGTCATATGTGGCCCAAGCCTTGGCCCTGACCAAGCATCACAACTCCAGCCAGGCCACCAGGCAGAGGGAGCAGCACAGCAGTTTAAGCTGTTTTCAAGTCAGTATTTGGTGCTACCCTAGCCACAGCACCACTGCTGAGCCCCCACCACTCCCCACATGGAAAACCAGAGGCTGCTGAGGCCCCATCTGCACAGAGGGCCCCGTGCAGCTCAGAGCCTGCCACATTGATGGACCCCAGCCGGGCAGGGGCAGCTGGGAGGACCATGCATGGAGCCTTCAGCTGGCATGGCCTACTTTTCTGCTCTCCCCCTTGCTGCCCCATCAGCTCCCCTCCTTCTCTTACTGCGACTCCCTCGGGATGTCAGGACGTGAATTCTCTTTAACTTTTAATTAAAAATCTTCTCCTTTCTCCCCACAAGGTTCACTTCACTGTGATTTTCCTCTTAGAAGGAGAGGTGGAGGGAAGAGAGACGGCAGGCAAGGAGCAGAGGCCAGGCCTTCCGCGTCTCCGCGGGGGACCTGGGGAAGCAGGGCCTGGCCCCAGGGAACTGCTGGCCACCCTCTCCCCTGTGGCACCCTCTGTGGCTTCCCATCATGCCAGGGGAGGCATTTCTTTTCTTTTTTCCCCTAAAGCCTACAGCACCCAGTTTTCCCATGTGGTCTCCCATTCCAGTACTAACCAGGCCTGACCCTGCTTAGCTTTTGAGATCAGAAGAGATAGTGCACGTTCAGAGCGGTACAGCCATAGATGTGCAGGGAGGCGTCTGAGGGTTCCAACCCTAGGTGTCGCTGCCAGATATGGGAAACGGCACCAGCTCCTGAGGGCTCTGTGTGTGCTTCCGCCACATCCTGCATACTCACTTAAGGCTACAGCATGTGCCCATTAAACAGGCCGGGATTTCCTCAAGTAGAAGGGGCCCCGACTTTCCCATGAGGGTGCTTTTAACTCTGGTAGCTTCAGGTTCACTCCCGAGCCCAATGGTCATAGGATGGGAAGGGCCCACAGGGTTATTCATCAAGTGAGAAGCAGCCCAGGTTTGGTGTCATGGGCCTCAAGGTCACCAACGGGGTCACCAATGTTTCCCTTGTAGAATTCCCGACTCAGAGCTCCAACCATGGTGTCAGGTCCTGGCTCATGTGGTCAGGACCCCAGGTATGCTAGAGACCCAGGTCCTTGACCTCAGGCAGCCAGAACAACATCTCTAATTATGGGGCTGGAGAAGGGCTGGCCCATCCCCCTTTCCGAGGCAGTGATCCGTTAGCCCATCCCTAACTCTGAAGGGAGATGCCACCATGTCCTCAGGTCCCTGTTTTAGAGAGGGAGCCCACTAAATGGAAGTTCTTCCTTGTATGATACCATGATGCCTCTTGCAAAAGCCTAAGCCTCTTTCCGTGGCTCCGCCTCTAGAGAACTTCAGCTGAGACTCCCCCTCCCATAATCTCTCCCTGGCCCAGGAAATAGGGATTGAGTCACCAGCTCCCCATGTTCCTCTCACCTCCCCCACTCCTCTGCAGGCTGAGCAACTCCATCTTAGGGCTTCCAGATACAGCCCAGAGCACACAGACTCATCCAGGATCATCCCCCAACTCCCACACTGAGACGCTGCTCCCCATGGTTGCATATCTCCCTCCCCCAGAGGCCAGGCTCCCCTCCATACCCGCAAAGGCTCAGGGACTCAAAATCCCAGCCATGCCCCAGCTGTGAGGGAGAAACAGGGGAACCCCCTCAAGGCCCATGCCTCTGAGGGGCCCCACCCCTGCATTCCTCCATCCCTCCACCTCATTCTCCCTCTCCACCCTGCAGCAGCCAGTGGACACAGCTGGGCATCATGGGGAGCACCAGGATGCCGCAGAGAAGAGGCGGCCATGGCCCTGTGGAGCTAGAACAAAGATCCCTGCACACTGGCCCCCCAAGCTGCCCTGCATTCCCCTCCTGAGGCTTCCTGCACATGCCCTGCTTCACAGACCCTGAGGACACCCTGACCGGCCCTGGGAGTGCTCAGGGAGACATCCCCAAGGAGTTGAGTGGGCCTGTGGCAAGATTTGGGAATGGGTGAAATTAGAATTAGCCAGGAAGAGGGAAGGGCAGGCCACGTAGGGGCATAGCACAAGCAAAGGCAGGAAGGGGCTTGCACAGGGGCCTGGTTGGAGTTCGGGGCAGTGGAGGGCCAAGAAGGTAGAAAGAGCAGTGGGAACTTTGAACACCACACAGGGATTTCAACCCTGGCATTGGACACTCTGGAAGCCCTTTGAGTAAGGCAGGGGTGTTACTTGTTCATTTTACAGACACATGTTGAGCACCTACTGTGTGTCCTTCCCTGGTCCAGCCCCAGGCAGTGCCCTCTTCTGCGGCTCTGCAGATGGCGAGGTGGGGGTGATCACAGAGAAGGAGCCTATGATCCCTCACAGGGCAGGGTGCGGTCTCTTTGGGCCAATAGGAGCACAAGTACAGTCCTGCCTCTCACAGCACTGCCACCACCTCCCATCTGGCCCCTTCGCGGGGCCCATTAATTTCCAAACCTGATACAGGCAGGGATGTGTGGCTCTTCCTCCCACTGTAGCACATGTTGGTGCTCCCTGAACCCCATCCTGCCAGGCTCCACCCATCCATTCATTCCCCACGTACACACTAAGTGTCTACTGTGTGCCAGATCCTGCACTAGTTGCTGGGGACTGCACAGCGACAGGTCGGCCTGGTCCTGCCCTCAGGGACCTTGTGGGCCAGGCAGGAAGCAAAGTAGATGAGTAATGTGAGAATGCATAATGGGCTGTCATAGGTGCCAGAGGACAAGCAGCAGGGGGGCAAGGAGAGGGTGCTGGTGCCCTCCCCACATCCACAGGTGCAAACCTGGAGCCTGCACAGGCATGAAGACAGTGAGGAGGAGGAGGAGGAGGCATGCCTTCCTCCTGGCTCTGGGCCTGCGCCCCACCTACCCACCGGTGATCCAGCTTCCTGAGGATCTGTGGGGTCCTCCCCGCTGCCCAGCCCTGTGAGGGAGCAGGTGGGGAAAGGTGCAGTGTAGGCACAGCAGACGGCGCTGGACCATCCTGGGTTACCAGCCCCAGGCCACCCTGAGCAGCTGCTGATGTCAGCAAAAGAGACCCCCCAAGTGCCCTTTAGAGTTCACAAGCAAGGGTTGCAGGGCCTGCCTAGGCCAGAAACAAGCAGGGTGTCTGTCAGCTCATGGGGGTTGTCATGTGGTTGGGATGTGCCCTGTGTGGATATCAGGCATGGTGCTGGGTAGATATGTGTGCCTGTATGTATGGCTAAGGTGTGGGCCAGGGCCACAATGGCAGAGCCTGCATGTATGGGGGTGTGTGAGTGAGACATGTGTCTACACCAGAAGAGTCTGAGGAGATGGGGTGGGAGGAGAAGGGAGAGCTCCACCACCTCAAAGTTCCTGCTGCACCAACAGTCTCATCTCACAGGCTCTCATGTGGGCATGCTTCAGGCACCCACAAGTGCATGTATAAAACCCATGGGCACACATTTCTCCCTGTTCTTCCCCTGTCTGCAACCACAGGAGCACACGTAGAGCCCATGTCCCCATGTGGAACCTGCAGTGGACATGCACACACACGTGAATGGGATACATGTGCACATGTGCATCTCAGCCCATCATGCCCACGTGTATCTGTGTGCACCCGATGGGCACACACACACACTTTCACTCCTGGTGTGCAGCCCTATCACAGCTGTGATATCCCTTTCTCCACTTGCCTCACCTCTGCACCTAGAGGTGGGCAGGTCCAAGATGAAGATCTCTATTTTACAGACTGGAAAACAGGCTCAGAAAGGAAAAGAGACTTGCCCGAGACCACACTGTGGCTCCGCGGCTCCAGCCGGGACCCAGGTCTTCTGGCTTCCCAGCTAGGTCTAACGTGGCCCCACTGCATGTGCTGTGATCTCCACATTCCTCTGCACAGCCCCTGGGGCCCAGGACAGAGCAGGGGTTTTCAGAGCCCCCCACCATTCCTGTCTGCCCTCCCCTCAGGGGGGCACCCTGGAGCCCAGAGTGGGGAGTGCCAAATCAGGGGTCACCCCGCCGTGGAGCTCTGAGCTCACAACCATAACAGTTTGGGAAGGAGAAACATTTCTCTGGGCCTTGTGTACCACCTAAAGGTGGCCTATAGGAGAAATAGAGGTCTCAGCCGGGCCTCTGCTGCTAGCCCCATCACTCCTAGCTCTATCTCACCCTCCTCCTTTCTTCCTGGGAATCTCTCCCCTCACGCTGCATCCTTCTGGTCCTGTCTTCTGTCTTGCCCCTCCAAAATTCCCTCTACCCTCCAGGGGTGTTTCTGTGTTTGTTTCAGCAGCTCCTGACATTCCCAACTGGGAAGCTCTCAGAGATGGGCCATTCTCCAAGCCCCAAATGGGCTCAGCCCTGGCCGAAGGAGGGACAAGGAAGAATCAGTCCCCAACATGACCTCAAGAAAATCTGGTGCAGAGTGGCCACCTCTGTAAATCAGCTGATGCCTGCACCACTGTAACCACAGCTGTTGACAGGCTGCAGGGCAGAAGCTAAGCAGGAAGAGGCCCAGAGCAGAGGGCAAGTGAGCACGGCAGTAAGAAGTTGAAAACCATTAATTGTCCGTCCAGAGGAGGCGGATGCCCACAACATTCTGGGCAAAGGAGATGGTGTGTGCAAAAGCACGGAGGTGTGAGAATATAGCATAGTAGACATTCATCATTCCTTTCTCATGCACTGGAGTGTCTGTGCAGCCAGGGTCCTCCCATTCATTCATTGATTCATTCACCTGTTTATTCACCAAATAGTTACCAAGTGCTGGGCACCCTCTGGAATGGGGAAAAACAAACAGCATTGTTCCTGCCTCAGAGAGTGCACAGCCTGTTAGGAAATTGCAGGACAGAGCAGTGAGTTCCTTGGTGAGGGGCACACAGGCACTGTGGGAACCTGGAACAGAGGACCTGATGGGGACACACAGACACCTCAGGAGCCCATGGTAACCCCAAGGAGGGGTCTGGGCAGGACCAGGGCTTATCAGCAACTTTTTTTTCATTTGTCAGCCTTTGATATCCGATCTTCAGCGGCTCTCATAGGTGACAGGACCGTTAGCAGTCCAGGTCTGTGTCCTTCATTGCACAGATGGTGAATCTGCAGCCCTAGGCCTGGAACTCAAGTCTCCAGGACTCCTGTTTCCAGAGTATAATTGTATTGACAAAGCTCATCCATAGTCAAACCCAACCCTGGACCCACACGGGGCTCAGCTCTCTCTGCACAGCACCTTCTGTAGCCCAAAAGTGGAATTGCAGACCCAGGACACTGCTTCTCTGGCAGAGCCAGCCCTGGCTGGGCTCCCTCACATCGGAGCCTGTGCCCTCAGTCTAGCAGGAGCCACTGGGGGCCTTGGGCATTTCATTGGCCGTCAGTGTCCCACCACAGAATGTCAACAGGATTCCTAGCCTGCCTATCACACTGGGTGGCTGTGGAGATGGAGAGTGTTGGCCCCCATGACCCGCGTTCTCCGGGAGGCCTTTCTGCTGAGGGGAGGAAAGACGGGCCCATGGCTGGCTTTCCCTCCTCCTCAGTGCCTCTGAAGCCATGCGTCACTTACAAATTCTCTTCATTTCTAAATAAAATGATTTGTTAATTTGAGTGAGTGATCACTGTGCGCCTGAGCCTCTTTGCAGGCCCAGGAACAGCTTGTGGGCTCCCGGAGCCCTGCGCCGCCGGCCTGGCGCAGACTTGGAGGGGTTGTTTTCGATTTAAATGTGAATTGAATGAGGAGAAAAATGTTTCTCTTGGCAATTTCATAGGAGCTCGCTCTTCTGACAGATGTTGGAGTTTATTATCCCATCGGGCCAGCGTTTTGTAGAGCAGAATTGCTAATTATTTCAGAGGCCTGGCCACAGCCGAAGAAGGAAGGGCAGTAGTGGGTGCAGCTTTGGGCGGCATCTGTCAACAGGGCTAGGCAGGCACTGGGATGAGACACCCAGCCTGCCACCCTTCCACTGCCCTCCCAGGATCTGCTATTGTTTTGGAAGGGGGGCTGCCCTGTCCCTTGGTTTCTGTTTCATGGTTTACCCTAGAGGAGGCAGCAGGGTCTGCTCTTGCCAGCCCTGCTTTGACCTCATGTTGAGGACTCTGGAAGGTATTTTTGGGGTCTTAAATTGCTTGTTTGTTTAGAGAGTCCACAGGTTGTGGATGAGAAGACTGCAGAGACCCCAGTGGTTTTCTCCCTGTGTGAAGGCAGAGCTGTTCACTGTAAGGACCATACCTGGGCTTGGCCACGCTTGCACGGTGCGGGTATGTGGCTCGGTGGCTCTCTAACCTTGGGCTCTGTGTGGGCCTGTGGGGGTTGGGCATGACTGTGTGCTGTTTTTGCGGGTCCAGAGCTGCCTGGCGTGACTGCATGCATCTGTGAATGAGATGTCTGTAGCTGTGCTGCATGGGCCTCAGAGGTATGGTTCTATCTAACTCATTTCTGTCCCTGCACTGCAAGGTAAAGGAGGCTTTGGAAGACAGATGGCCAGAGGGCACTAGACATCAGAAGGAATGGGCCAAGACTGGCTCAGCTACTTTAGGGATGTCCCAGGTTTCAAGGGGGCTGCATGGCAAACTGACTAGGGGGGTGGGTTTCATGGGGGAAATGGGGCCCTGGCAACCGAAACCCTGGCTTCTGCTTCATGCAGCTGAGGAGCCTTTTATTTATTTATTTTTTGAGACGGAGTCTCAATCTGTCACCCAAGTTAGAATGCAGTGGCACGGTCTCGGCTCACTGCAACCTCTGCCTCCCAAAGTCAAGTGACTCTCCTGCCTCATCCTCCCAAGTAACTGGGATTACAGGCGTGCGTCACCACACCCGGCTAATTTATGTATTTTTAGTAGAGTTGGGGTTTCGCCATGTTGGCCAGTCTGGTCTCGAACTCCTGGCCTCAAGTGATCCACCCACCTCAGCCTCCCAAAGTGCTGGGATTACAGGGGTGAGCCACCATGCTCAGCCAGCCTAGGGACCTCAACCTCACTTGGGGCAACTTACAACGGGGAAGCATCCCACCCTCCCAGCAGAGGCCTCAAGAGTCCCGCAGTGCTTGGTCCAGAGGCCTCCTGACTCCACACAGCCATGGCCCAATTCCAGTTAATGGTCTCTGACCCAGGGCTGAGGGTCAGGGGTTGGAGAGAGTTGGTAGAAGAGGCAACAGTTCCCCCTGCAGTATTCTCTGAAAACCACCCCCACTGAGGAACACCCTCACTTCTGCCCTATTCTTACCCCCATCTCTCCTTCCTGAGCCCTGAGACAAGGCACCAGATACCCTGACTGCCCCCAGTCCTGGCCAGCTCAGGATTCAGGCCTCTCCCTTCCCCCTCCTCATGCTCCACCACCACCCCCCTACCCCAACCAGCTCCGCTTCCTAGGTTTAACACAGAGGTGGCAGCGGCAGCAGCAGCTGGGTGGGATTTTATAACCCTAATTCACACTGATCCCCTGGGGCCCTAGCTCTAGACTCCTCATGCAGCCTGAGACCAGCAGAGCACAAGGTGGGGAGGGTCCACCCTCGTGCCAGGTGAGGGAAGATGGAGACTCGGCCTCTCCCTGTCCCAAGTCCTGGGCCCTGGCAGTCACCCTAATAGAGGGCACCGGGAGACCAGGGAGGGGGTGCCCAGCACCCCCCCAGGCTGAGATGGTGCCAGACATCTCTGACCATGAGTCCCTGACAACCAGGCCCTCTCCCCTCCAGATAAAACTCCACGGTGACATCCTTCCATTAAATAGGGCATGTTCAGAAAAGAAAATTGCTACTGTTTTCCCCTTTTACTTCACTGTCATCAAAAATTGATCCCATATTGCATCCTTATTTCAAAGAACGAGCTAAAAAAATAAAATAGAAATTCCCACTCCTCAGAGCAGCAGCTGCATCAAGCCTCCCCCACCCCTATCCTCTCCCTCCCCACCCCCTGCAAAAAAAAGAAAAGAAAAACATGGCCAATGAGGGAAGGCGCCTGCTGGCCGCCTAGGGCTGTTGAGTGCCCATGGCTTTGGGATGCACGAGACCTGGGAGCAAGGAGGGGCTCAGCACGTGACTGTGCAGGCAGAAGGGGATTTCGATCTGGTGAAATGTGGTAGAAAATGGGGTAATTGGGGGAGGTTAATTTGGATCTAAATGGAGCGATTCGTTATCTCAATAAGAAATGTCTCGTTTTCCAGGGAGACGGCTGCGCCTGCCAGATGCTGGCCTGCCCACCATTGGGGTGGTGGCTCAGAGCAGGGCCCACAGCCAGCCTAGCCTCACAGGGCAACCCACCCTGCCCAGATGTGGGGGTTGTGGGCAGAGATAGCTTAATTTGGTTGATTCCCCAACTCATTTGGCAAAGTATTAATTAGCTCTTCTCAAAAGCACATCCAGTAAAATTGCAGAATATGAGTAACAATGACGGGGCAGAGGCCGAGGTGAGCAGCCTGCAGACTAGGCACTTGCTCTAGCTGAGCCCATGGGCTCACCCTGAGCCTCCTGGAAGTCAAGGGAGACCTACCCAGTGTTTTGTGTTCTAACCAGAGGAGAAGCCCAGCGTGGCTTGCCATGGGAAGGTGTTTGGGGGTTGTGGGGGGATTTCCAGGATGGTGCCCCTCAGCCCATGCACCTTTGCTAGGAGCAGGGTCTGGGAGCTGGCACCTGGACTGTAGTGTGACCCTGGGCATGTTGCTCCTCCCCAAGCCTCAGAGCCCCATTCGTTCTTTCCCAGGGGCCACAGGCAGAGGCTGCTGGCAGTGCTGGGAGTCCTGGTCACACAGGTGTGACCATCTCAGGCTGCAGCTTGGAAGGCCTGGGCTCAGCAGCTGAACAGACTTAGGTGTGGGCTCCAGCTTCTCCTTCTGCCAGGTTTGTGGACTTGGAGCACTCACTACATTGTTTTGAGCTTCCTCCTTCTGAAAAATGGATTAAGTAGCACCAGCCTTGTGCCCCTATGATTGTGACAGTCACATATGGACAACAGGTACCCATAAGTGAAAACTAGAATCACAAAAGCATCTGGTGGACAGTCGGTTGGGAGCTGGCGCACAAGATTTCCTTGGTCTAGCCTGGTATTGGCTGCACTGTGTCTGGAATGGAGCTGGGGGAGAGTGAGCATGGAGACAAGCGGAAGCCCCTCCCCTCCACTCTGGTGGGGCCAGATCTGACTCATCCTATGTCTCTAGCACCAAGTGCAGACCACGGACATGGTAGCAGAAAGAAGAAAAGCCCTGGAGACTGAGGCCCTTTCCTTTTATTCCACACTGTAGTGTTGGTTGAGATAACACAAAACAAAATGATCACAGGCTGGTGTGAGGGCTGGGAGGGAGGTGAAGCAATGAACAAATTGAGGGCACATTTGAGGAGCGGTCCCCTGGGTGAGGGCCAGACAGGTCATAGCCAAGAAGCTCCATTTGGCCAGGCATGAGTGGGCAGGTGGTGGAGCCTATAGGTCCTGGAGCCACAGCCCAGTGAGCCACCCCACACACAGCCCCAACAGGAACAGCCCTTCCCTGCCTGTGCCTCAGGAGGGGAGTTCTGGATGTTAAAGTTGTTGGTGAACCAAAAGCAAGGACCCAGACACCATATGCACGTGTGCCTGAGCACATGTTGGCAGCATGGATGTGCTTTCCCATGTCTGCACATGTGCACATGTGTTTATGTACACACACACACATCCTCCTTCTCTAACTCCAGGCCCTCCACCCCCAGGATTTCAAAGCTGTTGACCTCAAAGTCAGATGGAAGAAACCTCCTCACCCACTCCCACTAAAGCCACAGACCTCTGACATCACCTTGTTTGGAACAGCTCCCTCCGTGGACACCCAAGAGGCCTGGTCACAGGGGTCCCACTTACCCCCTTTCCCTTGGAGGAGTCCTGCAGCGGAGTGGCCTTGTGGGCAGGAGAGCAACATAGGACTCTGGAGTGCTGAAAAGAGCTCAACCCAGGAGTGGGCTGGCAGGCCTGGGCCAGGCAGAGCAGTGGGCTGGGAATCAGGTGGCCCAGAGGCCTTGCATACCTTGTGTGGGTTGAGGCTGGGCTGACTCTGGGGCACAAAGACAACACCCCCCCCCCCATCCCAGGGAGCACCCAGCTCTGTGGGTTCGGGGAAGGGACACCAACCCCAAGGTAGTGAGCATGCTCTGTGCTTAGCCTCACTGCCTCCTGCTCACACTAGGGGATCCCCCTTCTGCAGAGCCTCGGTTTCTTCACCTGTGAGAATGAGTGAGGATGGCTCACAACAGAACTTCTGTCAGCCTTTCTATGCAAGAGTGGCCCTGGGGTCTGCCCAGCCTTCTGAGGGGATGGTCCTGTCCCAGAGTTTCTGCCCTGCCCTTTTTCCAGACAACAGTCTTTGATCTAGGCAGGGCCAAGCACAGCCGCCCCCAAAGGGTCACTGGGCTCAACACTGACCCCCAGCAGTGTCCCCAGCACTGATGCCATGTGGGCTTGACCTGAGCCTGGCAGCAGGCTAACCACAGGTAGAAGAGGGTTCTTGGGGGCCAGAGCTCGCTGGGTGGCCTTGGGGAGTGTATACAACTCCCTGCCTTCTTCAAGGACCCCTCCTGCCTCCTCTGGCCTCAGTCTATGCTCTGGGAAAGTAGCAAGAACTCCAAGGCCACATGGGAAGACAAGTGCCCTGAGATCGTGGAGGGAATCTGAGGCAGAGCTTGGACCCTCTCAGGTCTCCTCGTGCCCGCTGGGTCCATCCCCAGCCACACAGTGTCTCCCACTCCACGCTGTCTGATCCACAGCCAGCCAGAGGCCCACTTCCTCCTCAGAGAGGGCTCAGGGTGTCTCCTGGGCTAATCGGCAAGTAGGGGAGGGGGACTTGATGACACAGCCCAGGTTCAACCTTCCACCCTGCCCTCAGAGAGCCGTGGCCACAGATAAGCTGAGGAACCACCTCTGAACTCAGTTTCCTCATCTGCAAAATGGTGTAGAAATGAGACCTGCTTTGCAGGGGCTGCTGTAGGGATTAATGAGCGATGCTGGCCACAGCAAGTGCTCAGTGGCATCGCCCACGATGACAGCTCCGTGTGCAGCACAGGCGGTGCTGGTGCTGGGTCCTACAGGGGCTCTGCAGGTGCAGGAATTCCTTGCCAACCCATATATTTCAGGAGCACTTTTTGTTCAAAGCCCTACTTGGTCAACCAGCCATGGGGCTTTTCTCCCTGGAAAACCCCTGAACCTTCCCTGCAGCTTGCTCTGCTGCCTCCTCCAGGCTGCCCCCACCTTCAGGCAGCCCCCAGGGTCCACACTCCACTTCCAGGGTGTTGTCTGACTCTACCTCCAGCCCTTCCTCATGAGCCCAAGTGCTGTCGGCCTCCATGTGGCCAGCACTTCAGCGTTCCTCTGTTTTATCATTAATGTGGCCAGTCTGCCTGGGTGGATGGTGTCATTTTCCCATTTTGCGGGGAGAAAAACTGAGGCCAGGAAAACCAAAATCACTCAGGGTAGATCTGAATCCAGTGTGGATCCATCACTAGAAGGGTCTCTCCCTCAGAAAGTCCAGCCCAATGGGCTGAGGAGGTCGGGGGCTAAGCCAGCTGGGATTCAGGGGTCCCTTTCCTGGGAGATGGTGTAGTGGATAACAGACCCTTGTCCCAGGGGAGAGAGACTGCAGCCTGAATGAAGGGAGAGGCGGCAACGATGCCCCAAATATTGCAGGCACATGTACACGACTGCTGTCCTGCCCTCTCCAGTTGGTGCCATGGCTCTGTGGCCGTTGCTAGGCATCTGTGAGGCCCAGGTGGGCCCTACCTGTCGTGGAGTGGCTGTGCAGTGTGGGGTAGGCCTGGGCCCAGGCAGGAGCAAGGCCGCCTCCGCCTGCCCACCCTCCTCTCACTTGGCAGCAGCAAGCAGAAGCCATTAGCGCCTGGCAGTCCGTGTCCCACGGCTCTGACAAACGCCTTAAATGTTGTCACCACGGCTCCAGCTGTCCCACTGGCCGCCTTTACTCCTCGTAATAACCAAGTGTCGAGGCTGATTGCAGCAGCAGGATGCAGCCAGTATTCAGAGCAGCTCTTACCCTGGGCATTTCCACCTGGCAGCCAGGCTGTGCCCTCCCTGCCCACCACCTCCAGCCCTTTGTCTGCCTGTCACCTCTGCCTGGGCCCTCAGCATCATCCCCGGGCCAACCAGTGCTTGGCTTTGTGTCCCAAAGCTGGTGGGCAGCGACAAGGTGGAGCCTCAGGCGTCCACATCCAGCAGAGTGACAGCCTAGCTGGAAGAGTCTGGCTCCTGCTCCCACTCTTCTGGATGACCTGTGCAGGGAGCCCTGGCTTTGTCTTGGCCTAGGTTCATATCCCGCCTTGCTGCCCAGGGACACAGGGAGTTGTCAGAGCCCATCCCTGGCATGGACAAAGCTGGATTCAGTTTGAGCTCTGCCATTTGATCATTGTGTGGTCTTGGGTGGGTGAGTCACCCTCTCTGAGCCTTGGTGACCTCGTCGGGGGAATGGGAATAATGATTGGGCTTCTTGGGGCTTTTTGGAAGCATGTGTGTGAAGCAAGGTGCAGATAATGAAATGAGGTCCTGTGGAAGAGGCTGGGCCATGTTCATAAGCACAAACACCTACCGCACCAATCCCTGAGTCCAGGGAGGCCCAGGAGAATCGAAGGCCTAAATCAGCTCCCCTGGCCTCCACTGCCCTCCTTCCTACCCCCACATCTTTGCCCTCTGGGCATTACTTCCCTTATCCCCTTCATCTGACCTTGCCCTTCAAGTTTTGCCTGGTGCTCCCTTTCCCAAAGCCCACCTGGCTTAGCCTAACCATACTCCTCTCCCATAGGGTTTATGTGCCCTTTGAGACAGCCTTGGATGCTCACTGTTCTCCTCTCATGTCTGCCTTCATCCTCACAGTCTTATGAGGCTGGGACTAGTAGAAGCCCCGTGTTAGGGAGGAGGTTATCAGGATTCAGAGAATGGTATCAGTTCTGTGCATTACACATGCAGCTCCTGGCTCTGCCCCATGGGGTACTGTGGCTGCTGGTCACTGTCTGCCCAGTCCCAGGTCCTACTAGAACCAGGAGAGTAAGCTAAGCCCCAGTCTCTTCAGGGGCCCTGGTAGAGTGGACAAGCACCCATTCCACCCCCTGGCCTTGAGGGCTTTCCTCCTGAAGCCCTCATGATCGCCAGGAACAGGGTCAGAGCAGGGGTCAGAGCCCACGAGTGGCAGGCCTAGGAAGTCTAATTTGGCCAGCACCATGGTTCCATCTGAGCATGTGATGCAAAAGCCACAAACAGGCCTTAAACAGGAGAGAGATCTGGCCCTGACCTGTGATGCCTCAGTACAGGTCCAGGCTCTGTCCCTAATGGTACAGTGGCCTGACAGTCCTTCCAGGCCTCAGCTCCCCCTTTGTATAGGGGGGCCAGTGGGCCCCTGACCTCGTTGTCTTCACCTTGAAGGGATGATCATCAAGGCAGACCCTGCCTGTGGTGTGTTTAGTAAGAGTGCCCAGGGCCAGTTCTCCATGTCCAAGGTCACAGATACCTAGATCAAGCACCTAGGTCAAGGTACCTAGATACAAGCACCAATATCCAGGTTGATTATGAGCTCTCTGGTCACTGAGTCATTTGTTTACAGGTTCCCCAACCCTCTGATGATGCTGGAGGGTGATGGACAGAGAAAGGTGAAGAATGAGTTGTCTCTGTCTCTTCATCAGACTCTTCTCAGGGATACAGAGGTGATGGTGCAGGTAGCAGTGAGCACAGTGGTAGTGGTGATTACCAGGAGACATGAGCACTAGCAGAGGTGACCACAGTGGGGTGATGGTCGTAGTGGTGACAGTGATGGTAAAGGTGGTGATGGAAGTGATGTTGGCAGTAGAGTTGATGGTGGTAGATGAAGATGGTGATGATGGAAGTGATGACTATGGTGATGGGGATGAAGGTAGTGATGGTGGAGCTGATGGTGATGGGAGTAACACTGATGATGATGGAGTAATATTGGCAATGGTGATGGGGAGGATGTTGGCAGTGAACATGGGGACATTGGTGCTGGTTAAGTGGGGGGAACAACAGTGATGATGGGGATGATGGTGAATGGAGTAGCATTCTGGTGGTGCAGGGATAATATTGATGGTGGGTGATGGGGGTGATAGGGCTGATGGGGGGCTCCCTGTGGAGTGTACCTCTGAGGGGCAGTCCTCCAGGCAGCCCTGTCCCACTCGTGGGCTTTGCCCTTGCTGGAGGCAGGACACAGTGGGGCTTGCTTGGTGCTTTTTTTCTTTTAACCTCCAGTGAGCACAGCCTTCTGGGTAATGAGATGCAAATTGACAGAAAAGACAATGAGCCAGCCTGCGGCCAGTGGGGCAGCTTTTAGAGTCAGGCTGATTGCCTCTGTGCCAATTTGCATGGCATTAGCTGTGCATGTCTTCTCCAATGGGTTCGTGTATTTCATTAGCGGTCACCTGGATGGCTGCATCTGACAAAGGGCAATGACCTGTGATCCCAGACCAGGGGGCAGGGGCAGAGCCACTCTGACTCTGACCTGAATAGGGCTCCAGGATGTGGCTACAAGAAGTCTGAATCTGTGGGGAAGGGCAATGGATAGGGGGTAGAGATTGGAGAGTTCTCATGATCGCCAGGAACAGGGTCAGAGCAGGGGTCAGAGTGCATGAGTGGCAGGCCTAGGAAGTCTGGTTTGGCTAGCACCATGGTTCCATCTGAGCATGTGATGCAAAAGCTACAAACAGGCCTTAAACAGGAGAGAGATCTGGCCCTGGCCTGGGATGCCTCAGTACAGGTCCAAGCTCTGTCCCTAATGGTACAGTGGCCTGACAGTCCCTCCAGGCCTCAGTTCCCCCTTTGTATGGGGGGGCCAGTGGGCCCCTGACCTTGTTGTCTTCACCTTGAAGGGATGATTGTCAAGGCAGGCCCTGCCTGTGGTGTGTTTAGTAAGAGTGCCCAGGGCCAGTTCTCCAGGTCCAAGGTCACATATTTCAGCCCACTGAGCAGACCTACCGTTTCTGTCACTGTCACCATTACTCAAGGTTATGCCTGGGATCATTCCTTGAGTGCCACCGAGGAATGAGGGGGCCTGGGCAAGATAACACCCAGGTGGTTGCCCAAACCCAGCCCTGACGCTCCTCCCTACCTCTGTCCATGGTGCTGAAAGTCTTCGCCCAAGCTGCTTGCTCTGGTGTTCCTGCTGCCTAGGTGGGCTGGGCTCGCCCCCACCCCCCTCCCCACCACGGCCCTTGCTCTCTGACCCTGCAACCTGTTTGACCCAGTGCAACCCACGACTCCATTCCACGTCCCTTCCCCAAAACAGGCAACAATGGGGCTAGAGGTTCTTCTCCACTACCCTCCACCCCCAGCCCAACCAGTGCCCCATCGGGCACATTTCAGGGCCCTTTTGTCCCCACCTCCCTCTTCACTGTCCCACTCCTTCTCCTGAGGTTGGGCCTAATCAAAGCTAATCAGAAAATTATGAGCTGTCTGATTACTGATTAGATTCCTAATGTTAATAGAGCTGAGAAGGGCCCGCTTAGGCTGTGTTTTAGGAAAAAGTATAAAAATAACATCATGGGAAGGGAGCCTGGAGGTTGGGCTGGGACTCAGGCTCTCTTGTTCTAGCTGGGGTGGGGTCTCACTCTCAGCTTTCAGGTGGGAATACATTCCCATGCAGGGGAGCTTCCTAGCACCCTAAATTCTTCCAGTGACGGTGCCATTCCAGGCAGCTCTTCCTGTAGAGGCCTCTAGCAAGTTCTCTGCTCAGGGCAGTGGGACTGAATTGCAGTGGGAAGAAGTTAGGTGGACTATAAAGAAGAACTTACTGCTGGCACCCCACGTAAGAGCAGGGCTATGTCTGTAATGCTCACTGACCTCCTCAGGCCAGTTTACTGCACACAGTAGGTGCTCAGTAAACATGTGTTGACAGGAAGGAAGGAGAGTCATATCAACCTCTTCCCATGGGAACTGTCACCCTCCCATGTCCTGCCCCTGAGCCATGGTGGGCATAGAGGCATCTGAGAAGGCTTCTTGGAGGAGGATGTTGGGGCATGTCAGGAGAATGCACTGATCTGGCACCAGGGCAGGGGTGCTGAGCTCCCTGGGGACTCAGCTCCTGGCTGACCTGGCCAGATGAGGCACTCCTGTCCACCACCCTCTGCCTCTCATTCCAGCAGAGCCCCGGGGACTTCTGCTAATAACCATGTTATTACTGACCTGGCAGCAGCTGGGTGGGGCTAATGGGTAACATTTTCACAAGGTCCAGAGTGGAGTTGTGGTCCTGGAGAGCAGACTTCAGCAGTTCAGACCCCAGAGGCTGCCCCTCGCATGCCTCTTCGTGGAGAACACAGTGAGGCCTGTACTTAGATTCAGCCTCACCCCACTCACACCTTCACCCCCCACACCATCTTGGATCCCTATTCTCTGTCATCAGTACCATTTCTGACCGGGTTTCTGCCATCTCTATCCCAATGAAACCCAGGGCCTCCAAACCAGCAGATCCCCAAGGGCAACTCCTGATCCACCCCCTGACCCCTTGACTGTGATGGGAGCCTGAGGTCACTTAGCATTTCCTCACTGAGCTGGCTTGCCCAGCACTGGGGCCACACAGATCCATGAATCAAGTCCCTGCCTTCAAGGGACCACATCTGGGAGGGAATCAGGCACATGCAGTGATGGAAACCCCAGGGCAATTGTGGGAACCCAGCCCTACAGGGCACCAGGATTCCTGGAGGAGGCAGAAGAGCAGTGGCTCCTACAGGATGAGGAGGAGCTAGCCAGGGGAGGGGATGAGAAAGGACACTCCAGGCTTGGGATACAGCACAAACAAGGCTTTGGAACCGCAGCATGGCAGGAAGGCAAACTTCAATGTCAGTGTGGTAGAAGAGAGATGAGGTTGGCAGAGCCTGGTAAAGGATAATGTTAGGAAGGGAGGAGTGGTCCAGGCATCCGGGAAACACAGACAGGTCACAGAACTTGATGGGGAAACCTGAAGGTGTGGGGGCTGGGGCAGATGAGTTCATGATAACCAGCTTTGGTTGGGAGTCTGAAGGTGGGTTGCAGGGCTTGGGAGAGGTCTGGTCAGGAAGGCAAGGAAGGGGTCATGGGAGTAGGGCTGGAAGCCAAGCAGGGCTGCAGGGGGGTAATGAACAAGATCTCCAGCGAAGTTGGTGCTGAGGAGAAGGGCAGCCCGTTGGCATAAACTGAAGAAGAAAACAGGTCAGGCCAAGTTTAGAAGGCCCTAGAGAGAAGCTGAGTTTGGGGGAGGGGGAACCAGTCAGGAGGCCCCTGGAGTGAGGTAAGGGAAGGAGCAACCCAGAACCTGGAGTTGTGTCTCCAGTTTCCAAAGTGAGTCCCCATCCCGTTCGCTGTCTATGCCCTGCTCTCCATCCACATCCTCACAGCCCTGGGAGGGGCCCTGGCAGTGTTTTGGTCCCTCCCTGTTATAGATGAGAGATCAAGGTACAGAGAGGTGAGGGCAGTGCTCCCCAAATTATGTGCTGGGTCAATTGCCAAGCCCTAGGAACTTGGGTACCTTGGCCTCTGTGGCTGGACAAGGGAGGAGGGCACTGTCACACTCAACGACCACCCCCGTGCCCACACATATCTCTAGAATGGGGACTGATGAGGGGACAGGAGGCAGCACCATGCCCCACAGAGCACTCAGATAAGGATGTGTCCCTGCTCCCCTAGCCAGAGTGGCCGACGGCCCCTGGATGGGTACCCTCACCCAATGCTATCTGCATGGTTTTTTCTAAGGATGAGAGAAATGTTGATGAATTATGGATCATAATTTAGGGGGAGGGAAACTGACACAAAACTGGCAGAATTCTGATAAATTCCACCTGGGTTGCCAGGGACTGACTGACCTGCAGAAATGGGTAAGTTTCATGCTGGGGTGCCAGCTAGGTTGGTGGATTCCCACCCGTTTGAGCCCCTGTGGGATGGGGCTGAGCAGGGCAATATCTTGGAAAGAGCCCCAGCAGCCTGGAGTAGCCTTCAGCTCTGGGTTCCTTGAGGGTGAGGTGCCTTCATATGGCTGGGCTCTGAAGCCACAGTTCAAATGTGGACCTGAAGCAGTTTGTTGCATGTATTGGTTTATTTCTCATTGGGGCATCTCTTGCAAGTGCTCAACAGGAGACCTGGGAGCTCAGCAGGGGACTGGGTAAGGCAGAGACCTGCAGCCCTGAGACCAGACCTTTCCTGCAGCACGTGGTTGTCCAGGTCCACCCACACGTCCTCCTGAGTCAGCCTGCTGCTGCAGAGTAAAAATCTCTAGAGGGTGGGTTTCACTCCCATTTCCAGAAAACTGGTCTGTAAATTCAAGCTGGTTTCTGCAAATGCTCAGCCCAGCCACAGAGGCCCCTTGCCTCACCCTCTCCCTGTTCACACTGGACACATTTGGCTCCTGTCCCAGGACACACCCGACCTCTTTCTGTATTGATTGTGGTTCCAGTTTAAAGCAAAAAAGCAATGAAAGCCAGTGGAATACTTGTTACCACCTGTGAGTGCCACTTCCTTTACTTCCTTGGGAAGGGATCCCAGAGCTCATGGCCTTCCTCCTCTTGATGTTAAAACGTCCACTTTGGCCGGATGCAGTGGCTCACAACTGTAATCCCAGCACTTTGGGAGGCCAAGGCAGGCGGATGACTTGAGGTCAGGAGTTCAAGACCAGCCTGGGCAACATGGTGAAACCCTGTTGCCACATGGTGAAACTAAAAATACAAAAATTATCCAAGCGTGGTGGTGGGCGCCTGTAGCTACTCGGGAGGCTGAGGCAGGAGAATCGCCTGAACCCAGGAGGCAGAGGTTGCATTGAGCTCAGATCGCACCACTGCACTCCAGCCTGGGCAACAGAGCAAGACTCCATCTCAAAAAAAACAAAACTGAAAATAAAAATAAAACGTTCACTTTTTGGTAACATAACAGTAATAAGAGAGAGTGGGAGTTTTTTTAAGTGTCCTCTCTTGGCAAAATACAACATAGCAAGGATCCTTGGGAGCCCAGGATGTTCTGGGAAATTCTGTCTGACCTGAAATTCCAGCATCTGGGATACCAGGCTCCCCACCCTGGCTGGTCACAGTCATTCCCTCTGCTTCTCCATCACAGGCCACCCCTCATTTCTTCATATTTTTCCTAGGAAATTGAAGCACAGCCTGCCCCTTCCAGGCTGGACTGAGGGGGTGCAGGCACTGATTACCAAGCCTGTGACACCCACAGGGAGGTGTCAAGCCTGGACTTGGGTGGAGTGGCGGCTGCCCTGCTGCAGAGGGAGACCACAACTCGAATGAGTTTTTCCCTGTTACATGGATTCTGACCTTTTTTAAATTAAAAAAAAAATCCATTTTACTAATTTTTTTTATCAATTTGCAGAAGACGCATGAGTCCTGTGAGGGAAAAGGTCAGGGAGCCTGTTGCTGCCAACAGCGGTGATGGCCTCCCATGCCAGCCTTCCCCTGAGGCACCCTCTGTGCCAGAAATGTTTATTTTCCTTGCAGGCTTCTGTTTGCTGGAATTGTGGTCTGGGGTTTCAGTGTTTTTTGTTACTCTGGTGGTCATTTTATCTTTAAGGTGTAAACATGGTTAATACAAAAAGAGTAGGTTTGAACCTTACGATGTGCCATGGGCCAGGCGCGGTGGCTCACGCCTGTAATCCCAGCACTTTGGGAGGCCGAGGCAGGAGGATCACTTGAGGTCAAGAGTTCAAGACCAGCCTGGGCAACATAGAGAGACCTTGTCTTATAATAATTAGTTAATAAAAACTATAACAAATTTGTTAAGGAAAAAATAAAGATGAGACAGGAGCCAAGTGTGTCCAGCGTAGATGCGCCAAGGGGCGAAGGAAGGGGCCTTGAGGGACGGGTAAGGCTGGGTGCCCGTCCTGTCCCAGGAGGCATGCATGTCAACAGTGCACCCGACAGGAAAGCACAGCCACTGGCGTGTCTCCATCACCCTCAGCACGTAAGTCACGGACCCTGCTCGGCCCTCACTGCCCATCCTGCTGCATTTCTCTTCATCCCTCAGAACCCAGCAAAATGTGGGGTCGGGGCAAGACATGCCCTCAGAAGGTTGTAGTGAGTGAGACTGTGTCCATAAAGCTCTGAGCACATCATGTGAGGGCCACAAAGTCGCTGAGGTGGCCGTCATGCATGTAGCAGGCACTGTCTGTCCACACAAAGCCTCCCTCAGACCACGAGTGGTGCCAGGACAGGGCTGAGGGGATTCTTTTGGTCCCTGACTGTGGACGCACCTGCTTGGAGCAGGAGGTGGATGGACAGACAAATGTCTGCTCAAGGCCGAAGCAGCAGCAGCAGAGGCCCACAGGGCCAGGGCCCCCTAACCCCACCTGCACTTCTGCCCCTACTGTCAGCCCTGGGGCTCCAGCTCCCCCCTGGCAGAGCTGCATCTTGCTTCATTATTATGCAGATATTTTAATTATGCAGATATGTTTTTAGACAGTTTTAAATATGTATATTATTTACTCATTAGACCATAACAGCTCTGGAAATTGGAAATCTGTATTTAGTATCTATCTGTGCACAATACACAGCTAATGCAGGACCCACAAGTTGGGAGGGAAGACGGGTGGCAATGGGGCCAGTGCTGGGCTAGGCAGGGGCTGCTGGGCATCCTGGTACTTGTCCCCTCCCGTGGCCTGGATCCAGTGATACCAAGGCTTGTGGGGGCAACTCGGAGGGACAGCTGGGAGGCCAGTTACTGATCCTCTCTCCTAGGAGAAGGGCAAAGGGACCACTCTAAGGGGTGGCAGGAGGGACCTGAGTCCAACCAGCCAGGCCCCACCTGGCCAGGGATGGTCCTTTCCTGGAACAGTCACTGTCCAATACTGCTGGGCTTTACCACCAGGCGAACCTGGGTTTGATGCCCCCTCTTCCTACCTAGGGGTCTGGGGCAGCTACACTAATGCTTTGAGCCTCAATCCCCTCGGCTGTGAAAGGAGGGGAGCAGGAGAATCTACTTCTCGTGAGTCTTGCTGGGGAGGCAGCAGTGAAGCCCTCACCCAGGGTAGGCACTGGACCACACCTGGTGATATCCTGTCATTGCTACCTTCCTTGCAGCCCTCGGCAACATTCTCAGGGCATACTACCCCCAGCCTCCACCCCAGAGCCCACGCTCCATCACAGCTTCTGCCTGGCTCAGCCCTCAGTGCCCTAGATCTCAACATCCTGCACCCCATGGGTTCAGAGCCTTTTCTTCTAAGCCTCTCATGTCCTCTGGGAAGTGGGAGTAAACATAACTAATTAAGACCAAAGAACTCTTCCAGCCTTTCCCTCTGGGCTGTGCAGAAAAAGTCCTGTTTGATGGGCAGTTGCTCCTCAGACCCTTCTGGGCCACCAGCACTGGGCAGGGAGGGACTCCCAGGTGAGGGCTGGTGAGGAGAGGAGGCCAAGGAGAAGTGTGGAGCACCTAGCCTGGGGGTGGGGAGGAGCAGGCCATCTAAGAAGGTGGGGGCACCCAAGAGCCCCAGCCCCCCATCACCCAAGGCCCTCCCCTCCTGGCATGCAGGGGGCCTTCCTATCCCAGGTGTTGGCCTCTGAGGGGTGCCCATCCTGGCCCCAGGTCCCTGATCTCAGGTTCTTGCCTGCCTCAGCTCCCACTGCAATTGAAAGCTGTTTAACATAGTGAGATTTGCAGGTATCTGTGCAGGGCTGCTCCCAGGGGAGTATTGTCCCCAGCCCAGTGCACGACGAGTCCTCCTCTTTCTTGCATTTTCCTGTAAGAATGGTTCCCAGAGCTGAGGGAAATTGATTGTTAAGTGAAACTCTCTGATAATTGCCTCTGAAATGCCTGCTGTTATCATGATGGACTTGGGTGTGAGCATCCCCACTCAGCAGTCCCACTGAGGTTCCCTCCAATACCCTGGCCATGATGGGGACGTCACGGGCCAGGCAAGGCACCATCAGTGACTTCATAGCCGCATCGCCATGGGCAGCCCTTACCCCCCAGGATGTGCTGAAGAAAATAGACTCTGAGAGGTTAAACCACACACCCAGGATCACACAACTGGCTGGGCAGAGCCAGGCCAGACTCAAGCCCAGGCCTCTACACAGGTCCAGAGACACCCAGTTTTCATTTAGCAGACATTCACTGTGCATCTACTGTATGCCCAGGGCCAGGTTACCATAAACTTGACAGCCACAAGACACTTACCCACCAAACCCAGTGCTCAAGGGGAAAGCAGACATGGAAGAGGGTTCGCTGAGTGTCAGGGTCAGGAAGTGGATGTGGCTAGAGGAGTCTGGGCAGGAGTGGCCTGGGAGGGAGCAGCATGTGCAGGGCCTGGTAGCAGGGCGACCAGAGACTGCAGGCACCTCCAGGAGCAGAGCCCAGAGCCCAAGCAAGGAACCACTCCCAGGGGGACAGGCACTTGGGGTCAGGGCTAGGAATGGAGTGCATCTCCCCAAGACAGGCAGGCACTCCAGAGACAGGCACCCTGTCCCTGCCCTGCGTGGTATCCCAATAGGTTCTTCCCTCGCCTCTGGGCCTCAGTTTCTTGCCCCTTCCAGCCTGTCCCCAAACCATCAAGAGGACCAGGGAGAGGTAGAAGGGAAGTGCTAGGAGGGATGAACCTCCAGGGGTGGGGCAGGGTGGGCACGGTCTCCCTGCCAGCCCTCAGCAGGCCTGACTATTGTCAGCTCTATGGGGACAGGAGCCCAAGGTCTGGGTGCTCAGCCTGGGCCAGGTAGGTGGGGCTAAGCTTGGAGATCCCTGCCTCAGGACATGTCCTCCTTGGCGGAGGGGAGTAAAGCCCACCTTGTCCAGAGGGCTGGTTAAAGGCAAAAGGAAGTTTCCAGGGGAGGTAACACAGTCTGATAGGGCTAACCAGGCAGAAAGAGCAGATAGCAGCAGGGCCCAGAGCTGGGCAAGAGCCAGTGAGAGAAACCTCACGGGACTGGCTGCCTATGTGCAGCTGCTGAGGGTTGGAGGAAGGGGGCTGCCAAGAGCCTAGCCACCCTGAGTGGGTGCAGTTACTATGTCCAGTTTATAGGCAGGATGTTGAGGACCAGAGTGGTGAAGACCCTGCTCCAAGAAAGTCAAGCTTTGAACCCAGGCCAGGACTCGGGGGCTTCAAGGTCCAGGCTCTGATCTCTGCTCAGGGCCCCTCATGCACACCAGTGGTGGTCCCAGTCCTCTCATCCTCAGGCCTGATGGGACCTTGTGGCCGAAGCCTGCCCACTCCACTGCACCCCACCAGCTGCCTTAGCCCTTCCTCCCCCACCACCGGGCCTGCCTGTTTAACAGTTTCCACACGTCCAGTGCCCAGGGATGGACTGATTGATCTGTAACACTGAAAAAATAATAATGGCTTGATCGTTACTGAGGATTAAAAGTAATCCTTTTGCTGTGGCTATTACGACTCCGTTATTCACGAGTCAGTGGGCTGACCCAGCCTTTGAGCCCATGGGATTCCATGAGCTCAAGGTGGCTAGGAGCTGGGGCCTCCCTCCCTGGGTCTCCCTTGCCCTGTCTGCTAGGCTCTGGAGCCAGAGGGGCCTGTAGCCCCCATGTTTTGGGGCCTGAAGGTTTCAGGGTCAGAGCTGAGCCCTAAGAGGGTGAAGGAGCTGGAACCCCCCAGCCAGGAGTAGAGGCAGGGGCAGGAGTTCCTCAGGGTCATGGCCCAGCCTGGAGACTCCCACTAGTGTCAGTGTGGCGTCTGCAGCCCCATCGACCCTGTGGCTTTTCTGCGGCAAGAGACCGCCTCTGCTTCCTCCACTCTGCCCCAGTCTCAACCCTGGGGAAGGACAGGGGCCTCAACAGAGCCCCACTCTGAGGAAGATTTGGCATCCCTGGGAAGGTAGTAGGTCACCAGGTAAGGAAGGAGGGGCACAGTGATGACAAAGGCTTGACTCACACACTGCCTCGTCAGGCTTTACACAGCCTCCGGGCCAAGTTACTGAGCTCGGCACCTGCTGTACTGCAGGTGCTCGCCTAACACTGGTGACAAGCATTGCGAACCGTACAAGTCACACAGTAATGCCCTCTACACAAGGTCACTGCAGGCTTATGAATTGGGGGCCTCATCCATCCCTGGGTTTGGGGTCGGCGTGGGCAGGCATTTGTGGTTTAGGTCAAGAGGAGGCTCCAGGATGGAAAAGGAAGAAGAGGAGTCAGGTGGGCCCTACAGGACCTGGAGAAGGTTGTGCCTTTTACATGCAGAGAAGTGGTAACCACTGAAGGGTTTTGGGACAGGGGACGGTGTCATGACCAGATCTACATTTGGAGAAAAGGCTCCAGGTGTTGTGTGGAGAATAGGTGATGAGGATGAGAGGATGCAGGTTCCGGGCAGGACAGAGCCTGAGCTGGGGGTGCACAGGAGGTGGTGTGAGGGATGCTGGGGTGGAATGGAGGAGGCAGAGGGGCCAGGGTGGGTGGCCTGCCTCAGAGGGGCACTCTGAGCTCAGGTGGGTCTGAGGGTCACTCCAGGGAAGTGTCCAGGAGCTCAGGAGGGCCAGGATTGGAGGCAAGACATGGGAGGCATCACGGAGTAGAGAGGCCTGGGGCCCCCAAAACCCTAGGAGTGTGAGGCTGGGCTGGGGAGAGAGGAGGGTGTGGGTCCCAGCCAAGCAGGCCTTGCAGTTAAGGGTGGCAGGGGACAGAGGACTGAGCCTACAAAGGAGAGGGAAGCAGAGGCCAGGAGGGCCCAGCTCTGTGGGGTGAGAGGGTTTGACCCCAAGAGACACTTTCTCCCCCTGCTCCCGGGACCCCAGCCTCATAGCCTCCCCCACCACTCAGTGTTCTTGGCCTGAGGAGGGGTAGCCAGCCCAATGGGGCTGGAGATGGCCCTGGACAGCCCCTCTAACTATGGGGTTGTGACACTCTGCCCCAGGAGAGCAGAGGCCACAGCTCCATAGGAGGCCCCACCTTCCTCCCTGCCCTGCTAGTCCATGCTTCAGAGGAGGAAATGCCGGCCTCCATGACCTGACTTCCACTTCCCCTAATGGGCAGCTGACAGGCTTTAGTAGGACGTCCCCTCTGGGGCCCACATGCCATATCAGGCCTGGACTCAAGGATGGGGGTGAGGTGTCCTGAATACCAAGAGGCGGGACCTTCTGAGTAGGGCTGTAAGCCCGGAGGTGGGACGTGCCTGCCCCACTGTGGGACAGGGTGGGGTGGGGGTGAGAGACCAGAGCCACCCACCTCACTGAGCATGGTGGGCCCAACAGAGGCTGGTCCTTGGATCTTGGTCATGGGCTGAGCAAGACAAATGCATTGGTGAGGGCTGGGCTCCGGGGCCCAGCCTGAGCCGGACTCACCATGTGACCTTGGGCAGGCTGCTGGCCGTCTCTGTGCCTGGCCGTCCTCATCTGAGGAGGGCCACAATGGCTCCATGCCAGGCACACTGTGAATGGTACAAGGTGCACAGCACATGAGTCACTGGCCAGGGGAGGGTTCAGTGTGCAGTAGGTGGCCAGTTGATAGTGATGGTTGTCATTATGATTGACAGGACATCACTGCTCTCAGCTCTGCAGAAGGCCCCCGAGGCCAGACTCAGTTCCATCCTTGGGAGCCCCAAGGTTTCCTGTAGAGAAGGGATCCTTAGAAAGTACCAAATAAGAACATCTGGGTGACCCGGACTTAGGCCCAGAGGGTGGCCGGGCCCCAGCGTCTTCTCCAGCAAGCCTTCCCTGAGGTCCCGAGCCCCCACAGCACTGCGCTTCCTGTCCCTCAACCTCTCCTGCCATGGTGGTTCTGCGAGGTTGTGCCTGTGAGCTGCAAGAGGCAGGACCAGGCCTGCCACACCTCCACCAGTCAGCACAGTCTGGCACCCAGCGTGCCCAGTGGCAGATGTGGGATGGACAGACACACAGCTATGCCCTGAGGGACATTCTGCTCTCAGGCACAGGGGCTTTGTTGGAAGAGGCCACTGGAACCAGCCCCAAAGAACAGGACAGGCTCTTGTGGACAGAGGGCTTGGGAGCCCTGTGGGAAGGGGCTCAGGAAGTCTGGGAGAGGGCCCATGGGCCTGGATGGACAGGGTGGGCTGTGGGCCCCTCCTGTGGAGCTCTGGATAGCTGTCAGAAGGGCAGGGCAAGGTGAAGCACTTTGTAACTTGCAGCTCAGCCTTAGCTCCAGAGGAGCTTCCTCTTGGCACTGGGGTGACACAAGTGTGTCGGGGGTAGAGAGTGACACTAGGGCTTGGCCTAGTACAGGGAGTCCCATGGAGATGCCCCTGGGGTCACTGCACAGGCTTCACCTTTCCTGCATGGACCCAGCTGTGGTCAAGGAGGTGCCCACACAGCAAGCTGGGGAGTGTCTGGGGCAGAGAATCTCTGAGGGTCTCGTAGGATGAGGGGAAGGGAGTCACCAGTCCAGCCTGGCCCCAGGGAGTGCTGGGGATGGAGAGGCTTTGGGGTGGGCATAGGGCAGGCTGCCTTCCTCCGCTTCTGACCTCCCTGTGCTCTGTCCCTCAGAGACTGGCTGATGCTGCAGAGAACTTCCAGAAAGCACACCGCTGGCAGGACAACATCAAGGTAGGAACCCCAGCACCCTGCCCAGCACTTAGGGCATGCCCATCCATGCGTGGATTTGAATGCTGGGGGGTGGGAGCTGCCCAGACACATGAGGGACACAGAGGGGTCTGTGGAGTAGAGCCAGAAGCCGGTGTCCAACATTCAGCAATTACTCCAGGCGCCTCTCACTGCTGGGCACACAGTGAGATATGAGCCCACATTCACTCCAGAGGAGCTGTGGAGTCACCCGTGAGTGGGAAGGCTGCTTGAAAGTAGTGTTCCCTGTGTTCCCCAGATAAGGTGTTCAGATTCTTGGAGAGCCCCCGGGTCAGAGGCCTTTGGACTTCAGGACTTGTCAGAGGCTTTAATACAGTGACCTGCAAGAGATGCTGGGAAATGGGGACCAAATGCCCTTCCCTGACTTCCCTTCCCTGACTTCCCTGAACAGCAACCTGTCCACCCTGGAGGCCCTCAGGCTGGGCTCAGGGGACTGGGCTGCCATGGTCACAGAAGCCTCTCCTTCCACCTCAGAAGGAGCTCAGGCTCGCTCCTTGGAGCAGAGGTGCAAGAAGCTGAGCGCAGAGGATCTAGTGTGTGAGGGAGGGAAGGGGAGCCTCACCCATCCCAGCCTAGGCCTGAGTTGCCCTCACCAATTCCTTGCTGTGTTTGATTTTGCCTGGGGCTGGATACCGGCCCTCGGGCCAGCATCAGACGGAGGCAGGGCTCCTCCTGGATTCAAGGAAGCCCCAGTGCCAAGGATGATGGAACCCTTGAGAACCAGACTAGTTGGCAGGGCTCCTGTGTCCTCCACAGCTGCTGGGGTGTCTGGGCCATGCCTCCTAGTACTCTTGTGCTAAACACAGGGAGGAGCAGGGTGGGGGTGGCAGACCTGACTCACTCCAGCTCTGGGCCAGGCACATCTGCTCTAGGAAGCAGTGGGGTTATTGTCCCTATTTGACAAGAAAACAGAAGCACAGAGTGGATAGACCTACCCGAGGTTACCTGTTGGTGGCAGAGATTCACAGCTGGCTGTCGGGTGTCAGGGGCTCATGCCTATGCTCCAAGCCCTAAATCTGTTCCTCCTCCCCAGTCCCCATCCCCCAGGCCATGCTGAGGCTGCCTCACCTTGCCCACACCATGGCACTCTTCCTTTACCCCTGGCAGGTGCTGGGTGCTGCCCTCAGGGAGTTCACATGAGATTGGAAATGAAAGATTATTTTCTAAGGTGAACAAATGAATGAGCTAGTTACTCCCCAAACCAGTCCCCCTTCCCCAGGAGACAGGACTGACCCTTCTCTCCCTCTCTCCTACTCCAGTGCTACTTGCTCACAGTCCCTGTGGGACCCAGGCAAGGGCTTCAGTTTCCCCATTTGGCAAAGGACTGACTGGTGCCAGTGCTGCCTGTGAGCTCAGCTATGGGGTGTGAAGGAATCACTGCACACATCAGGCTATGTGGGTGCCAAGCCGCTGATGGCATGGGTGCATATCTGGCCACACCAGCCCTTGGGCCCTGAGTACTTCTGTCCTGAGATGAGGCAGTAAAGGGCTCTGGCTGCTCCCCTCCCCCTGGCTTGACCTGAGGTGCCCCCAGCTGTGGGTGTGACCACAGGCAGCCCTGACCACAGGGCCACCTGGGCCCGGCCTTGTTCATCTGCCTCCCTGCCACATCCCACCGGGTGCCTGCCGGCCTGTCCCACTGGTGTCCCAGGTAGGGTGGGTGGGGCTGTAGTCACCTCCCTCCTTCCCAGCTGCTGGGTCACTGTTCTTCCCAGGAAGCACTGCTGCTACCACAGCTGCCAGGCTGAAAGGCATCAATGCTAATGGTGTATCCAAGAGCCCAACACCAGCCAGCTATGCTCGGGCTGCCAGGGATTGCTGGCAGCAGTGGCTGCAGGAGGGACTGTCCATGCCAGGGGAGGGTGCAGGGACTTGAGGCTGGGAAGGGATGCTGTTTTGTCCCTTGCAGGCACACCACCCACCCCTGAAACCACATCCTTCCAATGACCTTCAGGAGATGACAGACAAGGAGCCATGTTCCCTCCCAGAACTCAGGAGAGGCACCTGGCCTGTGCCACAATTCTAGCCTCAAACTCAGGCCCTCTTCCTAGGAATGCCCTTATCCACCCCTCCTTCAGTGCAAAGCCTCTCTCTCCAGATGTCTGCCCAGGACTCCCTTTTCTAGCCCCAACCCTAAGATCGGCCCCCACAGCCCACAGCAGTGACAGCGTGACCAGCAGCAGTCTTCTTACCTCTGAGATGGGGAGGATGGCGCCCAGCTGTTCTGGCCACAGAGGAGATGCTTGGCCCATGTGGCCAGACTGGAATCCACTGCACCATCAGCCGGGTGTGGCCCTCCCTGTATTGACAGCACACAGCAGGTCCAGATGCAAACCTCTGAGGAACAGACAATGGTATCAATGGTATAACCCACATCCACATGCCCACAACTCCACTGACCTCAGCCTGGGGGGTTGGGGATCCTGGAGTCTGCAGGGTCAGAGCTGGGACAAGAGATCAAGAGGGCAATGCCTGGATGTAAAGCTCCTATCCCCCTTCCTCGTCCCTGGCCAACCCAGACCCTTGGACACCAGGGAAACGATGGCCCTGATTAGCAGGCAGTGCCTCCCATGCCCCCACAGGTGGGCAGCAGGTGCCCTGGTGCCCATAACACTTAGGATAGATGAAGAGGGGCCACCTGCCGGACCACACTTGGTGCCAGCACCACACTATGCCAACACTGTGTGCCACCAAAACCACCACCAGGGAGGAGCTGGGCCAGGGCGTGGGAAGGGGAGGGGGGAGTGGCCATTGGCCCCAGGGCCTCAGTGCCAACACCAGGGCCTACAGGAAACAAAGCCATGAGCTGGGAGTGGAATGGAAGAGACAGCCCTCCCCTGGGAAGTGTAAGGGAAGGACACAGCCCTGCCCTGGGGAATGTGATGGTGGGAGTGGATGGAGCTCTGCCTAGGGACTAGAGGGAGGGCTGTGAGGGGGCTGGGCCAGGCTAGAAGAGCCAGCTGGACAGGACAGGTGGCCTTCCTGACCTGAGGGTCTGACCCAGCCATAGGGCCCCTGCCTGCCTCTGCCAAGCCAGCGACAGACGGCTCTCTCAGAAAACAGTCCTCTTGGCCAGGCTGAGCTGGCACTAGGCCAGGGCAGGAAGGCCAAGCGTCCTCACTGGTGCAGCGGGTGGCTGGCCTAGGCCTGCACAGGCAGCTGGTGGGCAGGCGGCAGTCATGTCTGGCCAGGCCTTGGCAGCCACCTTCCAAGCACTGAACTTGGATGGCAACTGTCCTTCCCCCGCTCACCCCGTGCTCATTTCCTCAGCTTGTTCCCTGAGACCCACCCTCCTCACACCTCTCTTGGGCTTGGCTCCTGCTAAGGAGAATGTATGTCACCAACACAAGGGTCACGTGGACCCTCCTGCCCCGCCCCTCGCCTGTTATCTGTGTGCCCAAGTCCACATGGGAGGGCATGTGTGTGAGCTCAGAGTGGGTGACTCCCCCAACTCCTACCCAGTTGGGCAAAATGGCCCCTAAAATATCAGATAACACAGGGTATGTCAGGGGAGTGGTCCCCAGACATTAAGGACACCCGTTTCACTCCACCCGGGACTCTTCCACACTCAGCCTCTCCTCTGGGCTGTGGAGTTGCAAAGACAGAAGGTGGCCACTCATGGGCAGAGTTGGCCCTACCCCTGGGGAGGCCCAGCTCCCTGTTCTCTTCATACCCTCAGAGGAGGCCTCCTCATCCTGATATTACGAGTGGGGAAGTAGAGACCCAGAGATGAAGCCTCATGGAGGCTGCATGATTTAACTGGGCAGCCTTGCCTCCTCGCGGGTGACC
Organism: Homo sapiens; assembly: GCF_000001405.40. Lineage (NCBI taxonomy): Eukaryota > Metazoa > Chordata > Mammalia > Primates > Hominidae > Homo > Homo sapiens. The sequence goes on along the minus strand of NC_000003.12, from coordinate 50,390,283 downwards.
CCTGGAATTCCTCAGCAGGCCACTGGGACAAGCCAGTAGGCTGGGTCCTTTTTGGCTCAGCCTCAGTCTTCACTCACTGCCCAGGATTCCAGAGCTCACGTGTCCAGGTCAGAATTTGAGGCCAGGACTCTTTGCTGAGGTCCTGCACTCAGTCACTAGAGAATACTGCCTCCTTGTTGCTCAACCCAGGAGGTGGTCACTGCTGATAGACATTCAGGTACTGTGTTGGCCCAAGCAGACAGAGGCCTTCTCAGGGACCCTCCCACCCTGACCCTGACAGCCCCCTCCCGCCACACCCCCAGCTCCACACCACATCATGCATAGCAGTCACAGCTGTATTTATGATATATTTTCACATGTATGACCTTGTGTGCCACCATCCATGTACTTCTTACCAAGGAAGGGGCATGGTCTCGCCCTCCTAGAGGCAGGAGAGGCCGGGAGCGGTCATTCCCACATGCATCAAGCCCTGGGGGGCAGGGAGACCATACAGAATCCTGAGCCTCATCTGTCATCTGCAGGGGACTAAGAATCCTCCTGGGTGACATGTCCCCCCATGTCCCTGACGCCACCAATATCTGATGTTCCACTAAGACTGTGAAACAGCAGAACAAATAGAGAAGCAGAGCCCCTGGAGCAGCTGGAGAGGTGGCCCCAGTGAACGCTGAGGTGCCTAGTGTTGACCCAGGTGCAGGCAGGACCCAGCCACAGCCTGTGAGGGGAGCCTAGGGCTCCTGAGGGCTGCAAGTGACCAGCCCCCACCTGTGTCCTTTCCCATGCTTGTGGAAGGTTTGCCTAAAAAGTGGGTGAGTGAGGCCCCAGGTTGTAATCTGCAGTCCTCCCACCGCACCCGCCCGCTTTCATTACGGAGGGAAAGAGCATCAGAGCTGTGTTTATAACCCCCTTTTAGATAACAAATCACATTTTCTTTTCACAGCAAGTGTGTTGAATTGATATTTTTTCCCCCTCAGTTTAATAGGTTTGTGTGTTCAGGAATGATCTTCGTCAACTGAAACTCCTTATTGTGTTTGATGTAATGTCAGCTTTCATTATGCGCTTCGGTCGGAGCCGGGCGCAGGGAAAGGCCGAGCACCCTGCAGCTTGGGCCCGGCCTCCGCCCCCGCCCCAGGCCCACCGGGGCTGCAGCCTTCTTGCACTGGTGGGTGGGTGGTGGGTGTGGGCAAGGTTGACAACAGGCTGGAAGGGCAGGTTGGAGCCAGGGTGCGAAGGCTTTCTTCTCCCTGCTCTCGAAACGTCTGACCGATGGGGTCATAAGGCTGCTGTAAGAAAGCGCCAGACACGGCAGGCGCCCTGGGATGCTGGAACTCTCGGGCTGCCTTTGGCCTTACATTCCTCAGGAAGTTGTGGTCTTACCCATGCGTGGTGCCAGGCATGCAGTCAGTGTTGCAGAATGCTGGGACTAAGCCTGCACATTTGGCCAGTGGCCTGCAGCCCCTAGACCCCTGGTGAGAGACAGACTAGGACTGTTCACTGAAACAGTCCCAGGTACTGACGGAGCCCGTGGGCAGTCACCACAGCCAGGCCCCTTTCCAGAGTCCTGCCTGGGGGAGCCTGGGGCTCAGAGAGGGAGTGGTCTAGCCCTGGGGTCACACACTGAGTGAGCCCCAGCTGGGCCTTGGGAAGCGGGTGTCCGGGCGACATCTGCGCTGGTGGTGTGAGTGCTGGCTCTGCCTGCCACTTCACAGCCAGCCCCTGGGTGGCAGACTTGGTCACCACTCCCATCTGCAGACCTCAAAGAAACAAGCCCTGAGTGAGTGAGGGGCCACTGGGGCCACGCTGCAGGTTTTTGCCGTACAGAACAGGGCTGAGGAGCACCTGGAGAGGGTGACTTGGACAGCAGCTCTGTCCTGAGTCGTGGCCCTGAAGCCCATGGGGGCAGAGTGTGGCAGACCCTCCTGAGCCAATGGCACTTGGCTGACACCGGGCTCACCTTCTGGCGGCCTCTGTCAGCCGCGCTCGGTTCTGATTAAAGATCATTACACATGAAATTAGCCCGTTTGTGTTACGGGTCCCCGGGGCGGCCGGTGATTATGACGCACAGATGGCCAAGAACCCAGGCGACTGGCAAGCAGACATGGGCCAGGGACAGGCGGGGCAGACGCAGGCGGGTGAGGGCTGGGAGGCAGGCGCCAGGGCTGGGCTTTGTTTTCTCCCACTCCTGTTGTGGAAACCCCCTCGCATTTCACAACAAATCACAGATAATTAATAAGTACATGCCCGTAATGAGCAGGCTTTTTAATAGAAGAAATTGGAAGATGCGGCGTCGAGTCATTATTTCCCTCCTGCCCAAACTCGGCTCTGTTCTCCGTCTTCCTCACTCCCTGGTGCTGCCTCAGCCAGCCTCTCTGCAGACAGAACCTAGAAGGCTGCAGCCCAGGACACTTGGCCCCTGAGTTAGGAAGGCCCAGGGAATTCTCAGTCGAGGGGTACTGCATGCTCCTGGAGCCTGTGCAGGGCCCCTGAAGATAGGCCTGGCTGCATTCTCAGCCCTGACCTATCCGGCCCTTCCAGGAGGGGGGCTCTGGGTGGGGGAAAGGGACAGTCTCTGCCCCAGAGGAATCTAAGGGTGCCATGCAGGCCTTGGGGCTAGGAGTCCTGTCTGTCTCGGGACCCTGAGCAGCTAGTGCTGAGGCCTCTCTCCCCTCACCAGGAGGAAGACATCGTGTACTATGACGCCAAGGCTGACGCTGAGCTGGTGAGCACCCCCTCCTGAGCCACACCTCCTTGCTGGGCCTTGGTGGCCTTGGCTGTAAAATGGATGTTAGGACTCAGCGCCACACATTCTGAGCTCAACCCTGCAGAGCCGTGGTGACACAGGCCCCACCTTCCACCTCCCACAACTCCCTAGAAGTCCGGACCCCTCCAGGGCTGCATCTCTGTGCACTAGTGGGCTGAGCTTGACTGCAGTGTGAGGCAGGTGGTGAGGCGCTTGGCCCTTCCCGCACGGGGCAGTTTAGGTCCCAGATGGAGAGAGCCTCTCTAAGTGCAGTGAGAGGAGGGAGACAGGGAGCAGCTGGGAAGGCTTCCTGGAGGTGGGCAGGTGTGAGCAGGATGCAGGAACGTCCAGGTGCATTTCCAGGTCAGGCCAGCTCCCTTCCCTGTGCTGAGCACCCCACAGCCTGGCCCATCATCAGACCCTAACCCTGAGCTCACCTAGGGTCACCCACCTCAGAAGTGGTGGCACTGGGACTGACCAGAGAGCCCAAAGCCACACCACCCTTCTGCCTCCATGTCACTCACTGGCTCAAGTCCGCCCGGGCTGCCCTCTGAGGTAGTGAGGTCCCCATCACCAGAAGACTCGTGTGAAAGCTGTATGACTATTTGCAGGGGAGGTGGCTGTAGAGAAGACGAGTGTCTGAGGGTGTAGGGCACTTGGAGTAGACGGTGTTTGCTGAGCTTGTCAAGGCCCAAGACCCTCTGCCTGACTTTAAGGCAAAAGTAGTTGGACCCAACAGTCCCCTCTGTAAACAGAGGTGTCACAGCAGCACAGTGTCTAGACTGCTGGCTGATTCAGAGGACCCAAGATTCAGTCTTCCTCTCTTAGGCCTGCGGGCTTGGTGGGTTTCCTGGGGCAAGTGAGAGGTACCCAATGACACCAGGAGGTGAGAAGGCTGGAAAGGATCCCTGTGCAGGATCCACAGTGCCAGGCTGGCCTGGGAGAGCCGCAGGAGGGCACAGGGCCCGAGACGGAGCGGGGTGGGCTCAAGCAGGTGTGCTTCCCCTTGGCTGAGCTCCGTGGCTCCCAGAGAAGTTGCTAAAATTAAAGCTGGAATCTGAAATTCAAATGAAGAGCGAACCTTTAATTAGACCCTGAATCTAATTCCTTACCCCCCTCAGCAGCGGGCTGTAATTTTAGCAATCAGTGCATTAAATATAAACCAGGAGACTGCAGTTGCCCACCATACAAAGCCCCTGGGCTGGGGGTTGGCACTGAGGGGCTCCTTGGACAGCCTGGTGCCCAACCCCTACTAGGATGCTCTGAACCTACCTCCAGCAGCCTCAACTGTATCCAGGGCCCCAACCCCTCACTCTAAATCATTGACTCCTTGCCCGTAGCCCCTTGGACTTCTGTTGGGGGGCTAGAGATTGCCCGAAAAGAGAGCTTTTCACTCTGGGGCCTGGCTAGACTAGGGTCAGCTAGGCCAAACGCCTGGTATAAATGACAGCACGCACACATTTTCCAACTCCCCTGCTTGTTGTGTTGTTTTGTTTTTTTAATCTTTGCCAGAGGTACAGTTAGATATCTTTCTAGACCATTTACTTTTAAATTACCAGCCAGAAGGTGGGGGTGGGGGAAAGAAAAGGAAGGAAGAAGTTCGCCAGCTGATAGCTTATCAGAACAGAATCCAAATGTCACATTAGTTGAGAAAGTTGGGAGATTAAATTTTCTAGTGCCCTTCATCTGCCGCTGACATTTCGGGGGCTTTCTTCTCCCGCGCCTCCCCCTCCTCTGAGCGGAACGTGAGTGGCGCACGCCTCACAGTCGGCCGCTTCCACTCTGGCCTCCATGCTCCGAGGCTGCCTGCCCTGGCTCTACCCAGCACCCGAGGGCTTCTAGGGTGTGCCAGGGGTGGGCAGATGGGTGGCACACTGCGGAAGGGCAGTGGGAGGACAGCAGACAGCTTGGATTCTGCTGTACAAAATCCACCTTCAAAGAGATGAAAAGAGTGTCTGCCACAGGCCCTTCAGAGCCGTACCCCTGTGGTGTGGAGAGCGCATCTGGCTGGGTGGAGAGGCACGGTCACCCTTTCCCCAGACAAGACACAGCTTGGTCAAATGCCTAGAGGCAGAAACACAGGGGAGGGGCATGCCCAGGTCATAGTGGGCAGCGGGGGTCAGCCCACGTGGACCCATGGGGGAGAATGAATGAGCTAAGCCTGGGCTGAGGGTGGTCACAGAGGCTTTGAGGGGCAGTGAGGGAGCGTATGGGGTGTTCAGCTGCTTATGATCTCTCCTATCAGCCTAGGAAGCCCCCGAGCTTTGCTCTCCACCCTTAGCCTCCTTCTTTCCCTTGCCTCCCCAGTCTGGCTTTTTCCTCTTCACCTTCACTCTCTACCACCATCTTCCCTCCCCTCCCCCTTGCACACCTGCACCCAAGCCTGCCCCCCTCCCATCGGCTGCAGCATCAACACTAGTCACAGACCCACTCCTGCCAGCCTGTGATGGTGGGCGGGGGCGCACGGTGCATGCCCAGCCTGCCCGGCCGTGAGATGCCATAATTGGCACCTGTCAGGCTGCTGTGGCTCATTTTAGAAAATCAACAGGGGCCCTTTCAGTCCTACTGCTACCAGGCACCGCAGACCCTCCCTCTGGAGGTCAGCAGATCTGAATGGTAGCCCCCAGCCCAGCTCTCCCAGGTTAGCCTCCCCAGCTCAGACCCTAGAGCCATCCGGCTGCAGGGGATAGTGCCCTGCCTTAGATGGGGCTAGGGCCCTCTCCCTGGTCCCAGAGGAACTCCATGAAGGGGCTGGGCAGGACCCAGTGATGGCTGTGGGGGCCCTGAGCTCCTAGGAGGGACTGCTGAGGCCTCCCTGTGATTGCACAAGCACATCCTTGTAAGCAGAATTCTGGAGCCTGCTCCTTCTGATTGGCTCCATGATTTGCCTCCTTTCCTAATTGGTTTTCAAGAATGTGGAGAAGAGGTTGGTTTCCTTTCGGTTTTAAAATTTGGGTTTAGCAAATGTGGGGATGATGGGTGGGGTGGGCAGGGGGAGATGGGAGTCACAGGCCCCTTGGGTGAGGGGTCCAACCCCGTGTCCATCTGTCCCTGAGTCTCTCCATCTGTGTCTCCTACTGCAATAGTCTCTCTTTTTGAGATGCCCCTATCTCCTGGACTCTGGCCCTCCCTGCCCCTACTTGCAGGCCTCTACAACCCAATTCACCATTTTCCAGCCCTGACATTGCTCGGGGGTGCCCTTTCTGCAGGACGACCCTGAGAGTGAGGATGTGGAAAGGGGGTCTAAGGCCAGCACCCTAAGGCTGGACTTCATCGAGGACCCAAACTTCAAGAACAAGGTCAACTATTCATACGCGGCTGTACAGATCCCTACGGACATCTACAAAGGCTGTGAGTGTGCAGAGCAATCGGGACAGCCCATCCCACCTGCTGTGGGGGCAGGCCCACTGCCAGGGCATTCCAGAGTCCCTGGGGACAGAAGGCCAGTGCCATCTACCTCCAGCCTCCTACACCTGAGATTACTCCTGCGCACCTCTCAGATTCACCCACATGTGGGCATCAAGCACTTACAGGCAGAGCCTCACCCTAACACTCAGCAAGTTGCAAAACACTGAGCCTCTATCCCTGTGCATGCATGGTCTCCTGCCCACGTGTCCACAGGCACCCACACAAATGCACGCACACAGAGACCGTTCCCCACATGTTGGACTGAGTGCCCGCCTGCCCCTGAAGCAACTCCTCACCACCCTTCCCCATTCCCTGCCCCCAAGTAGGAGTGGTTGACAAGCTGCAACACATCAGGTGGACACGGAGGGTAGGGGGACAGGGAACCACCCCTCACAGATACCAACCCTATGACACTACCCTCCTTCTCCTGGGCATAGAACCAAGGAGGTAGGGAGTTTTCCTGCCCAGAGCAGCCAGGAGCTGGGGATATAAGGAAGGGGGATGTGGAAGAGGGTGGTTGACAGTCCAAGCTTCAGGGACAAGGCAGCTTTACACAATGGGGAAACGAGGTCACTATAGCTAGAAGGATTTGAGTCAGACATGAGGAGGAACTTCCTGAAGCTCCTGGGAGGTAAAGGAGGAGGAAACCAAGAGTCAAACACTGGATGGGGAGCTCCAGCAGCAGGATTGAAGGCACTGAGGCCTGTTGTTTCTGACACAGTTCTATGGGCACCTACAGAGTAGCCTTGGAATCCAAGGAGCCCACTGGGCTGGGACTCAAAAGCCCCAGAGCCACTGCCTCAGCTCCATAATGCAGGGAATTCCCAGGGTCCTCAGGGAGGCCCTCTCCATCTCGGGGTCAGCTAGGCCCTCTGGGCAGCCTCAGGCCAGGGTGGGGAAGGATGCTCCCCCCTGCTCCCCACAGGCTGCCCGCAGGCCACCTGCCCGAGCCAGTCGAGGGGCACTATCACAGGCAGGCACACTAATTAAAACAGGAGCCACACCGCCCTCTCCAGTCACCCCTCGCTACCCACATAAATTGCATTTTATATGTTTTTTATTTACTGTGTCACTTTTAATTAAATCTGTAATCACCTGCCTAAGGGGGCATGGTCCCCTTTCCCAACTCAGCATGATCTGAGAGTATGTGCAGGTGGGTACGGGTCTGTGCGCATGGGGCTGAGTAGCAGGCCCTTTCCAGGCGGGCGCAGGGGTGTTTGCGCGAGTGTGCCTTGCCGTGTATGGGTAAGCGCGTGTGGGGTCACAGGTACCTGCATGGACAGCCCACGCAGAGCAGGGGTCTCCTCTTGGCCCTTGACCTGGACCAGGGACACCCCTCTGCTCTAAGCCTGTCATTATGCAGATGGGAAAACCGAGACACAGTGAGGGGTGGGACCTGCCAGGCAGACTCTCTCAGGGCAAACAGTACTGTGTGAAACTCTGGAGGGCCTGGCTTTATTTTTTCCTTAGAGAGAAAAATAGAAATTGTTCAACTCACTAAGTTTCTAAATTAGGAACAGGACCATAACATACTGTTCAATAAGCAGAGCCAATGCTTGAAATGTGTTTTGTTTTCACATTATGGTCAGTTACGGGAAGCCACAGGAACAGACAGCGAAGGGAGTGGGAGCAGGGGGCAGGGATCAGGCAGCGGACGCAGCAGAGGCTCCACGCTCCAGAGGGGCCGCCCGAGGGAGAGTGCCCCAGAGTGTGTCAGTGCCCCAGGGCCGGAGCAGAGGCTAGAGAACTGTAAATCATGCTTTCTACCTTTGTCTGCCTGCTGCAGGTGGTCTCTGGTGCTCACTTGAGGTAGATTTTTGATGGGGATCCCTGTACGGGGTGACGGTGGCTGGGCTCCACATGGGAAGAAAGAGGGTGGGGGTCCCTGAAGGAGGAAGGAGGCACAGAGGCCTGGCAGAAGCAGCTGTGTCCCACTCCTGCCGTTTTGTCCTAGTGTCCAGGGACAGGGTCACTGCACACATGAGAACATGTGTCACACACACACATCAGGCCGCCCCGAGTTGGGGGTCGAGGGTACTGCTCAAACCATCCTGGATCTCTGCCCAGGTTGAAGGGTCCGCAGGATTGGAGTCCATTCTCTGAGAGGAGCCTTGTTTGTGTGTGTGTGTGTGTGTGTGTGTGTGTGTGTGTGTGTGTAGGGATAGATCTGGACAGGGGATCACACACGTGCAACTACAAGGGTTGGGGGGAAGGGAGAATGGGGTAACTGATGGTAGGGGGTTGTGAGCAGGACCCATGAGTGTCCCCTGTAGGTGCAGAGTGGTGTGTAGGCATGAACGTGTGTGCCCTTGTGCCCATGGTGGCAGCTGGGGTGCTAGGCAGGTGGGTTCCATCTGGCTGGAAACACACAGGTTAGACACAGGTATACCTGTTGGGGGGTGTGCAGTGTGCGCATGCGTGTACAAGTACACTTGCCTGTGTTGAAGCAGGATCTGGCATGCCCCTGCCCCTCCAAGAGCCCCCGCCCCCACCCCTGCTTGCTTCTGGCCCCAGTTGATTAATCATGGAGCTGAGTGGCTTCCAGCTTATCAGGTAACTTAATAGCTGAATAATTCCAGCCCCATCAGCAGGCCCTTAATTGCTTTCTTGTGGCTGAAGCCTGGAGTGCATGCTGAATGGGTGAGCTCCTGGGGGACCAGTGCTAGCTCCAGGCAGCATGCTGGACTGAGGGCTCCGAGTTCCCAGCACCCAGCCACCTGGGCAGCCCCTCTCCAGAGGCTACCAGCCACAGCTGCCCTGCCTGCTCATGTGGGACCTGGAGGAAGAGTAGGCTGAACTGTTCCTTTCACAGCTTGGGAGGGGTGAGGATCAGAAAGTCTTCCTGGAGGAGCTGGGGCAGCCCCAGCTGGGCCCTAGGAAATAGGGAGGGCCTGGATAGGCCGAGAACAGTTGGGGGATTCTAAATGGGGGCACAGGCATGAGTGTCGTGGTGGTGGGTTCGACAGGACACAGCCCAGGTGCTCCCCACCCCAGCTCCCCGCTTCCCCCCAGCCACTGTCATCCTCAATGAGCTCAACTGGACAGAGGCCCTGGAGAATGTGTTCATGGAAAACCGCAGACAAGACCCCACACTGCTGTGGCAGGTCTTCGGCAGCGCCACAGGAGTCACTCGCTACTACCCGGGTAGGTACCAGCCCCTGTCCCCTGTCTACCCAGCACCTCGCCTTTCTCCATCTACCAGCCCACCCATCCTGGGGGCATGGGGCGGGGTGGCTTCTCTGTAGTCTGTGGCAGCCCAGTCGCCTCTGCAAGGTCTGCCTACCCAGGCCAGCCCTTTCCTGCCAGTCCCCCTCACCTTCTCTCCTCCCTCAGCCACCCCGTGGCGAGCCCCCAAGAAGATCGACCTGTACGATGTCCGAAGGAGACCCTGGTGAGCGAGCAAGAAGGGGCTGGGGAGGGACACCCCCTCAGTTCCCCACCTTTCCTGCCTGCTCCCCTCCCTCCCCATTTCCAAGCCTCCTAGCAGGGCGCAGCCAGCTGTATCCAATTTTCATTTCACACATGGTTGCCACTGGAAAATGGATCCCATCACCCAGGCAGGCCTCCCAGCTGCCATGCCCCCCGTCCACTGCCCAGCACCCCCACCCACTCAGGACTGAGAGATTGGAAGGGAGATTGGACCAGAAGGGGTCCCCAAAGGCAGATGTAGCCTCTGTAGGGTTGGCCAGTCCCTGCCCCACCCGTCTGAGCCCCAGATATCCCTCCCCTCTGTTCTGCCCCTCCGGCAGCTCCCTGTGACTCTCCTTCCCTGCCACCTGCACCATCCCATACACAGCTAGACTGTGCCCTCGGGGCCCCAACCTGAGGCAGAGGACACAACAAGCCACTGAAGCCAGGGAATGTGGCTCCTGCCCCCTCTGGGGATCACCTGCTCATATACCCCCTGGTACTTTTTCCTTGCTGAGGAACCAGACCATTCATGTCATGGGCAAGGACTGTGTCTGTTTCGTTAAATGTGGTATCATCGGTGCATAGAACCCTGCCTGGCCCACACAGTGCATGCTCAAGAGAAATGTATTGAATCAATATGTATGTGAAGGAAGGAAGGACCCACAAGGTCCCAGTGGGCCTTACCCTAACAGAGGCATCTCCTGGGCAGGTATATCCAGGGGGCCTCGTCACCCAAAGACATGGTCATCATCGTGGATGTGTGAGTGAGCAGTGCTGGCAAGTGGGGCTGGGGCAGGGACGGGCAATGGGCTAGACTCTGCTGCCCTGAACATCTTGGGGGATGGGCAGGAGAACACGTGAGGTTCCCCTGGCTCCTCCACGTCCCCTGCCTGACCTCTCCAGGAGTGGCAGTGTGAGCGGCCTGACCCTGAAGCTGATGAAGACATCTGTCTGCGAGATGCTGGACACGCTGTCTGATGATGACTATGTGAATGTGGCCTCGGTGAGTGCCAAGGTGGCAGACGGGGTGAAATGGGTCACCCCATCTGCCCTGCTCCTGTGACCATCACCAGCCCCATGCAATAGCTGCCTACCCCGGCCAGCCTGAGGCCACTCACCACCCTACTGTTCCTGCAGTTCAACGAGAAGGCACAGCCTGTGTCATGCTTCACACACCTGGTGCAGGCCAATGTGCGCAACAAGAAGGTGTTCAAGGAAGCTGTGCAGGGCATGGTGGCCAAGGGCACCACAGGCTACAAGGCCGGCTTTGAGTATGCCTTTGACCAGCTGCAGAACGTGAGCCCCATGGGTGGGCAAGTGGGCGGCTGGGGGAGTAGAGGGCCCTGGCTTGGTGTACCCAGGAAATCAAGACGGATGGCCTCGTTAGCACCAAACAGGCAGCTTGGACAGATAGCTCCATCTGCTGTGGGGGAGGAGGGCCAGAGGTCCAGGCCCACTGCGGGAGGGAGGCCCTGCCCCTGGACCAGGGAGGGCTGAGAGCTGCCTGCCTCCGCCTCACTCCCCTCAGTCCAACATCACTCGGGCCAACTGCAACAAGATGATCATGATGTTCACGGATGGTGGTGAGGACCGCGTGCAGGACGTCTTTGAGAAGTACAATTGGCCAAACCGGACGGTGAGGCTCAACCGAGGCAGGGGCTACCCTGACCTGGGCCCAGTACAGAAGAGGGCTGTCCCCTGGTGGCCACAGCAGTAACCTCAAACCCCCCACAGGTGCGCGTGTTTACTTTCTCCGTGGGGCAGCATAACTATGACGTCACACCGCTGCAGTGGATGGCCTGTGCCAACAAAGGTACCTCCCCTGCGCATCACTGTCAGGGGCCTGCCTGCCATTTCTTTTTGTCGATTGCGTATGTTCAACTGGCCATCCATATGTCCAGCTGTGTGTTCACCCGCTGCAAGACAGTGTGCCTCCTCCCATCCACGAGGCTGTCCCTCACTCTATCTGGGGGCTAACGGGTCCACCTAACTGAGCCTCTTTTTGCCCGTCTGTCTGTCCATTGTCCAACCGTCCCCCAGCTTGTCTACTCCTGCGTCTGTTTGCTGATCCGTCCATCTCTCTGTGCACTTGGGCCTGGCTGCCGGGTGGACTTTGAATGGCATTGCACCCTAAAATGAGGGACCTCAGACCTCAGGCTCCTCCCTCCCCATCTCTGCCCCCTGCTCTGCTTCCTGATACTGCTGCACTCACTCCCTCTCCATAGCACCGCCCTTGGCAGGGCAGAGGCCGGGAGCACTAGAGGGAGAGGACCCCAAAAAGAGAGGAGCCCAAGAGGCGAGGCAGGGCTGCAGACACACCCCAGGGGCAGGGCCCTCTGCACATGGATCCTGCAGTGCCAGCCAGGCCCACCTCTGCCTCTCCTTCCTTCACAGGCTACTATTTTGAGATCCCTTCCATCGGAGCCATCCGCATCAACACACAGGTGAGACTTGGGGAGGCCCCTCCTCCCAGCCCCTGGCTTCCCTGCAGGGACGCTGTGTGCCATGGGCTGCTGTGGGCCAAGGGCGCCCCCTCACAGTGGCTGGGGCACAATCCCAATGCCTGGCGAGACAGAACAGGCAGTGCCTGGGAAAGGCACTCATTACCCCCACCACTGCCCCCTCCCCAGGAATATCTAGATGTGTTGGGCAGGCCCATGGTGCTGGCAGGCAAGGAGGCCAAGCAGGTGCAGTGGACCAACGTGTATGAGGATGCACTGGTAAGGCCTCTGGACAAGGAAGGGGTGGGGCTGGCACCCTTCCCCCGGAGATGTGCCCACAGGGTCAAGACCCTGGAGGGCCCCCTTATGGGGTAAACCAAGCACAGGAGAAAGAGGTGGCCTGCACCTCAGTCCCTGCTCTGAACACTCAGGGTGGGGTCAGTGCTGGCCACAGGTGACTCCATCATCTTCCTCTCCCTTCAGGGACTGGGGTTGGTGGTAACAGGGACCCTCCCTGTTTTCAACCTGACACAGGATGGCCCTGGGGAAAAGAAGGTGAGGAAAGGGGAGGGTTGGGGCTATGGGTGTGCCTGGGGAGGAATGGGCATGCCCACAGCAGGTCTGAGGGTGGAAGAGGGGCAGGGCAGGCCTGCACACTGCCTGTGAGAGCAGCTTGAGGCCTTGTGGAGGGTGGTTCCCCATGGAATTGAGCTCACTGAGGAGCCCCCCATGCTTCTGCTCCCAGAACCAGCTGATCCTGGGCGTGATGGGCATTGACGTGGCTCTGAATGACATCAAGAGGCTGACCCCCAACTACACGGTGAGCATCCCCCTGCCCATCCGCGTACCCTGCCTCCCATGTGGACACAGGCAGGCTCAGCAGAGAAGACTGATGGGTATTACAGCGCCTCCATGGAGACCTCTGAGTTCAGGGGTCGGGGAAGGCTTCCCCAGGAGGTGACCTTGGGTCTAGAACAAGGTGACCTTGGGTTGGCAAACTTTCTGTAAAGGGCCAGACTGAATATTTTAGGCTTTGCAGACCTACATACCCATCTCTTACTCGGTTGCACTGTTGTATTGTGAAAGCAGCCACAAACAAAACATAAACAATGGGCATGGCTATGTTCCAATTTAATTTTATTTGTGGATACTGATATTTGAATTTCAGATAATTTTCACATGTCACAAAATAGAATTCTTCCTTTGATGTTTTTTCCAGCCATTTAAAAACATAAAACCATTCTTAGCTCATGGCCACATAGTAATGGGCAGCAGGCCAGACCTGGCCCATGCACATAGGCAGGAGTGTCCCAGGCAGAAAGGAAAGGAGGGGATGGCGTACATTGGAGGCAGAGGGAATTCTCTGGCCAAGGGCCCAAAGGTGAAAAACAATCATAAACCAGGGTAGGGGCAAGATGGCATTGTGGCTGGCCCAGCGCCTGCGGTCAGGGAGTCTGCATCTTGGCCTGTGGAAGGGGGAGAGGTGTGGTATGTACAACAGCATCATTAAGCCTGAGCCCCCCTGAAGCCTCTGCTTGGCCCTGAGTGGGCAGGGGCTGTGGCAGTTGGCCTCCAGGTACAGTAAGAAACTGACTGGGGGAGGTAAGGGCTAGGTCCAGGTCCCACTTACTCCTACTTCCCTTCCACCTGGAAGGGAAGCCCCAGGTAGGATTCCGAAGGGTCCACTCGTCCCGCTGCTCTCTCTTGACGTGGGGACAAGGAGGAGGCACAAATCAGGGGCAGTAGTGGCTAGAGGAGGGCCACAGGGGTACAGAAGCAGCAGACCTGTGGGGCCGGTGGTGGCAGAGAGGTCAGGACAACTGACAGCTCATGAGAACCAGGGGGAGAGGATGAGGACTGCAGAGCAGCAGCCCACACGCCGGTTAGCCTTGGCAAGGGCTGGTGCACAAGGGGCAACCCGCCTGCGGGCCTGGCTGGAGAGACAGGCTTAGGGCCACGTGGCATGGGGGGGCCCTTAGCCCAAGGCAGGCAAACAGAATCTCTCGGTGCGGTGGGAGGCCAAATAGGGAAGAACTCCGGAGCCCAGGGAACCCCAGCCCATCCCTCCAGACCCTGAGCCCCCAATCTGTGCCTCCAGCTTGGAGCCAACGGCTATGTGTTTGCCATTGACCTGAACGGCTACGTGTTGCTGCACCCCAATCTCAAGCCCCAGGTGAGCCAGACGGGTGGCCTGGAGGGTGGGCAAACCTTCCACAATGGGGACTTCTGACTTCCCACCCTGCCTCCAACAGACCACCAACTTCCGGGAGCCTGTGACTCTGGACTTCCTGGATGCGGAGCTAGAGGATGAGAACAAGGAAGAGGTAAGGAGAGGAGGAGAACAGGGGTGGGGGACAGAGCAGAGGAGTGTAGGGGCCCTGCCCCTCACATCTCTGGCCCTTCCAGATCCGTCGGAGCATGATTGATGGCAACAAGGGCCACAAGCAGATCAGAACGTTGGTCAAGTCCCTGGATGAGGTAAGGAGGCAGGGCTGGGGGCCAGGGAGTCAGGGTGGGCACCCTTCTACCCCAGCGCCCCCTGCCTGCTAGCCCAAGTACCTGACCCAGCCTCCTCTCCCAGAGGTACATAGATGAGGTGACACGGAACTACACCTGGGTGCCTATAAGGAGCACTAACTACAGGTAAGTGAGGCCAGGGCTGGGCGGGCAGAGAGGGTGGGGTGGCCCCAGAATCTGAGCCCAGCTGTCCCCTCCCTCTCCCACTGTGACCACCATCCCAGTGGGGCACCAGTGGCCAGGGCTGCTCACTACTCACCCTGAGATGCTTAGTCTGCCAAGAGACTCCCTGGCTTTTAAGGAACAAGCAGCAGGTCTGAGAGCACAGCACAGTCATCCAAAGTCTCCTCATCCCAGGATACTGCCCTTGGCATGCTGTCAGCCTGCCTCACAGTCTCAGGGCAGAGGAGGTCCCTTGTGTGTCAGGCTGGGTCAGTGCAGGCTGACCTCTGCCTGCCCCACACAGCTAGTCCATCCTGAAATGCCGGGGCATCCTCACAGCCCATGCCAGCCCACAACTGCCACCCCCTGCCCCCACCATATCTGCGCCAGCCCTGCTTTCTGCTGGCTTTGAGTATCTGGGGGCTGGTGACCCCACTCCCACGGCAACACTGGCATTGCAGCCAGCTCACGGCAGCGTCTGCCCCTTGTGGGTCAGAGGGAGGTTGGCTGGGCAGGGGGCTGTTGTGAGAGGCTGCTGGGAGGGGAGATGGTGTGGGGATTTGCTTTGGGGCTGGTTGCCCGGTGGCCCCCAGGAGAGTTTGAGAAGTGGAGAGCCTCCAGGGTGCCGGCCCCTAGACCATGAACCTCCTGCAGCTAAGCGGGGAGAGGGGTCCCTGGTGGTGGGAGGAGGGGATGCTGCAGCTGGGGCCTCTGCCCAGCTCCAAGGCCATGGGGAGGGGGTGCCAGTGTGGCCCGCCTCCCCCCAGCCGTGACCCGAGCTTCTCCCCCCTCAGCCTGGGGCTGGTGCTCCCACCCTACAGCACCTTCTACCTCCAAGCCAATCTCAGTGACCAGATCCTGCAGGTCAAGTGTAAGTGGCCCGGCCCCTGCCTGCGCCCTGCACCCTGCCTCTGCCCCGCACCCTGGCCGGCCCCAGGCAGCATAGCCAGCGCCGCTTGCCGGCGAGGCAGTCCCTCCTGCCCAGTCTGCCCACCCTCAGGTGCCCGCAGGCTGGGGCACCTCGAAAGTCTGTGGAAATCTGCATGCTTGCCTTTTCTCAGATTCGGTTCCAGACCATTCTTTCATGGTTTCTGTTGAGGTTGCTGTTTTTGGTTTCTCCTACTCCGTGTCTTCCCTCCTTAGCCTGCCTGCCCCACACACTCCTGGGGGCTGCATTCTTGGAAGACACCCCCTCCCCTTACCTTCCCCCTCCCCTCCCCACCCACCTCCACTCCCCTTCCCCTCCCCTCCCCTTCCCCCTCCTCCTCCCCCTACCCTCCCCTTTCTCCTCCCCCTCCTCCTGTCCCTCTCCTCTCCCCTTTCCCCTCCCCTTCCCTTTCCCCTTTTCCTTCCCCCTCCCCTTCCCCCCACCCTCACCATCCCCCCTCCCCTCACCTTCCCCCCTCCCCTTTCCTCCCTCCACCTCCTCTCCCTTCCCTTCACCTATTCCCCCTCCCTTCAATTCCTTCCTCCTTCCCCTTACCTCCTCCCCAATCCCACCTCCCCTCTCCTCCTCCCCCTCCCCTCCTCCCTCTCCCTTCCTCCCCTTCTCCTCCCCCTCTTTCCCCTCCCCTCCTCTCCCTCCAGTCCTTCCCCTCCCCTCCTCCCCCCTCCCCTCCCCCCTTTTCCCTTCCCCTCCCCTCTTTCTCCCTCCCCTCCCCTCTTTCCTCTCTCTTCCTGTTCAGCTCTCTACCCCTGTGGTGCCCCCTTCCCATGGTGCCTCTCTCTCTCTCTGCCCCCTCCTCTCCATTCTTTCCTCATCCATCCTCACTCAGTTCCCACTTACCCTCTCATCCTTCTCCTCTCACTTCCTACCTCTCTCCCCTCTGCATCCAACCTCCCTCCCTTACGCACTGTCCTCTCTTCTTCCCTCTCTCCCTCCTCTTCTCCCTGCATCTCCTCTATCTCCCTCTTTCTCCTGCTCACCTCCTCCATCTCTCTCTCTCACTCTCCCTCCCTCCCGCTCTCCCCACCCCAGCACCCCCCCCCCTTCAGTCCCACTCCCCACACTCCCTCCGCTCTGCCCCCTGGCTCCCTCCTCACCTTCTTTCTTCCCTCCTTCATTCCCCATCCCCCTCCTCCCTCCCCCTCCCTGCTTTCTCCCTGGCCCCCCTCCTTCCTCCCCTGCCTCTCCCACTCCTCTGCCTGTGGCTCACCCCTGCATGCCCTGCTCATCCTGGGCCTCTCCTGAGAGAGTCTCTAGAGCCTGTGGCCCTGCCTGCCCACCACGCCCGAGGTCACTGGGAGGGAGGCTGGGGCTCCGGCCCCACCGGGCGCCCCCCACCTGCCTGGCCGACTGGGGGCTCATCTCCTTTGAGTTTTCTTGCTCTCTCTTTCTCTCTCATGTCGTTTTTTGCAAGAAGTTTCCTTTCGGTATGATGATGAGACACAATATTTTCATTCAAACAGCCATTGAATAAAATATTGTTTGTGCCCCTCCCCTTTCCCTCCCCCTTTTCGTTTGTTTTTGTGTTTGTGTTGTTTTTGTTTTCCTCGCTTTCTCTCTTGGTGGACTGTCCCAGTGCCAATCAGCAAACTGAAGGGCAAGTATATTCAGAACCAGTGCACCCTCCTCTTCCCACCCCTCCCATCCTCACGCCCCTGCTTGCCCCCCTCCCTGCCCAGGACCAGCCAAACCCCTGCTCTCCAGGGCCCCCTCCCAGCTTCCCCTTGGCTCCTCTAGTTCTTGCCTTTCCTCTGATTCCTAAGCCCCTATGAGAGCCAGTGGCCTGTGCCCCTGGCCCTGCCTGCAGGGTGTTCTCCGGCGTGTTCTCAGGGCCCACAACCCTTTCCTTGGACCCCTCACTCTCTCTGGGGAGGCCCCTGCCTCCCCCACCTTCTCTGTCCCTCTAAGACAACTCAACAGTAGGGACAGTCTGGACGCTTCTCCACCACCTCCCACTCAGCAGGGCTGGAGGCCTGAGATGCAGGGGGTAGATCAGCCCCTAGTGGGGCTCATGTGAAGCTGTGGGAAGGGGCCAGCCCACAAGGCCTACTCTGAGGTAGCTCTCCCTCCTCTGATCTCTGGCAGTAGCTTCAGAAGCTGGCAGCCCTCCAAGAAGGGAGGCAGAAGGCTCAGAAGCCTCACGCCCTGATGCTGGGGCCAAAGGGCAGCATAGGGCAGGCCCCAGCCATTGAAGAGCAGGGCTGACCCGCGCCTCCTGGGCACTGACACAGGTGCTGATGTCCCCGTGTCCTGCCGGCCCGCTGCTTCCAGAGGCTTTGCTGAGCCCCGGGGTGGCTTGGCAGTATGGAAAAGGTGTTTCCCTGGGGAAATAAAACCAGATTTGGGGACCAGGGGCCTGGACAGGGATGGAATGGGATCTGTTTAGACCCCAAGAGCCAGCAAAGGTGTTTGGAGGAAATCAGGCTGGGTATGAAAGGAAGGGTTCTGGCACACTGGGGTGCCTAAGCCAAGGAGACTTCTGGAAGAGTGGGTAGTGAACCCCTAGACCCTGGCAGAGAGTAAGGGGAGTGAGAGAGGACAGCATTACAAAGGTCTCAGAGAGCCACCTCTCCCAGGGAATCCCTGGGCAGATGGGGCATGGAGAGCCACAAGAGGATGTCCCCATGACCTGGAAGCAGGGGCACCCAAGAAGCCCTAGGGGCCCTGTCCAGCCTAGTCCAGCAAAGGGGATAAAGGGATCAGAGCCACCTCCAGTGGCCAGGGCGGGGGTGGGGGATGTGCCCTACTCCCACTGGCTTGAGTTGTCTTTTTCTCCCCACCCCCGCACATCCCACCCAGTGACCCCAGAAATGCAGGGCCCTAGTAACAATGACAACATAGCATAGTCTCCTTCCCTGCTCCTTCGCCCTCCTTTTTCTTTTTCCTCCTTCTCCTCTTCCCCCCAACCCCTTCCCCATCGGCTTGTGTCCAAACCCTGCCTCACAGTCCTATCAGAAAGGAACAGTCCAACCAGTGACTGCCCAGCCCCTCCAAGCACCCCAAGTGCCCCCTTCCCCAGAATCTTGCAGTGCATTGTGGGAGTATTTGGTATCAGGGACAATCTGTCTTCTATACAATTAAAGCCCTGGGAGCAAAAGAGAGCTCAGAAGTGGAGACAGGCTAAGAAGGTGGACCACCCACAGTGAGACAGGCCAAGAGCAGAGGGACCCCTCCCAGGTGCAGACCAGCAAGGTGGCCAGTCCAGCTGGGCAGGGAGAGGCCACAGAGGAGCCCCAGCGGCCACATCCTCAGGTTCACTCTCAAACCCATACAGAGATACTCACACTTAGGCACACACACACACACACACACACATGCATGCTCACTCACCCACACATGCACAGCTCATAAGCCCAGGGCACAGGCCCAACTGGGGATGCCTCAACAGCAGCCCTATGCCCTCTCTGGAGCCCTAGCATCCCCCATGGCTGCCTGGAGCCCAGACAGGTTTTAGGAAGGGTGGAGACCCAGCCCGTCTCCACGCCCTTAGCCAAGGGAAGCAGGTACAGTTTCCAGCAGCACCCCTGTCCTCCTTCCAGCTCCTCAGACTTTCTTCCCACACTGTGGGAACACTCCTTGGCACTTTGAGGGTCTCCCTTCACCTCCTAGCCCAGGGAGGACCACCAGCCCCGACAATGCACTGCAGTGAACCCTCAGCTGCCCCGACCCGTCTCTGGTTGGACTGTTTGTGCCCGTGAGAAACCCCCTCGGTTTGGCCATGTTGATGCCTGACACAGAACAAAAGCAAGACCTACCAAAACGCAAACAGCTGCGGCAAAGAAAGAGAGAGAAAAATCCGCAGCCAAAAGCCAATTCCCTTCCTCAAAGTCTCTTTGGAGGCAAAGGAAGCTCAGCATGCGGTTTTTTCCATTATGGATGTGATAAGAGCGAGACTGGCGCCTCCCCCAGACCATGCATATATATAGCAGTGTGTGTATATATATGTGTGTGTGTGTGTCCGTGTATATGTGCTATACAGCCGTATGGAAGCATATACAGCCACGCCAAGGGACTCACTGCCGACAGAGGACCAGGCCCGGGCAACATATTGGCTATAACTGCCCTCCTCCTGCGATGCTGTAGTCTCCACAGGCCCTCCACCCTCCCTGCCCGTCCCTTCTCTCTGGCTCCTGGACGTGGAAATGGCGGGTTTCCTCTTTGCTGGTGTCTCCCCCTCCCTCCAGCCCCCCTCTCCCCTGTCCTTCCAGCCCCGTCAGCTCTGAGCCCCCCGGCCTCCAGCCTCCCCAGCCCCCGCCGGATAACCCCCCGTTTCTGTTGCAGATTTTGAGTTCCTGCTCCCCAGCAGCTTTGAGTCTGAAGGACACGTTTTCATTGCTCCCAGGTAGCTTGCGTGTGGCCTTGCTGAGGTGTCCTCCCCTACCCTGACCGCCCCGGCCCCACCTCCTGCACTGCTGCCTGGAGCTCTGTGTGTCTGTGTCCTGTGCAGTGTCATCCCCCGGCCCCCATACATCGCCCGGTATGCGCGGCTGTGTGCATACCCAGGCCATGTACCGCACCAGGCAGCAGTGGCCAGCTGCCTCACGGCCCTAGCTCCCACCAGGCCGGGGCAGGAGGGCTCCAGACTCATCTGCTGACTTTCCCTGCCCTCCCAGGCAACCAGGCAGGAGCCCTTTCCGCCCTGGGGTGGCTGTCTGTGGCATGCCCACCCCTCGCCAGGCAGCTGCTGCTCTGGTTTGTGGTGTCCTGCCCATCCCCCCAACCCCGCACCCCATCGTTGTCCTGTGTCAGTCGGTGTTCGTGTGGGTCTGGGGGCCGAGCCAGCCAGAGCCCCTGTCGGCAGTGCCGGGTCTAGGCGTGGTACTTCACTTGGGGGGTTGGGGGAGGAGAGTGGGGGCTTTGAGGAGCTGCTCCATCAGATGAGGAGACGGGGCCCCGAGCAAGCCCAGGCCTGGACCATCCCGGAGTGCACGCTCAGTGTGCACACACACGTTCTCATGTACACACCGTCTGCCTTTGGCCCATGTCTGGGGAGGCCGGGTCCCCTGGGTGCTGAAGCCCTTCCATGACCCAGGCTTGGGATGAGGGCAGGTGGGTGGATGCAGCTGACAAGAGACCCAGGGGCACTGGAAGGCAGCACACGGGGGCTCTGGACATGCCTCACCTTCGTGTGTGCACGTATGTGCATGCACCCAGTTTCTCTGTGACTCTCTCTGTAGATGTGTGTATTTGTGAGTCACCATGTACATATGTAAGAGTCTGAGCATAAATGTGGGGGTGGCTCTGTGTGTTAGTGAATGTGGGAAGGTGTGAAAAGACCTATGTGGCCCACATGACCCTGAGGAAGCTCTCTTGAAGGCAGGGACCCTATTCGTTTTTGTCATCTCTGTGTCTGTGGCTCAGAAGAGCTCAATAAATACGTGGAGGGTGAGTGAATGAAGTACCTCACAAATGTGCACGTGCATACTGTGTATACAGGAGAGACTGCAAGTGACTTGGTGTATCTCAAGCACAGTCGTGTGGGTGTCACCCTGGGTGTGTCCAATGTGGCCTCTAGGCACAGAGGTGCAGGCTGTACACTGCACAAAGGCCCTGGGGGCCAAGGAGAGAGTGGGGCCTGAGACCCAGTTCCATGTGCCCTTACCAAGCCATGAGCCCTACCACAGCTTGGGGAAGTGGCACACGTTCAAAAGCCCCACAGTTAGTGCCATATGGGACAATGAAGCGGTCCCTGGTGGCAGAGGTATGAATGAGGGGTCGAGCGAGAGAGAGCTCCACCTATCAGGGTAGAGGGATTGCTCCCAAGACTTCCTAGGCAGCAAGCCCCAAGCAGACCCCCTCACGCCCCACAGCCCCATGTTCTCTGGACCCAGAGCCTGAATGCAGTGAGGGTCTTGAGGGGAGGAGCATTCCAGGCAGAGGGAACAGCCAGTCGGAGGACCCACATGTTCCCACTGACTTTCTGACACCCTCTGTGCTATGATGAAAAAAGCGAGGGTCAGAGAGCGTGAGTGAGTTACCTAACGGCACACAGCCAGGAAGAGGCAGGGTGAGGTCTTAGGCTGACAAAAAGCCAGTGCTTGTACTTGGGTCCCATCTGGTGCCCATGGGAATGCTCTAGGGCATACACGTGGATGAGCAGGCCGCCAGGCATTTCCTGGGGCCTTTCAGGTGCACTATCTGGGTCCAGCTACACCGGAGAGACGGGAGGCTCTGCGGAGCCATGCCCAGGAGAAAGCAGCTGCCCGAATGGAGAAAGTAGACCCTCATTCTTGTGTCAGCTCTGCCCCGACTCAGACCCGAGCAGCCTGCCAGGCATGTAGCAGCTGCAGCCAGGAAGAACCCATGTGCCCCTCCCTGAGGCCCAGGCTTCTCAGTGAATGGCCAAGTGGGCCTGTTGGGAAGCCTTGACCCCATTGCCCTGTCCAGCCCCCCAAGCCCACTCTTCTTGCCCCTCCCCATCCCTAGAGAGTACTGCAAGGACCTGAATGCCTCAGACAACAACACCGAGTTCCTGAAAAACTTTATTGAGCTCATGGAGAAAGTGACTCCAGACTCCAAGCAGTGTGAGTGCCTGGCAGGGCAGCTGGCTCTGGGCAGTGCCCAGGCAGCATGGGGCCAGCCCAGAGGAACCCAGAGGCCGGGCAGGTGTGGAAATAAGCAGGCACAAGCTAAGGGCTGGGCCTGGGCCAGGGCCAGGTCATGGAGGAGGCTCCTGGTGGAGCCTTAAGGGTGGGGGTGAGGGTGGGCAAGGAGCTGCAAGAAGATGCCCCCACCCCCACCCCTCCCCTCCTGTTCCAGGCAACAACTTCCTTCTGCACAACCTGATCTTGGACACGGGCATCACGCAGCAGCTGGTAGAGCGTGTGTGGAGGGACCAGGATCTCAACACGTAGGCATCACCCAGCCTGTGGGGGCAGAAGGCTAGGATGGGCCCAGAGGCCCTGGACCTGCCCAGCAGAAGGCAGGCCTGTGACCCCACCCCCCTGCTACCCCCAGGTACAGCCTACTGGCCGTGTTCGCTGCCACAGACGGTGGCATCACCCGAGTCTTCCCCAACAAGTAAGTGACCTATCCCACTACCCAAACCCTGCCCCTGCCAGGGAACCTGCATCTGTTCTGCCCAGAGGCCTCCTTGCATCTGTGGAGACCACTGTCCCCGACAAGCCACCCCTTACCTACCAGTCTGCCTCTTGGGTGCTCCAGGGCAGCTGAGGACTGGACAGAGAACCCTGAGCCCTTCAATGCCAGCTTCTACCGCCGCAGCCTGGATAACCACGGTTATGTCTTCAAGCCCCCACACCAGGATGGTGAGTGTCCCCGCAGTGTGCCCAGCAGCAGGCAGGGAGCCTCAGCTTCCCTGTCTGCTCAGCCAGAACTGGGCTCTGCTGTCTGAGGCCCCTCTCCAACACAAGGCTGGCTGAGGCCAGGGCAGACGTGAAAAGAGGGATAGACTGTGCCAAACACTGTCCTGAGTGCTGGGTGCTTGGGCTGGAGTCATCCCGGGATTGGACTGCTGGGTTTGTAGGACCCAGCATAGAGTGGTCAGTGTGGCCGCCAGACCCCACTCCTGACTTCCCCACCCAACCCCCAGCCCTGTTAAGGCCGCTGGAGCTGGAGAATGACACTGTGGGCATCCTCGTCAGCACAGCTGTGGAGCTCAGCCTAGGCAGGCGCACACTGAGGCCAGCAGGTGAATGTTTGGGACAGAGGTGGGGAAACAGGCAATGGACAGGGTACTGCCTGGGCAGGTAGCACTGATGGTCCCTTGCTCTCCCCCAAAGTGGTGGGCGTCAAGCTGGACCTAGAGGCTTGGGCTGAGAAGTTCAAGGTGCTAGCCAGCAACCGTACCCACCAAGACCAGCCTCAGAAGGTATTTGGGCAGGGGCGGGGGCAGTAACCCAGCAGTGCCCTTCCTGGAGTCCCCTGGAACCCCCACCAACCCTCCACTCAGTGGCTCCAACACCTACATGGAGGCAGGGCCAGCTGCAGATGGCCTGGGGAACCGGATGTATGAAAGGTGATGGGAGGGAGGAAAACTGGTGGGTGGCTTACGGTCCTCACTCTCTGCCCAGCAGTGCGGCCCCAACAGCCACTGTGAGATGGACTGCGAGGTTAACAATGAGGTGTGTGTGCCCTGAACCTACCCTGGACCCTAGCTTACCCCACTTCCAGACTTCCTAGTCCCAGCCGCGACTCCCAGCACATCCCTTGGCCTGTGGGTCTCAACATCCCCACCCTGACTTCACAGCCTTCCCAGGACTGGGGGAGTGATGCCCCCCAACTCTGAACCACTGGACTGCCTGCGGTGGAAGGTCCGGGGCCCAGCCCCTCTCCATTTTCCTCCCCATTCCCTTCCTCCTAGGACTTACTCTGTGTCCTCATTGATGATGGAGGATTCCTGGTGCTGTCAAACCAGAACCATCAGTGGGACCAGGTGAGGATCAGGAAGAGAGTGAAAGAAGAGAGTAGGGATTTGAGCCTTCTAGGGGTGTAGCACTGCCAGCCCTGTGACCATGGCTTTCTCCTGACATCCTCAGGTGGGCAGGTTCTTCAGTGAGGTGGATGCCAACCTGATGCTGGCACTCTACAATAACTCCTTCTACACCCGCAAGGAGTCCTATGACTATCAGGCAGCCTGTGCCCCTCAGCCCCCTGGCAACCTGGGTGCTGCACCCCGGGGTGTCTTTGTGGTGAGTCCCCAGAGATGCCTGGACTGGAGATGGGGGGGACTGGGAGACCTGCCCACAGATGACCCCCTACCTCTGACATTTGATAAAGCTGGGGGTGACCTAGGGCGAGGGGCAGCAGTGGCAGTCCACGCCCCTCTCTCCACTGCAGCCCACCGTTGCAGATTTCCTTAACCTGGCCTGGTGGACCTCTGCTGCCGCCTGGTGAGTCCTGAGCGGGAGGTGGGTAGAGAAGGTGCTCCCTGGCCGGGAGGGCTCAGAAGAGAAGTAGGGCATGGCATCGTCCTCTGCTGACCACCTGCACTCGGCTCCCCGTGCGCTGCAGGTCCCTGTTCCAGCAGCTTCTCTACGGCCTCATCTACCACAGCTGGTTCCAAGCAGGTAGGTAGGGCTTTGGAGGCGCCTCCTCAAGTCCGGGTCCCCAATCTGAGCTAAGACGACTCCATGGGGAGGGTGGGGTCTACGACTGAGGGAGGCCGGAGACCTTGCCAGGGTCTGTGGGCGGAGCTGAGGCGCTCTGGGCCCTCGCAGACCCCGCGGAGGCCGAGGGGAGCCCCGAGACGCGCGAGAGCAGCTGCGTCATGAAACAGACCCAGTACTACTTCGGCTCGGTAAACGCCTCCTACAACGCCATCATCGACTGCGGAAACTGCTCCAGGTGCTGGCAGTGGGGCGGGACCAGAGGCCAAGGGCGGAACCTGTGAGCGGGGCGAGACGCTCGGGAGGATGGAAGGGGCGGGGCCTCCGAGCGGCCGGGGGCGGGGCCGCAGGATGGGGGTGGGTCAGGGCGGGGCAAACTCAACGCCCCGCCTTTCCGGGCTGCCCGCAGGCTGTTCCACGCGCAGAGACTGACCAACACCAATCTTCTCTTTGTGGTGGCCGAGAAGCCGCTGTGCAGCCAGTGCGAGGCTGGCCGGCTGCTGCAGAAGGAGACGCACTGTATCCTGCCCCCGCCCTCCCCGCCGCCCGCTCCCCCTCTGCCCCGCGCGCCCCCTCCGTGCCGCCGCCGCCGTCCGCCTCCTTGACTCCCCACCCATGCCCAGCGGACGGCCCGGAGCAGTGTGAGCTAGTGCAGAGACCGCGATACCGGAGAGGCCCGCACATCTGCTTCGACTACAACGCGACAGTGAGGAGAGGGGGCGGTGGACCCGAAATCCCGCGGCCTTGCGCCCGCCCAGGCCGACCAGCTCCTTGTCTCTCCCCGCAGGAAGATACCTCAGACTGTGGCCGCGGGGCCTCCTTCCCGCCGTCGCTGGGCGTCCTGGTCTCCCTGCAACTGCTGCTCCTCCTGGGCCTGCCGCCCCGGCCGCAGCCTCAAGTCCTCGTCCACGCCTCTCGCCGCCTCTGAGCACCCTGCCCCACCCCACCTCCACTCCCACCTCACCCGGCCTCTTCGCCTTTCCCACCCTCCTGCCCCACACTCCCCGCCTTAGAGCCTCGTCCCTCCCTCACTGAAGGACCTGAGCTGGCCAGGCCCTGAGAGTCTGGTCTGCGCCTTGGGATGGGGAGTCCCAAAGCGGGACGCCGCAGGTGTTTGGCACCCAAATCACATCTCACCTCCGAACTGTTCAAGTGTCCCCAGACCCTTCTTGCCTGCTGGGCTCCCCCCAGTGGGATGGGACAGGGAGGCCACACGCACTGGTGCCAAAACCAGGCCTCTGCTGCCGCCCTTCCTGGAGGCTGCCTATGTTGGGGGGGACCCTGCCTCAGCTGACCCGGCCTCTCTGCCCCACCCAAGCCCAAACTTGGTTTCTGTGAGAATAGTGGAGGAAGGTGAGATGGCCAGTTTGAAGCCTGTGCCTCCCAGCTTAAATCCTAGCAGGAGAGAGGCTCTGGGGCAGCCCCCATGGGCTCCTGCCCCTTTCAGGCCTACAGCCACATCCCCAAGCCCACCAGGTGTCAGGATAGTCACAGTGATACCAGTTCAGACACTACCCCATATACACCTGGAACATTGAGGATGGAAACTGGACTCACATTCGACATACCCCACTGGGCACACGCACAAACACACACACTATGGGGTGGGGTGGGTGTAGGGGCTTACAAAGCCTTACACAGGGCGAGGGGTTGGTGGGAGGGTTGGCACCTGCACACTCCATCTCCTGCTCACCACCTGCCTCTAATCTGAGCTGCAGCCTGGCTGGTCCTCCCATTTCTAAAGCTGAATGTCAAACAGTGCCAAATGCTGGGGCAGGGGGTGAAGAACCCTCTGTCCCACCCCTAGCCACCAGTGTCCTCCAAGTGCCCCCTCACCTCTCCAGGTGCTCATTGTAACCATTTCTCACTAGTGTCAGGCCCCCAGTGGGACCACATGCCACTGCCTGCACCTTTCGGCAGAGGAACCCCCACCAGACATCACCCTTTGCCTTAGCAGGGGTGACTTTGTCTCTCCTGGCTGGGCCATCCTTCCGCCAATCTGGCCCTTACACACTCAGGCCTGTGCCCACTCCCTATCTCCTTCCCACCCCTACACACACACTCCCTGCTTGCAGGAGGCCAAACTGTCCCTCCCTTGCTGAACACACACACACACACACACACACAGGTGGGGACTGGGCACAGCTCTTCACACCATTCATTCTGGTCATTTCCCCCAAAGGCATCCCAGCCTGGGGGCCAGTGGGGAACTGAGGGCAAGGGGATATAGTGATGGGGCTCAGATGGACTGGGAGGAGGGGGAGGGTGATGCATTAATTAATGGCTTCGTTAATTAATGTCATGTTGCTTGTCGCTTTCTCAGTGTGTGTGTGTGGTCCATGCCCACTGCTGGTGCCAGGGTGGGTGTCCATGTGCACCCGGCCTGGATGCCAGCTGTGTCCTTCGGGGGCGTGCGTGTAACTGTAGTGTAGTCAGGTGCTCAATGGAGAATATAAACATATACAGAAAAATATATATTTTAAGTTTAAAAAACAGAAAAACAGACAAAACAATCCCCATCAGGTAGCTGTCTAACCCCCAGCTGGGTCTAATCCTTCTCATTACCCACCCGACCTGGCTGCCCCTCACCTTGGGCTGGGGGACTGGGGGGCCATTTCCTTTTCTCTGCCCTTTTTTTGTTGTTCTATTTTGTACAGACAAGTTGGAAAAACAACAGCGACAAAAAAGTCAAGAAACTTTGTAAAATATCGTGTGTGTGATTCCTTGTAAAATATTTTCAAATGGTTTATTACAGAAGATCAGTTATTAAATAATGTTCATATTTTCACTTCAAATGGTTCCCATCCACTGTATCAGCTTGGGGGTGAGGACTGGGTAGCTATGAAGACAGTTGGCCAAGACCTCAGAGTCCCACTTAGTGCTCTGCAGGGGGTGAAGACCATGGTAGCCCAGGTCCCTGTCAACCACAGGGCATGGCACTTGCTTCCACCAGTTATAATAGGTGCCAGGCCCTTGACATACATTGTCTCATAACATCTCAAAAAGCTGTCTTTTAAAAACAAGCAAGACAGGCTGGGTGCGGTGGCTCATGCCTGTAATCTAGCATTTTGGGAGGCCGAGGCGGGCAGATCACTTGAGGTCAGGAGTTTGAGACCAGCCTGGCCAACATGGTGAAACCCCGTCTCTACTAAAAATACAAAAAAATTAGCCAGGCATGGTGGCATGCGCCTGTAATCCCAGCTACTTAGGAGGCTGAGGCAGGATAATTGCTTGACCCCAGGAGACGGAGGTTGCAGTGAGCCAAGATTGCGCCACCGCACCCCAGCCTGGATGACCGAGCGAGACTCTTGTCTCAGAAAAAAAAAAAATACAAGCAAAACAAACACCCTCCCAGAGCCTGAAAGCCAGGACCCTGGAGGGAAGAAGACAGATCAGAGATGCTGGTTTAGTGGGGAGGTGGATCTGGCAGTCTGGTCAGACCACCAGGGCCTGACAGGGCCTCTGCCGGGAGCTATGAGTGAGCACCTGGCCAGTGTCCCTACGGCCCAGGAAGCCCTGACCACAAGTGCAGCAACGGCTCCCTCCTGGCCCACAGGAGCTTGAGGCCGCAGCTGCTTAAACTGGAGCCATAGGCCAAACTTCATTTTTGTGAATCCTCTCAAGCTTAGGCCCTAGTTCATTTTCACCCTAGAAGGTGTGACCTTTGCGATCTTCTCATGTGGAGAGAATTATAACCTGTAACCACCAGAGCACAGGTGTCCCTGCCTTCCCACCACAGTCCTCTCTCTCCTCCCAACACTCTGCTCTCTGCGCACTGACCTGGCTGAGTCCTCGCCACAGTCTCTGGGGTGGGTACTAGTGTATCCCCATACCACAGATGAGCAAACTAAGAGGAGAAAGCCTTTCCCCCCAGGTGAGAAGGCTAAAAACCAGCAAAGATTTTAGAGAAGAGGTGGCCACCAAGGGTTGGGGAGCTTGGATGCTAAATAGATGAAGGGGCTTCGAGGCCTCAGCCAAGATGGAGACTTTTTCTGTCTCCTCTGCAGGGTTCGGCTGCAGAGCAATGCCTAATCCACAACCCCCAAGACAGCTCCCATGGCCTGCAAGAGACCGTGCAATCTTGGATAGGGTTGTAAGATAAAATACAGAACACCCTATTTTGAATTTCAGATCATGAACGAGTTTTTAGTATGGAAGTGTTTCAACTATTGTGTGGGACATACCTATACTGAAAAACTGGGGGCTGGGCACAGTGGCTAACGCCTGTAATCCCAACACTTTGGGAGGCTGATGCAGGAGGATCGCTTGAGCTCACGAGTTCGAGATCAGCCTGGGTAGGATGGCCACCCCGCCCCTGCCCATGTCTCTACAAAATAAAAAAATTTTAAAAATTAGCTGGGCACAGTAGTGTGTGCCTGTAGTCGCAGCTAATCAGGAGGCTGAGGCTGGAGGATCCCTTCAGCCCAGGAGTTAGAGGTGGCAGTGAGCTATGATTGTGCCACTGCACTCCAGCCTTGGACAAAGCTAGACCCTGTCTCAAAAAAAAAAAAAAAAAAAAAAGGGGGCAGGGGGACATGATTATACTCGAAGATTACTCATTGTTTATCTGGAATTCAAATTTGACTGAGCATCCTTATTTTGATTTGCTAAAACTGGCAACCTTACCCAGATGTGGCAACCAGTGGGAACCCAGACCCCAGAAAAAAAGCATCAGCACCCTTTTTAACCTGTAGGCCATGCACACATCAGCACACACTGAAATCAGTGGCTGAAAGGAAGGGATCCTGTGTTTTATAAAAGCACTTTGTCATAGAATTATTTTAATTATATGGACAGCTTTTTGTTTTGTTTTGAGACAAAGTTTCGCTCTTGTTGCCCAGGCTGTAGTGCAATGGCATGATCTTGGCTCACCGCAACCTCCGCCTCCCGGGTTCAAGCGATTCTCCTGCCTCAGCATCCCGAGTAGATGGGATTACAGGCATGTGCCACCACACCTGGCTAATTTTGTATTTTTAGTAGAGATGAGGTTTATCCATGTTGGTCAGGCTGGTCTCAAACTCCCGACCTCAGGTGATCTGCCCGCCTCAGCCTCCCAAAGTGCTGGGATTACAGGCGTGAGCCACCGTGCCCAGCCTATATGTACAGTTTTTTAAAAGTAACTCCATATACAAAAAAAAAAAAAAGACACAGAACACAACCTGTCAGAAGTCACTGTGGCGTGAAGTGGGACCAGAACAGGCCTAGCCCAGGCTTGTGGAGAGACCTGGCTTGTAGAGAGACCTCTCATCCTCCGCAGTTATCAGAAGTCCCTGGTGGGGAGGAGGGTCACTGAGGGCTGCCCAGCCTCGTCCCTATGCGGGAGGGAGCCCTAGGTTCGTGCTCCAGGTCCACCTCACTTGGAAAAAGGGCAACGTGAAATAACAAACAAAAAACTTTTCCAAGTGGGAGAAAACAAACAAAAAAAGGCAACATGTGCAGCACTCGCTGAGCACCCAGGGTGGACTGGCATTTTACACCCCTTTCCCCTTTGATTATTAGGACAGGAAGATCATGTCATCAGCTACATTTTATGGCCCATGAAACTGAGTTTCAAAAAGGTTCAGGAACTTAACCAACCAATGCCACACAGCCTCCGAGGCAGAGCAAGGGTTCCAGCCTGGGTCAGGTCCCATTCACCAGACCAC
This sequence comes from Homo sapiens, assembly GCF_000001405.40. Classification (NCBI taxonomy): domain Eukaryota; kingdom Metazoa; phylum Chordata; class Mammalia; order Primates; family Hominidae; genus Homo; species Homo sapiens. The sequence continues at coordinate 50,359,948 of NC_000003.12, read as the reverse complement.
GGAGGTTCTGTTTCTCACACAGTGACACCTACCCACACGCCAGCCAACAAGGACACACTCGCTCAGAGGTACACGCACAAATAGAGCTACTCTTCCTAGGGAATTCAGCAAGTGTGGGGGCTAGAGCTGTGTTGCTTCCCGAACCCTCACCGCCGCTTTCAGGGGTTAGAGATGCTAATTCATCCCTTCCCACCTCCTGAGAACCGACGGAAACGGTCCCTGAGAACTACAACTCCCAGCACACCCCGCGCTCACCACAACGGGACCGGTCCGTGCTCATGGCCTCCTGGGACTTGTAGTTCTAGCCAGAACCCTGTTCAACTCTTCCCCGGCTGCAACCAAGGACTCCGTATCCCAGCATGCAGAGGAGCCGGAAGACAGGCGCTTAGAGGACAGCCCGCTGCCGCCGGGGACGCGCAGGCGCAGCACCCCTGTTTGTCGGCCCCCCGAGAGAAGAGGTACGGTCGAAGCCAGGAGCCAGGCCGAGCGGGAGCTGACCAGGCTTGACTCGGGTACAGAACGAGGCACCAGTCCCCTTGCGAACCGAAGGGCCTCGCAGTGGATGGAGGAGGCCCAGCCCTGAGGTCAACGCCAACCAGGCTAGCCTGGCACGGGGCCTACAGGGTGGGTAGGCGGGCGTGCCGCAGCCGTCCAGGGCCTTCCCTCAGGTCCCGGGCGAGGGGCCTACGCTGCGGCCCGGCAACAAGGCCCGACTCGGCCCCTCGGGACCAGAGCCCCACCCGATCGGAAGCGGATCCTTTACCAGGGCCATAGGCCAGTGACTAGGCCGGGCCTGGGCCTCCCATCGGGGCCGGACTAGGACGAGGCCCCGGGGAGGCCCCTGGCCTACCAGACCCTTTTCTCAGGCCGACAGCCGCCAGGAAGATGCAACGTGCCCTGCCAGGCGCCCGCCAGCACTTGGGGGCCATTCTGGCCAGCGCCAGCGTGGTGGTGAAGGCTCTGTGTGCGGCGGTACTATTCCTCTACCTGCTCTCCTTCGCCGTGGACACAGGCTGCCTGGCGGTCACCCCGGGCTACCTCTTTCCTCCCAACTTCTGGATCTGGACCCTGGCCACCCATGGGCTGATGGAGCAGCATGTGTGGGACGTGGCCATCAGCCTGACAACGGTGGTGGTGGCCGGGCGTTTGCTGGAGCCCCTCTGGGGGGCCTTGGAGCTGCTCATCTTCTTCTCAGTGGTGAATGTGTCTGTAGGGCTGCTGGGGGCCTTCGCCTACCTCCTCACCTACATGGCTTCCTTCAACCTGGTCTACCTGTTCACTGTCCGTATCCACGGCGCCTTGGGCTTCCTAGGTGGCGTCCTGGTGGCACTCAAGCAAACCATGGGGGACTGTGTGGTCCTGCGAGTGCCCCAGGTGCGCGTCAGTGTGATGCCCATGCTGCTGCTGGCGCTGCTGCTCCTGCTGCGGCTCGCCACGCTGCTCCAGAGCCCGGCGCTGGCTTCCTATGGCTTCGGGCTGCTCTCCAGTTGGGTATATCTTCGCTTCTACCAGCGCCATAGCCGGGGCCGAGGGGACATGGCTGACCACTTTGCTTTCGCCACTTTCTTCCCTGAGATCCTGCAGCCTGTGGTGGGTTTGCTGGCGAACTTGGTGCACAGCCTCCTGGTGAAGGTAAAGATATGCCAGAAGACGGTGAAGCGCTACGATGTGGGTGCCCCATCCTCCATCACCATCAGCCTGCCAGGCACAGACCCTCAAGACGCCGAGCGGAGAAGGTACTGTGAAATTTTCCAAAATCTTGTCAAGCTAGGAGCATACTGGTCGAGTCACATGCCATCTGTTGAGGTGTTCGCTGTACATAGGTGGAGACCTACAGTCAGGTATTGGGGCACATCCGGAAAGACAAAATCAGTCTTTGGCCTTAAGGAACTCAGCAGTTAGGTGTCTGGGGTCCACGAGGCACTTTTCTCACCACTCGGGCCACTTAATAAGTCTCAAGAAATGCAGTTTCCTTTGGTGCTGTGAAGTCCCAGTGGAGGGACACAGAACCCTGGCCTTGCCTCAGAATCTCAGAATCCTAGACATTGGGCCTGTGGGAGCCAGAAGCAACCTGCTGGTACTTTCCCCTGTGAGGAAGGGACAGGGAAGGAGGCCTGGGGTCCTCAAAAGGTGATCTGGGCCACTCCAATTTCCAAATGCTGTGTCCTCTTCCTGGGCTTTAACTCAGATGCTGTGCTTCTCTGCCACTTACTTATTGAGAGGGAAGCTTGGGGTATTACCACATTTACCTCTGTCTCCAGCAAGCATGTGTCACCAAAACCAGGGACAGGCTACATGACCCACTGAGGGAGCCTGCTGACACCAGGGAGTGGCGATGACCCTTTCATTATCTGTAAACCAAGCTATCCACAGCATCAGGAGTCCCAGCTGAATTATTCACTGAATGCACTTTGGCCAGGGCAGGAGGGATCTTTTTAAATTCAGCTTACTCTCTCTCCCAGATCTGTGGAGCCAGCAGAGTGGTCCCAGCCTTCATAAGATCCACAGCTCCATTTCCAACATTATTCCTCACTGTTTTGAGGCAATTACTCGAGTAGTAAAATCTGGGACGGGCTTTGTCTTTTGCATTGCCAAGGCTCCTGCTTTTGCTCACCTGTGAATGGGGTTGTGGCAGGAAGCTCTATGAATTTAGCTGCAGTTATCCCTGTATTTACTCTCCACTGGGCTATGGAATTGAGTGTGGGACACACTCCTTTCTTGAAGGAGTTCCAGCTGGGGAAGGGCCACAGATCACTATGGCCCAAGGTATGGTAGGTGTTGAAAAGTATATACAGCATGCTGCAGGGCATAATTCTGGGCCCTAGAGCTTGGGTCTTTATAGGTGATAAGCCCTAAGGACAGAAGTCTCTCTTAACCTTAGCTGGTATTAAAGATGGGGCCAGGTGAGCTGGGCCTGGTAGGAATTGAGCTGTCCCTCAGAGCCATTCAGGTGGGGCCAGGCCAGTGGGGACCCCTCCTCCACTGAGAGGTGTTGGAATGTTAGGGTTGGCTGGACATTCAAAAACCTCTGCCTAGGCCCAAGAAAATGGACAGGGGGGAAGCAGGTTGGTGGGGAGGAAGGGAGGGTCAAGAGGCGGGTTCTTGGCATAGCCTTATGGTTGTTAGCTTACATGGGGGTGGCGGTTATTCCTCCAGCCAGTTTGACATCTGACTGCATGGCCACGCCCAACTCCAAAGGGCTACCAGGAGAGGGAGGCAGGGTTTCCTATCTGTCTCTCTGGTCCTTGTGAGGAAGTGACTAGCGTAACACTAGCTCTCTGCCTTGGCAGGCTTTAGATGGAACTGGCAAGGGCATCATCAGGATGGCAGCCTGGGTAGCAGCAGGGAAAGACTGTCCTGTCTATACCAACTTGTCATGTGTGAGACTGACGGGCAGGGGGGAAGCGTGCTAGGGCTTTCTACACCTGTGCCCTTGTTGCCTCTCTTGTCGTGTTCCCTGACATGGTGGAGATTTTGGTTCTCAGCTGGAACCTGAAAGGCTACACAGGCTGTCCCCACATTGGTGGCACAGAGAGGCTGAGGTATAGGAGTCCACAGTGGTCACTGTTGAAACGGTTCCCTGGCAGCTGCAGCACTCCACCTTCTGGTGGGTCAGGGTCCCAAGCACATGTGTAAACCTTCTTCTGTTGGACTTTCCCACCTGCCCTCAAAGTGGGGCCTCTAAGGGTCCACCCTGTGGAAGCAGTAGGCTCTGGCCTGTGCCTACCCATGTGAGCTGTTTCTCCTTCTTCTCCTCTTGCAAGGGCTCCGCTAAGTCCCTGCTCTAACAAGGGCCTTGGTGGCTTTGGGGGTTCTTCTGAGAGGGAGAATATTAGCATCAGTTAGGAGGGGTAGACTCACCCAAGTTGGCCCTGCTTCCTGGGCTGAGAGCCAAGGGAGGTGTTGAATTCCAGCCTTCCCCATTGACCCTTGCCAGGAGGCTCAAGATACCCCTAACCAGGAGAGGGGGAGAATTAATAACCCTTCCCTTGGATGTGATGCCAGCACCCAGGCAGAAACTCCTGGAAACTCCAGAACTTGCCGTTCCACCCATCTGCCCTAGGGCACTAGTTCCACTGACCCTTAGATACCACCCTCAGAACCATTCCTGGTGGCTGGCCTCGTGGGCAGTCTGGCAGACACCCAGCTGACCTTCCCATCCCGGAGGTGCCTCAGCTATGGAGGGAAGATTCTTAGAGCCTTTGGGTTATCATTCTGATGGCAGAGTGGGTCCTAAACCAATCTCTGGGGAGTCCCAGGCTCTGCATGGTGAAGGGGAAACATAGGATTCTGGGGGAGGAGTCTAGGTGGTACGGTGAGGAGTCAGCCTGCTGCGGAAGGGTAGAGGGCATGAGCCAAGGCCAAACCCAGAGTGACCTTTCCTCTCTCCTCTGGCCCCAGGCAACTGGCCCTGAAGGCACTCAATGAGCGGCTGAAGAGAGTGGAAGACCAGTCCATCTGGCCCAGCATGGATGATGATGAAGAGGAGTCTGGGGCCAAGGTGGACAGCCCCCTGCCCTCAGACAAAGCTCCCACACCCCCAGGGAAGGGGGCTGCCCCAGAATCCAGTCTAATCACCTTCGAGGCAGCTCCCCCGACGCTGTAACTCCAGACCACCTTGAGTGTGGCACCTCCCCTCCCAAGCCCCCCTTGACATCCTCTCAGCTACTCCAGGGCACCTGACTGCTCTGAGGAGAGGGAAGAAGGCCTGCTGGGGCTTTCCATGGCCTTCTGCTGTTTCTCGCCAACACTACCCAGGACTCTTGCTACCTGGTTCCAACTCCAGACAACCACTATGCCAGGCCCGGAGCCTCTGAGGCATCGGCCAGTCCAGGCCCTCATCTGAGGTAAGAATGTACATCAGCTGGCAGCCCCAAGCAAGTGGCTGCAGGGACACTGATGCCACAGCTCCTGGGCCGGCCCTCACATCTGAAACTGGTTGCCGAGAGCCCTGAGCCAAGGCAAGGATTTGCCAAAAATGTTCTGGGGGCCCAGCAAATGCAGGAGCCGACCTGGGGCTGCACATCCCTGCCCATCCCCAGAAAGACTGTTCCTGTCAGGATTTGTTTCCCTCTGCTGTGGCGGTGACTGCTTCTGGACCAGAACAGCTCCAGCTCCCAGGTATTTTCTACAGGACCACTTGAGTGGGCAGCCAAGCCCAGGCTCGCAGTATCAATAAAGCAGTTCTCTGAGGAATGACTCCTGGGCTCTTGTCAGGCCACCTTGTGCAGCCCCCTCATCACGTTCAACTGCAATGTTAGACAGGGACTTGATTGTCTCCATGGTAACTCCAGCTGGATAAGAAGCCCATTGCCCCAGCTCCCCACCACCGCCACCACCACCACCACATGCGCACTGCCAAGCAGCCTTCCAAGAGCTATTGCCTCAGACTCTTACTCCTTTTTTCTTTCCCTCCAAACCCCAATCTGGGAGGCCTTCTGTCCCTGCCTAGATCTGATGATAAGGGCCTCTCCATCATAAGGCGCTGTTCTTACCCATGGTTTATCTCTAAGACAGAATGCTCAGTTCTTGCCACCCCTGGAGACAACTCACCCCCAGCTCCCAGTTATTGTATGTATCTAACCCCCACAGTCTGGAGACTCCAGCACAGTAGACAGTTGGGGGGACAGAAAGGACACACAGCTGTACCATTCACAGCTACAGCTCTAGGGCCTGCCAGGGCCCGGAGTGGCCTGGGAGGCTCAGCAGCTAGACCCTGGGGATTTGTGTGCTAGGAGAGCTTCAGCCCCTCAGGGAGCAGCCAGGGGTCGGGGGTGGGGGGTCCCCATCTTGCCCAGCTGCCCATTTTCCTGTGCTGATGGCATTAACAAGAACCATCCCCAACTCTGGGCTGCTTCTCCCATCAATCTTTTCAGTCATTTTTTACAAATTTTTTACTTTTTTCTCTCCTAAAATTTCTGAACATACAGTACAAGTATGAGCTGCCTTGCAGGAGAGGCAGTCTTGCAGCCCCAGCTTCATCCAGACACATGATGCCTATGTTCCTCTGGGATGACAGAGAAAGGGGAAGGAAATGGGAGGCACTCCAGCATGAGGAGCAGGAATTCACACACGGGCCTCCAAATGCCCAACTGTCCCAGTGCCTGAGGTGTCCCCTGACTCAGCTGAGAGAGTTCAACAGGTCCCTAGGCCCAGCTCCTACATGGAGGGGCAAATCCAGGCTTCCCCTAGGCTGGGAAGAGCTCATGGTTGGATCCTCTTGCGGTATAGGTAGGCATTGCTCACCTGGTTCATAATGACCAAGCTGGTGAGGACAGGGCATAATACAGCCAGGTACCAGGCTGCACCAGTGACAGAGGCAGTGAACCAGAGTGAGCACATGCCCAGCAAGAGGCTGGCACTACCCAGCAGGTAGCCCACCAGCCCAGAAGTAGCATGGTATAGCTTGAGCTTCGCCAGGGGCCATCGGGGCAGCAGCTTGGGGTAGAGCAGCCCCACCCCACCTGAGCACTGCAGCCCTGCCCACAGCACAGCCAGCAGCCCTGCCTGCCCATGCCGCGTAACCAGGTGGGCTTTGCCAAGCTGCTCTTTGTGGAGGATGACAAGGCCGAGGCCCAGCAGTGCACACAGCAGGGCCAGCAGCTGCAGCACCCAGTGGCAGCGTGCTCGGCCTTTCCGTGAGAGGGAGTGCAGCAGCGAACTCTCAGGAGAAAACACCAGTAGTGCCTCGGTCATCAGGAAGGAGAACTGAGGAAACAGGGGATGGGAAGCTCAAGTGAGGGTGCTGCCCCAGAAGAGGAGAAGAGGGCTTTATGTAACCCTTAGCTGCCAGTGAGTCTGGGCTGATTCCCCTTTTTCTTTCTCTCCCCACTGACAAGACTATCCATTTGGTGGGGCAAGAGTGGAAAACCCCATCTGGGATGATATATGTGCCCTGAATAATCTCCACACTTCCTCCTAGGTGCCAGTCTGAAATGTCATCTGTCGTATGTTACCAAGCAAACACAGGGTTTGAGATGTGGCAGTTATAAATGATTCACAAGCTTTGTTTCCCTAACGTGGGGCTGGATACAATTTCTTGGCAAGAGCTGGCCACATGGGTGCACTGTTTCAGGGAAAGTTAGGTGCATCACCAGAAATTAAAGTAAAAAGGGACAGAGGTACATCCAAATGCAATGTCTCAGCTTTCTGCCTAGAGGTGGGTGAAGCCTCATTGTGCTTAGACAAATCTTACCCATTTGACCTGGGTCCTGGGTCTTCATTACTCTGATTCAAGTCTCTTTTTTTTTTTTTTTTTTTTTTTGGAGATAGTCTCTCTCTGTCACCCAGGCTGGAGTGCAGTGGCCTGATCTCGGCTCACTGCAATCTCCGCCTTCCGGGTTCAAGCAATTCTCCTGCCTCAGGCTCCTGAGTAACTGGGATTACAGGCACCTGCCACCACACCCAGCTAATTTTTGGTTTTTTGGGGGGTTTTTTTGTTTTTGGGTTTTTTTTTTTTTTTGGGACAGAGCCTCGCTCTGTCGCCTAGGTTAGAGGTTAGAGTGCAGTGGCGCAATCTTGGCTCACTGCAACCTCCGTCTCCTGGGTTCATGCGATTCTCCTGCCTCAGCCTCCCGAGTAGCTGGGACTACAGGCGCGTGCCACCATGCCCGGCTAATTTTTTGTATTTTTAGTAGAGACGGGGTTTCACCATGTTGGCCAAGATGGTCTCGATCTCCTGACCTCAGGTGATGTGCCCGCCTCGGCCTCTAAGTGCTGGGATTACAGGCATGAGCCACCGTGCCCAGCCTCAAGTCTGAAATATATACCATGGGCAGGAGTAGTTGGAGCATGCAACTCTTCCAAACAGATATTAAATGTGGACAAAGATTCAGAGGCTGCCAGGGCCACCAACCATGCCCATGCTCCCACCCCTAAGAACTGCCCAGGCCCACTACTTACAGCCAAAGACATAAGCACCGGGTGCCAGGAGAACAGGCCTGGAATGAGAAGAGGAGGCCTCATGGGGCTGAGGCAAGAAGAAACCAGCCATACCAATCCTTAAGGGTTGAGGAATACCAGCAGCCCATCACCCAAGGAGGTGCTGCCAAACTGTGAGCCCCTTCTTGCTCTGCAACAAGCTGACCCCACACCTATCCTCTCTTCCTGGCCTCTTCCTGGATCAGAGGCCATGCTTTGCCACTCCTCTGGCAGTCCTCCCTCCTTCCCTTACACCTCCTGAGAGGCAGCCAAATGGAGCACCCAGAGAAGGAAAGACAAACCAGGAATTCTGTGTGCCCTGGCCATACCTACCTGCTCCACCTCACTCATCGCTCCAGCACAGAATTCCCTCAACCAGCCAGGCCTGTTCCCGGAAGTCCCACTGCCCTTCCTCCCCAGGAACAGTGGCCCTTCCCTTCCCAGAAGTCAGCTATGAATTCTACTTACTGGAGCCAGGCCTGGCAAGCACAGCCACAAAGATGGTAAAGCCCAGGGCCACAAGGTGGGCGGCAGCGCCAGAAGCAGTACGCAGAGCTCGGTAGATGTGTGACTCGGTCTCCGCAGAAAGGGCCATCGTCAGCCGTGCTAGTGGTTGTAGCCTGAAAGCATAGTAGCGTGGGCCAGGATCTCAGGTGCCCACTGTTCACTCCTCACTGGAGAAAAGGCTGCAAGGCAGGAATGCCACCCTCTTCCAATAAGTTATGGTAGGAAAGAACAGTACCAAGACCAGCACCAGGAATGGTCACAACATGCCAGTCGACGGCCGGCGGCCTGTCAACGTGTACCCATGTCTGAACTGGTACCAATCGCTGGCCCGCCTTCCAGGTAGGAGGCGCAAAGCCATGTAAGACTACAAATCCCAGCGTGTACCACGCCGTCGCCGGCAGTAGAGCCAGCTGGGAGGGCGCGGAGCACTATGGAAATTGTAGTTCCCTGCTGCGGTCCCAGTTACAGCGTGAATCCCTTAGCGCACCGCCTCCCCAAGTGCTGCCAGCATGCTGCCCCTCCACGCTAGGGACTTGCCTGCCTCTGCCGCAGCGCAGATCTGATGCGGTGGTTTCCTCCAAAGAAAGCGGGATACTCCGGGCCCTGCCGCGCGCACCGCCGCTCCGTCACGGAGCCGCTTTACTTCCGGGTGCGACGTCTACCCACCCAGGACTTCCTGGGACGAGCCGTCCCCCGCCCCAGCCACGCCTCTGAGTCGCGCTGCGCAGGCGCCATTGGGCAGAGGGATTGGCAAGCTTGCGTGCCCCAGCGACACAGGCCTCGAGGCTGTCTCTGACAAGTGTTCACAGGAGGTGGGGACGCCTCTGCGCGAGGAACGAGGAGCTACGGGCCTGGGCCCGGTTATTGCCATGGGCAGCGGCTGCCGCATCGAATGCATATTCTTCAGCGAGTTCCACCCCACGCTGGGACCCAAGATCACCTATCAGGTGCCACCCGGGCTCGCGGGACTGGGCGGGAAGAGGGACGTTCTCGAGAGCTCAACTGGCTGCCTGAAGGCAGTAGTTTCCCGTGCTGCACGCAGGCATGCTGCTTCATTCGCAGACAACTGTGAGGCTAGAGGATAGTCAGACCCAGGCCCCCGGCTCCCAATGTGGCAGGGAAGACATACGTCACATTGGCAGTGTTTGTAGGATATCGGGCTGTAGGGATCCGGTTGGGGGGTTCCAGGTCCCACAGAAGGTGAGTTGGGTGACCCATGAGTATCCCTGAACTGAGTGAAGAGTAAATGATGCATAGGAAGTTTAGGTAAGGCAGGAGAAAGTGTTCCAGGTAGAGGGAACAGCATATGCAGAAGCCAGGAAGGAGGTGAGATCATAGCGTATGTTTGGAAACAGAAAGAAGTAATAGGCCTGAGTGGATGGGAGAGAGGGGAACGCTGGAGAAGAGGACTTGGGCTTGGGGGGCATGAGGAGGTCACCATTTGTACTACACCCAGTACAGATGTCCACTGAGGGGCCCATTGCCACTCCCCTCCCCAGGTCCCTGAAGACTTCATCTCCCGAGAGCTGTTTGACACAGTCCAAGTGTACATCATCACCAAGCCAGAGCTGCAGAACAAGCTTATCACTGTGTGAGACCCTAGCTCGGGGTGAGCGGTGGGTGGCAGGGGTTGTCCCAGGAGGAGGAAGGGACAGGCTTGGGGGCCTGACTGTGTTCCAATTATCCAGCACAGCTATGGAAAAGAAGCTGATCGGCTGTCCTGTGTGCATCGAACACAAGAAGTACAGCCGCAATGCTCTCCTCTTCAACCTGGGCTTCGTGTGTGATGCCCAGGCCAAGACCTGCGCCCTCGAGCCCATTGTTAAAAAGCTGGCTGGCTATCTGACCACACTAGAGGTCTGCAATGAGATGGGCTTGGGTTTACCGACAGGCAGAGTTGGGGAAGGTGTTCCCATGTCTCCAAAGTCCCCCAAACCTGGGACCCTGCAAACCAGCTCAGGACTCAGGGCAGCCAACCAGCCAGGGGTCCTGGGATGTGCCCACCATGCTTTCCATGCTCTGTCTAGCTAGAGAGCAGCTTCGTGTCCATGGAGGAGAGCAAGCAGAAGTTGGTGCCCATCATGACCATCTTGCTGGAGGAGCTAAATGCCTCAGGCCGGTGCACTCTGCCCATTGGTATGGCCAGCCTCTGCAAGGACAGCAGAGGGGTAGAGGAGAGATGGGAAAGTGAACCCAGCTAGTCAGGGAGAAGGGCAAGACTCATGAACACATTGGTGGGCAGGAAATAGCCATGGGCTGAGGTGCCCATGTCCAGGGTCCAATGCATGATGGAGCTGGGACTGGGGGTAGGGGGAAAGCAGAGCTCTCCAGCTCTGCCCCTTGGGCAATTCCTTCCCCTTTGTGGGCCTCCGTTTCTCACTCCATAAAAAGAGAAAGATTAGCCCTACCCAGAGGCACCTGCTTGCCCCAAGGGATGCTGGGAGGCCTGGATGGTAATTGAGGACCTCTTGGAAGAAGTGGCACTGAGGATATGGATGGGGCCCCCTGCAGATGAGTCCAACACCATCCACTTGAAGGTGATTGAGCAGCGGCCAGACCCTCCGGTGGCCCAGGAGTATGATGTACCTGTCTTTACCAAAGACAAGGAGGATTTCTTCAACTCACAGTGGGACCTCACTACACAACAAGTATGCCATCCCTCCCTGGGTATCATCACCTGGGGCTGGCCACAGCCCTGGCCTCATCCTGTTTCTTCTGACCTTGTCCCACTCTGCCCAGATCCTGCCCTACATTGATGGGTTCCGCCACATCCAGAAGATTTCAGCAGAGGCAGATGTGGAGCTCAACCTGGTGCGCATTGCTATCCAGAACCTGCTGTGAGTGGGCCTACAGTCATACCTGGGACAAGGTCACCAGCCAGGGAAGACCTCAGGGGCCCTGGGTGTGAGGGTTGGGAAGGCATGGTCCTCAGAAGCTGAGCACAGCTCTCTCTCTCAGGTACTACGGCGTTGTGACACTGGTGTCCATCCTCCAGGTAGGTGAGTTGGGTTTGGTTAAGTGGAGAGTGGATCATGTGGCTGGACCAGACCAGGGCTGTGTCAGCTTCCCAAGCCCCTCACTCAGGCCCCTATGCCTTCTGCTACCCTCTAGTACTCCAATGTATACTGCCCAACGCCCAAGGTCCAGGACCTGGTAGATGACAAGTCCCTGCAAGAGGCATGTCTATCCTACGTGACCAAGCAAGGTAGTGGTGGGTTCTGGGGGAAGCCATCTTGGGGAGGGCAGGGCCACATGATGAGCTGATCCCTGGCACCCACAGGGCACAAGAGGGCCAGTCTCCGGGATGTGTTCCAGCTATACTGCAGCCTGAGCCCTGGCACTACCGTGCGAGACCTCATTGGCCGCCACCCCCAGCAGCTGCAGCATGTTGATGAACGGTCAGAGGAGAATTTGCTGGGGCATTTGGGAGTTACCTGAGGGAAGCTAGACCCTTTATGTCTCTCAGGAGCCCTGGATCATGGGGCACTGCCAATCCAAGCAGGCTTCCTGGAGATGATGGGCTACAGAGACAAAATTGAAGGGAGACTACAGGAAAGGGTTGGCCTGCCTGAAAGAAGGCCTGGCCAGGGCGTCACCCCGTCCTCTGATCCTCACCCTAGGAAGCTGATCCAGTTCGGGCTTATGAAGAACCTCATCAGGCGACTACAGAAGTATCCTGTGCGGGTGACTCGGGAAGAGCAGAGCCACCCTGCCCGGCTTTATACAGGCTGCCACAGCTATGACGAGATCTGCTGCAAGACAGGTGGAGGCAGGCGGGCAGTCAGGGTGGGTTCAGGGCAGGGTGGCCAGGCCAAGGCCACTGACCTCTCCTCCACCACCCCACCCAGGCATGAGCTACCATGAGCTGGATGAGCGGCTTGAAAATGACCCCAACATCATCATCTGCTGGAAGTGAGGCTGGTAGTGACTGGATGGACACATTGCTGTGGGTAGTCCCTCCTACTAGGAGGCTTGTCATACTGTCTAGAGGTTGACTCTTAGTTCTGTAAATAAAGACATCCATTTCAAACAGCCTTTATTGAGTGCTGTTTCTGGGCCAGCCGTGGGAGACCCAGCAGTGAATGAAATAGCCACGAGCCGTGGGCTAGATCGCCATCTGGTGGGCAGGACCGACAATCGACAAATAAAAGTGCCGGTTAATTACAAAAAAAAAAAAAAAAAAAAAAAAAAATCGTCCTGATGCGGTGACTCACCTGTAGCCCCAGCTACTCAGGAGGCTGAAGTGGGGGGATCATTTGAGGCCACGAGTTGGAGGCTACATTTAGCTGTGATCCCATCACTGCACCCCAGCCTGGGTGACAGAGCAAGACCCCATCTCAATAATAATAATAATAATAAATAAACCTAGAAAGAAGCAGATGTAGCCAGGCGCGGTGGCTCATGCCTATAATCCCAGCACTTTGGGAGGCTGAAGCGGGCAGATCACCTGAGGTCAGATGTTCAAAAACAGCCTGGCCAACATAGTGAAACCCCATCTCCACTAAAAAAAAATACAAAAAATTAGCCAGGTGTGGTGGTGCACACCTGTAATCCCAGCTACTCAGGAAGCTGAGGCAGGAGAATCACTTGAACCTGGGAGGCAGAGGTTGCAGTGAGCCAAGATCATGCCACTGCACTCCAGCCTAGGTGACAGGAGACTCAATTTCAAAAAAAGATGTGATCAAGAGTGAGTTGGGTTGGAGGCAGGGACTGCTCTGGATTAAATGGCCAAGAAAGGCCATGCTGAGGTGTAAACTGAGCCCTGAAGGAAAAGTATTCCAGGCAAAGTGCAAAACTCTGAGGCAAAAACCTCTTTGGAATGTATGAGGGAGGTTCAGGGAAGCAAGGAGGAGAGGAAAGAATCCAAGTCCCGAGGTACAGGAGAGGACAAGAAGTAGATCTTGCAGAGCTGCTAGTAAGCGGCATCCCACCTAACATTTTGAGGGCCAGAAGTAGCCACAGAGCCCCTCTCACGCAAGGGAGTAATGTCTATATGCTTTTTTTTTTTTTTTGAGACGGTCTCCCTTTGTTGTCCAGGCTGGAGTGCGGTGGTGCAATCTTGCCTCACTGCAAACTCCACCTCCTGTGCTCAAGCGATTCTCCTGCCTCAGTCTCCCATGTAGCTGGGACTACAGGTGTGTGCTACCACACCTGTCTAATTTTTGTACTTTTAGTAGAGACAGGGTTTCACCATGTTGCCCAGGCTGGTCTCAAACTCCTGACCTCAAGTGATCCGCCTGCCTCGGCCTCCCAAAGTGCTGAGATTACAGGTGTCAGCCACCGCGCCCGGCCTGATATACACTTTTAAGGCTCCGGGCTGTCCATGAGGATCAAGCGTGGAAGTAGGTCTACAGAAAAGGCTGCCGCAGTTCACCCATGACAGGTGATGACAGTCTGGACATAGGGAGGATGGAGAGAAGTCGTGCGCCCTGGCAGTATTTCAGGAGCCAACTAGTGGAGCCGGGACGCGAGAAATAGAGGAACCAAGAAGCCATAAGGAGGAGGAAGAGCAGCGGGTAGGTCAAGATGCCACAGCCGCAGGAGGGGCTGTTGGGGTCGGGGTTACCCCCATCCCTGTGCAGGCGGACTTGGCGTCTGAGGACAGAGTCCAGACCACAAGGATCTGGAGCTCAGGAGAGACTCGTGGGCCACAGCCCGAGAAAGCGCTGGGAATCCAAATACTATGGCGATTGGCAGTCGCGTAGGCGAGGCGGGCTAGAGACCCGCCCGGATTTAGGCGCGAGCCACCTCCAGGGGCGGGGCCCAGGCCGCACTGCGCAGGCGCGGCTAACCCGTTTCCATGGCTGCGAGAACTGACGCTCCCCAACCGTCCCGCAACTGTCCTGTCCCAGACTTTGGCACCGTCGGGGTCCGTCGTCCCCGAATGTGACAGCATCCCCACCCCGGCTGCTGCCCAGGATCCGCCGGACCCCGGCCTCGATATGGGAGACCTGGAACTGCTGCTGCCCGGGGAAGCTGAAGTGCTGGTGCGGGGTCTGCGCAGCTTCCCGCTACGCGAGATGGGCTCCGAAGGGTGAGGCACCCGGGTCAGGCGGAGTCCCGGAGTCATTGTCCTTGAGTCGGGGAGCTGGGGCCTGACTCGGGGGAGGGGCTGCCCAGTGTGGAGGGGCTCCCAAATGGGGGAGCAGAGCGTTCCGAGACAGGAGTATTACTGCTCCTGAGCCCCCTGTGTCCCCTCAGGATCAGGTTAGGCTTCAGTAGGATCCAGCCCCCATCCCCACTCCTAATGCACACACGTGGACGCACATGCACTTACCCTCTGAGGCAGGTGGAACCAGCAGCATGAGAACCTGGAGAAGCTGAACATGCAAGCCATCCTCGATGCCACAGTCAGCCAGGGCGAGCCCATTCAGGAGCTGCTGGTCACCCATGGGAAGGTACCCCGAGGTCACAGGCAGGGTTCCTGCCTTCCCCCATACCTCACCTACTCTACCCCTCCGGAGTCCCCTGTGTGCCCTTCCCCTCTGGCCTGGTACACCTGTTCTCCCTGAAGGACAAAGAGGAATGTGTTACATGTTTCATTTTGTATCCCTATTGGACAGGACTCTGGCACACCAGGCTGGGTGCAGGGCATGAGTTGATTAGGGAGAAAGCTGTAGGTCCTAGAACAGCTTAGGCTTCAAGGGGAAGGCCCAAATGCTAAAGGCATCTGTGAATTGACTGTAAGGCTGGTGGTGGGGAAGGGGTGGGGAGGGGTTGGGGAGGGCGGGAGGGAGGGGAGATAACCTAACTGGAGGTGGAACTTCGGCATGGAAGGAAGCAGCCTTCCCAACATGAAAGGGGGAAGTTAGAAACCAGGGAGATGCCTGGCTGGAACATGGACCAGGGAGTGTCACCAGCAGATGACCTGAGATATCAATTGACCAAAAAAAAAAAAAAAAAAGCCGGGCATGGTAGCTCATGCCTGTTATCCCAGCATTTTGGGAGGCCAAGACGGGTGGATCATCTGAGGTCAGGAGTTCAAGGCCAGCCTGGCCAACATGGTGAAACCCCACCTCTACTAAAAATACAAAAATTTGCAGAGCATGGTGGTGCACACCTGTAATCCCAGCTACTCGGGAGGCTGAGGCAGGAGAATCGCTTGAACCTGGGAGGCAGAGGTTACAGAGAGCCAAGATCATGCCACTGCACTCCAGCCTGGGTGACAAGAGTGAAACTCCGTCTCAAAAAAAAAAAAAAAAAAAAGAAAGGTCCTTTGCAAAAGAAAGATGGAACTCATACTAGGGGATAGGATAGGAACAGGGCACTGTGAAGGGTCCTGAGTAGGAGTGAGGCCAAGGCACACAAGAGCTTTGGAGGACCACAGACAGGGACTAGAGGGAGGGCATGAGGAGAAGGGCTGGCTTGAAAGGGATGCCTGAATGGGCGGGCAGAGGATAAGGGTGCAGGTGCAGGCAGGGCAAGGCAGTCTGGGAACTGGGCAGGAGCCAGTCACATAAGCATGAGGGACATCCACAGAGGTGTTGGGAGCAGCTGGTAATGAAGGTCCAAGGTGCAAGAGAGAAGTCAGGAAGGATACTCATGGGTCTGGAATAGTTTAGGGGCCCAGCAGTGTTTGGGGATATCAGGGTTGAGCTGAGCCGGGGATGGGAGGGTTGCCAGGCAAAGGTAGGCCCATCTCATCCCTGTCCTTTACCCTACCCTTCAAAGGTCCCAACACTGGTGGAGGAGCTGATCGCAGTGGAGATGTGGAAGCAGAAGGTGTTCCCTGTGTTCTGCAGGGTGGAGGACTTCAAGCCCCAGAACACCTTCCCCATCTACATGGTGGTGAGCTGGGCCCCTGGTTCATACCTCTTCTCACTCCTTCAGAGGGCTCTGGACCGGGGAGGAGAGCTGGTAGCCCCTATCCCTTCCTCAGGCCCTGTCCTTCTCTTTATCTGACAGGTGCACCACGAGGCCTCCATCATCAACCTCTTGGAGACAGTGTTCTTCCACAAGGTGAGGGACTATCTCTGCCCATGGGCCACAGTTCCGGGTCAGGGCCTGGCAGGAAGGGAGATTGTGTCTGTGTGGGGAAGGCATCAGACACAGAAAGTTTCCCTCCTCCTTTTCCCAGGAGGTGTGTGAGTCAGCAGAAGACACTGTCTTGGACTTGGTAGACTATTGCCACCGCAAACTGACCCTGCTGGTGGCCCAGAGTGGCTGTGGTGGCCCCCCTGAGGGGGAGGGATCCCAGGACAGCAACCCCATGCAGGTGGGTTGAGGTTACCTAGGGTTGTGAAAGCCTAGGTCTGGGTTCCCCAAGGCCTGCGCAGGTGAGGGTGGCCCAGCGTGAACACTGTGTGACCTCCCAGGAGCTGCAGAAGCAGGCAGAGCTGATGGAATTTGAGATTGCACTGAAGGCCCTCTCAGTACTACGCTACATCACAGACTGTGTGGACAGGTGAGCAGTCCGACTGGGCCTGGGCCTACTGTGGAGGGCTGGAAGACCGGGCCTGTAGCCTGCCTCTACTCACCTCCTTCACAACGTCCCTGCCCCTAGCCTCTCTCTCAGCACCTTGAGCCGTATGCTTAGCACACACAACCTGCCCTGCCTCCTGGTGGAACTGCTGGAGCATAGTCCCTGGAGCCGGCGGGAAGGAGGTAGGGTCCTCCCCCACCAGCCTAAGCCCCAGGCTACTGCTTCAGGGTATCTTTTTGATAGAGGGGGGCAGCTTGCACACACGAAGACAAACCCTGTCCCCAAGCCCACTGAGGATACCAGGATGCCTCAGCCAAGGTTGGCCTAGACCTGAGCTCTGCAGCAGGCCAGGCCCATGTGTCCACTACTGAGGCTCACCCTGCTCTGGGGTCAGCAGCCCTATAGCCTGGGCAAGTCCTGCAGCCCAGGTTCTCCCATTCCCAGGCAGTGGTCAGTCTCCCAGCCCCCACAGCTGGCTCACTTGAAGAGAATTCAACGTCTGCACCCAGTGTGCTGGTTCCTCTCCCCAGGCAAGCTGCAGCAGTTCGAGGGCAGCCGTTGGCATACTGTGGCCCCCTCAGAGCAGCAAAAGCTGAGCAAGTTGGACGGGCAAGTGTGGATCGCCCTGTACAACCTGCTGCTAAGCCCTGAGGCTCAGGCGCGCTACTGCCTCACAAGTTTTGCCAAGGGACGGCTACTCAAGGTCAGACTCCCTCCGCACCAGCCCCCACAGCCCCAGTACCGCCCTCCCCATCCTACCCCGACTGCGTCCCTGCTGTTTATCTTTGCCCACCCACCTCAACCCCAGTGCTCTTTTCAGTCCTTGGGCCTCAGGTGACACACCAGCTAGTGGGACATGGGCCCCCACAGGCATTCTCAGCCCAACCCAGCCCCTTCCTTTTCCTTGGCCCCCTGGCCAGCACCTGCATCACACTGGCCTCCACTGGACACCCTTGCAGCTTCGGGCCTTCCTCACAGACACACTGCTGGACCAGCTGCCCAACCTGGCCCACTTGCAGAGTTTCCTGGCCCATCTGACCCTAACTGAAACCCAGCCTCCTAAGAAGGACCTGGTGTTGGAACAGGTAGGCACTGGAAAGTTAGCTGCTCAGGACCACTGTCCCACTTTACCAGCACCTTCCTGCCACTCTCCACTTCTCTCTCCTAGATCCCAGAAATCTGGGAGCGGCTGGAGCGAGAAAACAGAGGCAAGTGGCAGGCAATTGCCAAGCACCAGCTCCAGCATGTGTTCAGCCCCTCAGAGCAGGACCTGCGGCTGCAGGCGCGAAGGTAAGGCCTGTGGAAATGGCAGGGAGGGTGGAGGGGATGCAGGAGGCATGGATGTGGGTGGGGTGCCCCCACCTTCCAGGGCCAGTCAGACCTTCCTGACTTTCCCCCAGGTGGGCTGAGACCTACAGGCTGGATGTGCTAGAGGCAGTGGCTCCAGAGCGGCCCCGCTGTGCTTACTGCAGTGCAGAGGCTTCTAAGCGCTGCTCACGATGCCAGAATGAGTGGTATTGCTGCAGGTGAGGGTATCCTAGAACCTTGGACCTCTAAGCCCTACTCCCACATCCCCCACATGCATTGCCATCCTCAATACCCACCTGCCTGCAGGGAGTGCCAAGTCAAGCACTGGGAAAAGCATGGAAAGACTTGTGTCCTGGCAGCCCAGGGTGACAGAGCCAAATGAGGGCTGCAGTTGCTGAGGGCCGACCACCCATGCCAAGGGAATCCACCCAGAATGCACCCCTGAACCTCAAGATCACGGTCCAGCCTCTGCCGGAGCCCCAGTCTCCGCAGTGGAGAGCAGAGCGGGCGGTAAAGCTGCTGACCGATCTCCCTCCTCCTCACCCCAAGTGAAGGCTCGAGACTTCCTGCCCCACCCAGTGGGTAGGCCAAGTGTGTTGCTTCAGCAAACCGGACCAGGAGGGCCAGGGCCGGATGTGGGGACCCTCTTCCTCTAGCACAGTAAAGCTGGCCTCCAGAAACACGGGTATCTCCGCGTGGTGCTTTGCGGTCGCCGTCGTTGTGGCCGTCCGGGGTGGGGTGTGAGGAGGGGACGAAGGAGGGAAGGAAGGGCAAGGCGGGGGGGGCTCTGCGAGAGCGCGCCCAGCCCCGCCTTCGGGCCCCACAGTCCCTGCACCCAGGTTTCCATTGCGCGGCTCTCCTCAGCTCCTTCCCGCCGCCCAGTCTGGATCCTGGGGGAGGCGCTGAAGTCGGGGCCCGCCCTGTGGCCCCGCCCGGCCCGCGCTTGCTAGCGCCCAAAGCCAGCGAAGCACGGGCCCAACCGGGCCATGTCGGGGGAGCCTGAGCTCATTGAGCTGCGGGAGCTGGCACCCGCTGGGCGCGCTGGGAAGGGCCGCACCCGGCTGGAGCGTGCCAACGCGCTGCGCATCGCGCGGGGCACCGCGTGCAACCCCACACGGCAGCTGGTCCCTGGCCGTGGCCACCGCTTCCAGCCCGCGGGGCCCGCCACGCACACGTGGTGCGACCTCTGTGGCGACTTCATCTGGGGCGTCGTGCGCAAAGGCCTGCAGTGCGCGCGTGAGTAGTGGCCCCGCGCGCCTACGAGAGCGGAAGGGGCAGCCAAGGGGCAGCGCAGTCGCCGCGGGTCAAGTCGCGGCAGAGGGGGTCGGCGGGGACAGCTCCCGAGGACTAGGTCCGTTACTTTCGCCCCATCGCTGAAGAGTGCGCGAAAATGGTTTATCCCTTGTCGCACTCCACTCGTATCTGGGCCACAGATGAGCAGAGGTGGCTGCTTATATGTAAAAATACGCTGATTTTAAGTTTCTTATCTTTAAAATGCCTTGGCCCTTCTTGAGAAAGGGTTTGTGCCTACTGTCCTCGGAGTCCATCTTCCCAGGCTTGCCTCTTCTCAAACACTCATGACCCCCTCCAGAACCTTTAGGGTGAAGGGAAATTACCACCTATGGGAGGGAGCCTGGAAAAATTTAGAACCTTTGGTGGGCCCCCTGCAAGCAGGAGTTTTGTTGAGTCTTTATTTAGCAAACACCCTTTTCTGACCCAGTGAATCAGATGCTAAAATATGCACGCAGCCACACACCCAGCAGTCCTTCTGCACCCCTGGGAATCGCCAGCAAGCAAAGGTTGCTCTCCCCTGGGTAGACACCAGCTGGAATCACCAGGGGTGCTTTTACAGTCCTCCCCGCTAGCCTGGATCCCACCGCAGACCTGTTGAATCAACTGCTGGGAGTGGACCCTAGGCATCAGTAAATTTTAAAAACTCCCCAAATTATTGTAACATGGAGTCTGGGTTGAGCATCACTGCTCTGGCCTATTTAGGAACTTGTG
Organism: Homo sapiens; assembly: GCF_000001405.40. Taxonomy (NCBI): domain Eukaryota; kingdom Metazoa; phylum Chordata; class Mammalia; order Primates; family Hominidae; genus Homo; species Homo sapiens. The sequence goes on along the minus strand of NC_000003.12, from coordinate 50,339,787 downwards.
GATGGATAGTGTCCCAGGTCTGTGTGTGCATGGAGACCCTCTCATCCGGTACAAGAGGACATCACAAATTCAGCTGGGGGGAGCACAAAGTTGTGACAGAATGCAAAGAATGAACAAGGGGCCGAGCGCGGTGGCTCATGCCTGTAATCCCAGCACTTCGGAAGGCGGAGGCGGGTGGATCACCTGAGGTCAGGAGTTCAAGACCAGCCTGGCCAACATGGTGAAACCTCATGTCTACTAAAAAATAAAAAAAAATGAGCCAGGCGTAGTGGCGGGTGCCTGTAATCCCAGCTACTCGGGAGGCTGAGGTGGGAGAATTGCTTGAACACAGGAGGCGGAGGTTGCAGTGAGCCGAGATCGTGCCACTGCCCTCCAGCCTTGGCGACAGAGTGAGACTCTGTCTCAAAAAAAAAAAAAAAAAAAAAAAGAACAAGGCTGGGACATTGCAGCGTTCTCAAAGAGAAATAAAGTAGCCATGGAGATAAGAAGCAGGATGATTTGGGCATGTTTATCAGAGGTAGAGACAAGGGAGAAATCAAAGATAAGTTTGGGCTTTTGTCTCCAGTAACTGGGAGCCTAGTGGCCATTTTTGCTGCAAAGAGGAAGCTGGGCAAGTGTAGCAGTGAGGCTGAAGAAAAGGGAATTAAATTTTGGCCATGTTCACTTGAAACGTCTTTTAGACATCCTAGTGAAGGTACTGGCACGGAGGATCTAGTCTGAGGGTTTAGGTCAGTGTTTCAGCCGTGGATCTGGGGCAGATGAATGTAGACAGACCAGGCCAGTGATCAGGACTGAGCCCAGACTTCATCGTGAGATATGGAAGTTGAGTCAGAATCTGCAAAGGAGCTGAGCAGGAGCTGCAGGGGGTAGGAGGAAAACTGGGAGAGTGTAGCCCCTGGGAGTCAAAGGGAGCAAGCTTCAAATGATGCTGAGGGGGTGAGAATGGAGAATGGAACACTGGATTCCATTTGGTAGTACACAGATCGCTGAGGACCCTGTCCCGGGCAGTTTCCTGGAGGAAGAGGCAAGCCTGGCTGGAGTGGGTAGAGGGGAGAGTGAAGGCGAAGGATTAGAGTGTATAGAGACCAGTGTCTTGGTCTGAGGGGAGTAGAGACAGGTGACAACCACAGGGCAGACGTAGGTTAAAGGTGTTTAGTTTTTCCTTCAAGTAAATGGGCAGATGTATTCCATATACGTTCCCAGTGAAGGGCCGGGTGCGGTGGCTCAAGCCTGTAGTCCCAGCACTTTGGAAGGCCGAGGCGGGTGGATCACCTGAGATCAGGAGTTTGAGACCAGCCTGGCTAACATGGTGAAACCCCGTCTCTACTAAAAATACAAAAATTAGCTGGGCATGGTGGCGGGCGCCTGTAATCCTAGGTACTCAGGAGGCTGAGGCAGAAGAATCGCTTGAACCCAGGAGGCGGAGGTTGCGGTGAGCCGAAATCGCGCCATTGCACTCCAGCCTGGGTGACAAAAGCAAGACGCAGTTTTTTGTTGTTGTTTTTTTAATTGCCAATGAGGAAAGGGGAAGTTCTGTGCTAGGCGATAGAGATCCAACTGTTGAGCAGGCCTCTCTGCCTGTGGCCTTCCGGCCGGTTTCCAGACGCCCAGGTGGCCAACATTAGAGTCCGCGTAGCAGTGTGAGGTAACCCACTGAGATAGGTCGGGCCTGCGGAGCCTGGCGAGCAGCGGCCCTCTCCCTGGGGCTTCCCTTCAATCTCCGGGACATTTCCCCGACCTGGAGCTCCTCCGCCTCACCGCCAGGCCTCTCTGCAGATTGCAAGTTCACCTGCCACTACCGCTGCCGCGCGCTCGTCTGCCTGGACTGTTGCGGGCCCCGGGACCTGGGCTGGGAACCCGCGGTGGAGCGGGACACGAACGTGGTGAGCGCGGGGCCGAGGGCGTATGGGAAGGGCGAGGATGGGCAGGCCACAGTGCAGGCATTCTCGAGGGCTGCCTGGGTGCCGCGCGCAAGGAGCGTTCTAATTGCCGATTTCCCGGCGGCACAGAGAGGCTAATTCTGCGCGGGGGCTGGGAGGGGAGCCTGGATTGCCGGCTCCGCAAGTACTCCACCCGCTGCAAGCGGACCCGGGCCCAGGCTGACCCAGGCTCCGCGCACGCGCACTTCCCGCACCTTCCCGCCCTCGCCTCCGGCCAGAGGCCACTCTTGTGCGCTTGCCCGGACGCTGGCACCCGCCCCCGTTCCCTGTGGTAGGTGGGGTCTGTGAGTGGAGCTCCGGAGCGATGAGGTCATTCCTGGGGGCGAAGCGTGCGTGTCCCCGCCCCGGCGTTCCTGCCCCAATGAGACAAGAGCTAGATCCCGGCGATCTACGTTTCAGTCTTAACGGTTGCGGCGCGGCTCTGGCCCGGGCGCACGCGCACACTGACACGCGTACACGCACGCACGCGACCGGGGCGGTGGTTGGCGGCTACGGACGCGCAGGACTGGGGGACGGGCGGGTACGGCTATGGGCGAGGCGGAGGCGCCTTCTTTCGAAATGACCTGGAGCAGCACGACGAGCAGTGGCTACTGCAGCCAAGAGGACTCGGACTCGGAGCTCGAGCAGTACTTCACCGCGCGAACCTCGCTAGCTCGCAGGCCGCGCCGGGACCAGGTGGGAGCCAGGGGGTGCCGGCGGGCGGGAGGGGAAGCGGTCGCTGGAGCTCCGCCCTCCCCGGTCCGTTGCCGCGTCCTGGGTCGGTGGGCAGCCCCACCCTCCTGGCTACGTGGCTCCCCGCGGGTCCTGGCCGGGGACCTGCCCGCGGAACCGTGCGTAAGACCCCGATTCCACCGCCTAGATGCTGGGTGCCGGGGCCCCCTTGGTTTCTGTCACAGACAGGTTGAACACGGAAAAAGCAGCTGTATGGCTTGTGGTAGACCTGAGCCGGGCATTATCCAGCTATGACTAAAGCCGACCGAGCAGTTTGGACTAGCACCTCGATTTCCGCGTTCGAATGCTCCTGCTCCCTCCTTGGGGAGACTAGGGGAGGATGTGGAGAGGGAAGAGTCCTCGCCAGGAATTGAGAAGTATGTTTAGGAAAACTTGAGAGGCAGAGAGAGATCCTGCTCCTCCATCTGCACTCCTGTATGGAGCCAGCTGAGCCCTCACCTCTTCCCTGTTCTGGCCTGTCACCAGCTGCTGGAATGTGGAAGATTCTGTTCCCTTCCTCTAGGGTGGATCTGGAGAAAGATTTGGGAATAGATAGGAAAGAAGTCTTGTTTTGGACCATAAGCATTCAGGAGCACTTTACCCACAGGAAGGGGGAAAGCTAGATTATAAAATGCCTAAAGAGGTGGAAAAAGAGATCCAGGTTACTAACCCAGGACTGTAAGGTGTCTCGGAACCTCCTAGGTATCCCCATTATCGGAGAACTGTGTGCCAGATGCCATTGGTGTGACCACCAGGCTCAGAGAACCAGGCCTAGGCACCAGGAAAAAGAAACAGGGACTGTGAAGCTCAGTATGCCTGGCAGAAATGGGGCGGAAATCCTTATTTAAGTAAAGAAAGTGGAGTTGTGAGTGATGCTTCAGATAAAATTTTACAAAATTCCTTACAAAATGGGTGGTGCTCAGCACGCCAAAATCTTAGCCCAGAGCTTGGGTGCAAGGGTTGAGTTGAGTGTAGACCCCTGGGCTTGTCTTCATGTCAGTCAGTCCTGAGCCATTTTCCACTGTGGAAAGGTGGGAAAACCACAAGACACTAACCAATTGAAAAGGAGGGCTAGCCACGGAGGTGCACACCTGTAATCCCAGCTACTTGGGAGGGTGAGGCAGAAGGATCACTTGAACCTGGGAGGCAGAGGTTGCAGTGAGCCAAGATCGTGCCACTGCACTCCAGCCTGAGTGACAGAGTGAGACTCTGTCTCAAAAATAGAAAAGGAAGCCAAGTACGGTGGCTCACACCTCTAATGCCAATGCTTTGGGAGGCCAAGGCAGGTGGATCATTTGCAATCAGGAATTCGAGGTCAGCCTGGCCAACATGGTGAAACCCTATCTCTACTAAACATACAAAAATTAGCCGGGCATGGTGGTGTGTGACTGTAGTCCCAGCTACTTGGGAGACTGAATCACTTCAACCGGGAGGCAAAGGTTGCAGTGAGCCAAGATCGTGCCACTGCACTCCAACCTGGGTGACAGGGTGAGGCTCTGTCTCAAAAAAAAGAAAGAAGGCTGGGCTTGGTGACTCATGCCTGTAATCTCAGCATTTTGGGAGGCCAAGGCAGGCAGATCACTTGAGGCCAAGAGTTCGAGACCTGCCAGGCCAACATAGCAAAACCCCGTCTGTACTGAAAATACAAAAAAATTATCTGGCCATGGTGGTGTGTGCCTGTAATCCCAGCTACTGGGGAGGCTGAGGCAGGAGTATCACTTGAACCCAGAAGACAGAGGTTGCAGTGAGTCGAGACTGGGCCACTGCATTCCAGCCTGGATGAGAGAGCAAGACTCTGTCTCAAAAAAAAAAAAAAAAAAAAAGAAAGAATAGGAGGCTGAGAAGTCCCAAGTTATATGTTAAAAAAAAAGAAAAAAACATCAGTTTTAGGCCAGGTGCAGTGGCTCACACCTTTAATCCCAGCACTTTGGAAAGCCGAGGTGGGTGGATCATGAGGTCAGGAGTTCAAGACCAGCCTGGCCAAAATGGTGAAACCCCGTCTCGACTAAAAATACAAAAAATTAGCCAGTTGTGGTGGCAGGCACCTGTAATCCCAGCTACTTGGGAGGCTGAAGCAGAGAATTGCTTGAACCCAGGAGGCAGAGATTGCAATGAGCCAAGATCGCACCACTGCACTCCAGCCTGGAAAACAGAGCGAGACTCTGTCTCAAAAAAAAAACCATCAGTTTTTATGGACAGTGGTAGAGTGGAGGGTGGGTCCCTATGGTGCAGAAGGGAAATTCCATGGTCCTGCTGTGCATCCGACTGGGATGGCTGTTGAAATCCTCTTCCAGCAGGCAGCTTTGGAAACAGAAAAAGAAACTCTTCCTCCTTTAGAATCCTGGAAGGGCTGTGCAGTGCCTCTAATCCAAGTCTGTTTTCTGAGTGAAGATAGGGAGGTTCATCACCAGAAGGGAAGGGGCTGGAAATGAGGTCACTGCATCCCAGCCCAGGGCTCCTGGGTCATCCAGGAAGGGAAGAAGGAGCAAGCTTTCTCATTGTTAGGTAGGAGCTCAGAGCCATCACAAGAACAAGTTAGCACCATCCCTGTGCCCTCCCTGTTCTGCAAACAAAATGATCTTCCTTCTTGCCCTGGCACTAGAGTCTGTCTGGCATTTCTCCTGCCCCTAGTACTCCTCCCATCTGGGTACTTCTTCCCGTTGGTGTACTGAACAAACACATCCACTGCTTTATTCACAGCCTCCAGCCCTCATTTTCCAGGGCCCACACCATTTGTTTTTACTAACCCGACAAGGTTGCCCACTGTCCCCAGTAAGGTTTGTACTGGGGTTTTTACTCCAGTGCTCTTCTCCATCCAGGAGACCTTTGGATACTTGGGGAAGAAAATGAGCTTAAATTCCCACCCCTCCCCCTTTACCTTTTTCCTGTAAGGCCCTGGCCTTAGTTCTTAGCCCCACATCCTTGCTGGCTGCAGAATAGCAGCGGGTTCTGGGTAAGGAGCATTCTGCTAAAACGCTCCACCCTGCTCCCTCATCTGTCCTCTCCATTTGTCCCCATCAGATGGTTTAAGTGCTTAAGGGGACTCCAGGGCGGAGTCAGGGAGAACCCTGGCTCTCCTGGGCTAGGCACAAGATCATTCTACAGGAAACCTTGTGGGAATTCTTCTGGGACAAAGTATTGGTCAGCGCTGAGCTTAGCTGTGTCTGTGACACTCGCATTCTAACTAGGGCCTATCTGACGTCAACAGGAAGTAAGGCTGATGCAGTGGGGCCAAGGGAGTCTGGGAGAAGAAAGTCGGTTCAGAGCCCTGGCTGCCCTGTCCCACACTCCACCCTTCCGGCAAGAATCCAGTCCCTAGATGAGGTGGGGAGTGAGTGGTCGAGTTAAAAATCTCTGGGTCGGGTACGATGGTTCACGCCTGTAATCCCAGCACTTTGGGAGGTGAAGGCAGGCGGATCACTTGAGGTCAGGAGTTCAAGACCAACCTGGCCAATGTGGTGAAATCCCATCTCTACTAAAAATACAAAAATTAGCCGGGTGTTGTTGTGGCACGCGCCTGTAGTCCCAGCTACTCGGGAGTCTGAGGCAGGAGAATCGCTTGAACCCAGGAGGCAGAACTTGCAGTGAGCCAAGATCCAGCCACTGCACTACAGCCTGGGCGACAGAGTGAGGCTTCGTCTCAAAAAAAAAAAAAATCTTTGGGCCAAATCTCCAGACAGCACAGGCAGGTGCAGAAACCCACCAGGAAGCTGCCTGTGTACCTCTGGCAGATTGGAGCCTGGCCTAAAGCTGCCTTTTATGCAGCTTGGGTCAAGGTTAAACATCATGTCACAGTGATTTTTCTCACTATGTGTGAGACATGGAGAACTGGCTCCAAGTACTACTCTGTCCACTGGTGGCTGGACTACTGATGTGCACCACTCTCCACTCCTCTCACCCTGCAGTGGGTCATGGCCCCGTGCCGGGGCAGAGGAGAAAAATGGGCTGCCTTCTCCAGGACAAACCCTCACTCCAACTCAACTAGGGTGCTGTGATCAGAATGTGCAATTGAGGTGTGATTTTACTGATTTTTTTTTTTTTTGAGACCGAGTTTCGCTCTTGTTGCCCAGGCTGGAGTGCGATGGCACGATCTCAGTTCACTGCAACCTCCACCTCCCGAGTTTGAGCAATTCTCCTGCCTCAGCCTCCTAAGTAGCTGGGATTACAGGCATGTGCCACCACGCCTGGCTAATTTTGTATTTTTAGTAGAGACGGGGTTTCTCCATGTTGGTCAGGCTGGTCTCAAACTCCTGACCTCAGGTGATCCACCCGCCTCGGCCTCCCAAAGTGCTAGAATTACAGGCGTGAGCCAACGTGCCCAGCCTGTTTTTGTTTTTTGTGTTTTGAAGCAGGGTCTCACTCAGTTCCCCAGGCTGGAGTGCAGTGACACGATAATAGCTTACTGTAGCTGCAATCTCCCGGGCTCAAACGATCCTCCCACCTCAGCCTCCTGAACAGTTGGGACTACAGGCACACCACCACACCTGGCTAATTTTTTTTTTTCTTTTTTTAGTAGAGATGAGGTCTTGCTATGTTGCCCAAGCTGGTCTCAAACTCCTGAGGATCAAGTGATCCTCCTACCTTAGCCTCCCAAAATGCTGGGATTGCAGATGTGAGCCACCACACCCAGCCTGATTTTACTTTAAATGAGAGTCCCTCTTCAGAGTCCCTCAGCTGTTCCTGGCCCCTGGCCATGTGCCTTCAGTTGCCCCTGCTTCTGTGGTATCCTTAAGGCTACATTCAGTGCTGAGGCCCTAGGCAGGCAGCAGAGAGAAGCCAAATGATTCTGTCTTTCCCTTATCCACCCAGAGCATGCAAAACCAGGAGCAGTGGTGGGTTCAGGGTGGGCACCAGCTATGTATATGTACATCAGGGACAGGGGGCCAAAGGCAGTCAGTTTCCAAAGACTGCCCCAGAGGCCATTTTTCAGAGAAGCCCTGGGTTCCTCAAGGGCCCTGTGTCCATGCTGGCCCATCTTGCAGGACGAGCCTGTGGAGTGGGAGACACCTGACCTTTCTCAAGCTGAGATTGAGCAGAAGATCAAGGAGTACAATGCCCAGATCAACAGCAACCTCTTCATGAGCTTGGTGAGTTGACTGCTCAGGAAGGGGGCGTGGGGAGGAGCAGGTACCCAGCTATGTGCCTGATACTCAGAGGGTCACAACTGAGGTTATCTTGGGTGGGCGCAAGCAGTAATTTGTGCATACCCAGCCTAGCCCCAAGTAGACTGACATCTCACCTGGAACCTATTATCAAGGTTTGGTTTCTCTATTTCTTTAGAACAAGGACGGTTCTTACACAGGCTTCATCAAGGTTCAGCTGAAGCTGGTGCGCCCTGTCTCTGTGCCCTCCAGCAAGAAGCCACCCTCCTTGCAGGATGCCCGGCGGGGCCCAGGACGGGGCACAAGTGTCAGGCGCCGCACTTCCTTTTACCTGCCCAAGGATGCTGTCAAGCACCTGCATGTGCTGTCACGCACAAGGGCACGTGAAGTCATTGAGGCCCTGCTGCGAAAGTTCTTGGTGGTGGATGACCCCCGCAAGTTTGCACTCTTTGAGCGCGCTGAGCGTCACGGCCAAGGTGGGCTTCCCACCCCACCCTGCCCTATGTGAGGGTATATACGCATGCACCTGAGCATGCAGGGGCTGAGCAGCTGGCCCTGTCTCTGATCATTACTTCCCCTTCACAGTGTACTTGCGGAAGCTGTTGGATGATGAGCAGCCCCTGCGGCTGCGGCTCCTGGCAGGGCCCAGTGACAAGGCCCTGAGCTTTGTCCTGAAGGAAAATGACTCTGGGGAGGTGAACGTGAGTACATAGTTCTTAGTTTCTTGGTTGTCACTAGACAGGACTGATGGGCTGTAGCTACAGTAAGGCTTGGAGGAGGAATTGTGCTGGAAGACAAGCCCTGCAAAACAGTTCCAGGAGTGTATAGGCATTGTAACTAAAGCAAAGGCTTCCAGACCACTCATGCCAAAGCCTAGGGTTGTCCCAAGAAGCCAGGAAGAATTGCCTTGGTGCTTTGATCTTTCCTGGTGTGGAAAATCTTCTGGAGATGCAGGAGTCCATCTAATGACATGAGGAGGCCCCCTTCAGACTTTTTACCTGGAAGCTTTCTGGCTCCAAGGTATTAGGCCTGTGGAGTGAAATTAGACTCAGAATATGCCTGACCTGTCCACAGGTAATTGGGGAACATCTGACTTGGTTGTCTCAGTAAGGTGACCGTTTTGTAGGGCCCATCTTCCATACAAACTGCTGTCAGGGATCCTACCAGAGATCATTCAGCCAAGAGCCTGACATCAGAAAGCCCAGTCCTAGCTTGTGTGAACATGAGGTGCTAGTCTTCTCTGGGGAGGGTCTGCTGGCTTGGCCATCCCTTCTGCAGCCTGTACACTCCCCTTTTGCCCCTTGCAGTGGGACGCCTTCAGCATGCCTGAACTACATAACTTCCTACGTATCCTGCAGCGGGAGGAGGAGGAGCACCTCCGCCAGATCCTGCAGAAGTACTCCTATTGCCGCCAGAAGATCCAAGAGGCCCTGCACGCCTGCCCCCTTGGGTGACCTCTTGTACCCCCAGGTGGAAGGCAGACAGCAGGCAGCGCCAAGTGCGTGCCGTGTGAGTGTGACAGGGCCAGTGGGGCCTGTGGAATGAGTGTGCATGGAGGCCCTCCTGTGCTGGGGGAATGAGCCCAGAGAACAGCGAAGTAGCTTGCTCCCTGTGTCCACCTGTGGGTGTAGCCAGGTATGGCTCTGCACCCCTCTGCCCTCATTACTGGGCCTTAGTGGGCCAGGGCTGCCCTGAGAAGCTGCTCCAGGCCTGCAGCAGGAGTGGTGCAGACAGAAGTCTCCTCAATTTTTGTCTCAGAAGTGAAAATCTTGGAGACCCTGCAAACAGAACAGGGTCATGTTTGCAGGGGTGACGGCCCTCATCTATGAGGAAAGGTTTTGGATCTTGAATGTGGTCTCAGGATATCCTTATCAGAGCTAAGGGTGGGTGCTCAGAATAAGGCAGGCATTGAGGAAGAGTCTTGGTTTCTCTCTACAGTGCCAACTCCTCACACACCCTGAGGTCAGGGAGTGCTGGCTCACAGTACAGCATGTGCCTTAATGCTTCATATGAGGAGGATGTCCCTGGGCCAGGGTCTGTGTGAATGTGGGCACTGGCCCAGGTTCATACCTTATTTGCTAATCAAAGCCAGGGTCTCTCCCTCAGGTGTTTTTTATGAAGTGCGTGAATGTATGTAATGTGTGGTGGCCTCAGCTGAATGCCTCCTGTGGGGAAAGGGGTTGGGGTGACAGTCATCATCAGGGCCTGGGGCCTGAGAGAATTGGCTCAATAAAGATTTCAAGATCCTCCTGCTGTTGGAATCTTTTATACATATAAAGTTTTTGTAGAGACATGAGTCTCTCTGTGTTGCCCAGGATCCTCCCAACTTGGCCTCCCAAAGTGTTGGGATTACAGGTGTGAGCCACCCTGCCCAGCCTGGACTCTTTATTATTATAGGCGCAGAGCTGCAGTTGCCCCTCATGGTGCCAGAAGTTGCCAAGGGTGATGGACAGGCTCCCAGGTGTCTTGCAAAGTCACCATGGACCAATTTGTGAAGATGTAGTATGCATACATACTTGGTCATCACTCAGCTCCCTGGGGCTCAGGTTGTGGTGGAGACAAAAATGGACTGCAGTTAGAACTTAGGGAAACTGGCTGGGCATAGTGGCTCACACCTGTAATCCCAACACTTTGGTTGGGCTAGGTGGGCAGATCACTTGAGGCCAGGAGTTCGAGGCCAGCCTGGCCAGCATGGCGAAACCCCATCTCTACCAAAAATACAAAAAAAATTTAGCTGGGCGTGGTGGTGGGCGCTTGTAGTCCCAGCTACTCAGAAGGCTGAGGCAGGAGAATCGCTTGAACCCGGCAGGCAGAGGTTGCAGTGAGTGGAGATCACACCACTGCACTCCGATAGAGCAAGACTCCAACTCAAAAAAAAAAAAAACGGCCGGGCGCAGTGGCTCAGGCCTGTAATCCCAGCACTTTGGGAGGCCAAGGCGGGTGGATCACCTGAGGTCCGGAGTTCAAGACTGCCTGACCAACATGGTGAAACCCCGTCTCTACTAGAAATACAAAAAAATTAGCCGGCATGGTGGCAGATGCCTGTAATCCCAAGTACTCGGGAGGCTGAGGCAGGAGAATCGCTTGAACCCTGGAGGCAGAGGCTGCAGTGAGCCGAGATCGTGCCACTGCACATTATCCTGGGCGACAAGAGTGAAACTCCATCTCAAAAAAAAAAAAAAACAAAACCATCCCTTCAACACACACACACCACGCTCTGGGAGAAGGTGTGGCATAACTCCTTCACCAAATACAGAGCTGCCACCGTGGACCAGACACTGCTCGTGATACCGAGGGTATAGCTGTTAACAATTCTTGCTTTCATTAAGCATGGACTCTGCTGGGTTTGAAAACACTGAATTCGAAGTTCTTCAGAACTGAATGTAACTATGTGAATCTGGCCAGTTCCTTAATTTTCTTTCAACTTGGTTAGTTCACATAAGCGTGGCAATCGCAAAAATACAGCTGTGAAAATAGAAGCCAGATGGGCACCCGGCGGTCTGGCCTTAGGCCCTGAAGTGCAGGTTTGAGGATTGGTGCTTGCGAAGTCCTGCTAGGCCTGAACTCAGGTGTTGGGGGACGTCAGAGCCGCCAAATACACCCAAAAGACCGGGAGGACTCACGGCCACCACTTTCCTCGGTGGGAGCTGTCCCAGCTGGTCAGATCGCGCTTGCTGGGACCTGGGATCTCGCAACGCATGCTGGGATGCCCAGCATCTAAGGGCGCCCATTGGTCCCGCCCCCACGACTTGAGCAACAGCCAATCAGAGGTGGCAGCGTGCGGAAGCGGAAGTGAGGTTTCCGTGGAGACAGCCGAGCCTGCGGAAGGCGGCGGCGGCGGCACCTGCGATCAGCGGCTGGGGCAGGTTATGGTAGTGCGGACTGCGGTGTGAGCAGAGCGGCCACGGGGCCCGCCATGCGCCGGCGGCCCTGACATGGGCGCCAGCGGGTCCAAAGCTCGGGGCCTGTGGCCCTTCGCCTCGGCGGCCGGAGGCGGCGGCTCAGAGGCAGCAGGAGCTGAGCAAGCTTTGGTGCGGCCTCGGGGCCGAGCTGTGCCCCCCTTCGTATTCACGCGCCGCGGGTAAGGGCATGGGTTCCACCCTGGCGGGGGGAACAGGCGGGCGGCCAGGCGTCCCGCGCCACGGGGGAACTTCCACCGCTGTACCCCACTACAGCCAAGCCAGGACGACCCCCATATTTTGAGCCTCATTGGAGCTGGGGGTGGAGAAAGCCGGGCAGTGGTCTCCTGGCGGCCTGGCCACTCTGAAAGTCTCCCTAGGGAAGAGTGGGCCTGAGGCTTGTCACTGGTCGGACCTTCCGCACGGTAAAGCTAAGCTAGGGCCTCCATAAGACCTCCATAAGATCTCTTCCTTTCATCCCTTCCGGCTCAGCCTGCATACTGAAGGGTCCTAGCCTCCCTTTCCCCCCCAGTTATTCCAAGGGGATAATAACCCTCTGTTTAGGCTGCTTTTCCTGACAGTAGTGGGGCTGAACCTTTGAGCGTAGTGGCTGGGAAAGCAGGGATAGGCCTCAGTATTGGGGGTGAGGCTGAGGAAAAAAGACCCTCACCCAGTTATGTTCTCCAGATCCAGAGCGCTGACCTACCCACCCAACCCCCAGCCCAGTCTCCCAGAGGCCCGCACAAGAGTACCAGATTGGCTTGGCTCTAGTGGGCTCCTGGAGATGGGCGCTCCCTGTGCTAGAGATTTGGCTGTAGACACCAGGAAGACCCAACAGTGGCAATTCACCAGCCACCTGGGGTGTGGGGTCAGGGGAGACGCAGCCTTCATTCCTTTGTGCTTCTTCCTAGCTTAGGCTTCTGCTATTTCAGTCTTTGACACTGGGCCAGCAGCATCTTCTGGAGTGAGACCAACATGCCCAGGCCACCACCCTGCCCACTCTAGAAGTCCTGGGTGAAGGCAAAGTCCTGATATTAGAATGGCTGCCCTTGCTGAACAAATCAAGGATGAGAACTGGCCTTGGTGGCTGCCTGGATGGTGTGCTCTGGTGTGGGCTCTCTTCTTGGGGGTCTGACATAGTAGCACTGCCCACCCATCACCTCACTTCCCACTTTCTTCTAGTAGACCCCAAACCCCAGGCAAAGGATTCTCCAGGCAGGCCAGGCACCGTGGCTCACGCCTGTAATCCTAACACTTTGGGAGATGAAGACGAGTGGATTGCCTGAGTTCAGGAGTTCGAGACCAGCCAGAGCAACATGGCAAAACCCCGTCTCTACTAAAATACAAAAAATTAGCAGGGTGTGGTGGTGCATGTCTGTAGTCCCAGCTACTTGGGAGGCTGAGGCAGGAGAATTGCTTGAACCCAGGAGGCAGAGGTTGCAGCAAGCTGAGATCGCGCCACTGCACCTCCAGCCTGGGCAACAGAGTGAGATTCTGTCTCGAAAAATTTTTTTTAAAAAAAGGATTCTCCAGGCATATTATCCTCTTTTCTTCCCACTTGGGGTTGGGAAGACCACAGACTTCCCCGTGACCTGTGACATTTGCCATGCCCAGGTGTGGGGCTCCAGCCCAGCCTGTTTCCTTCTCCCTCTACACAGCTCTATGTTCTATGATGAGGATGGGGATCTGGCTCACGAGTTCTATGAGGAGACAATCGTCACCAAGAACGGGCAGAAGCGGGCCAAGCTGAGGCGAGTGCATAAGAATCTGATTCCTCAGGTGAGGGGCTGGGCAGCGGTCACAGAGCCTACACTAAGCGTGTGGAGGTGGACCCAGATGGGATCTGTTGTCATGGTGGGGGCTTTTGCGGGGGGATCTGGGAGGAACAAGGAAGCTTCCTGAAGTAGAGGCCCTGAGCTGACCCTTACTAGCCTCTGTTTCCATGGCAGGGCATCGTGAAGCTGGATCACCCCCGCATCCACGTGGATTTCCCTGTGATCCTCTATGAGGTGTGACCCTGGGAGGTGGCAGACAGAAGCACCCCCTGCCCCGGCAAGAAACTCCCAGGCTCAATCAAGGTGTGGCTTCCATTGAGGAGCCCAGGCTGGGGCCACAACCCTGAATAAACTCTGTTGGCCCATAACCTTCAGCTGTGAGCGGGTCGGTCCCACAGTATTGGTTGGGTGTTGGTTTGTGTGTGGACAAGAGGTGGTTGGTGGGTGGTGAAGGCTAATGGCAGAGTTAGCACCCCACTCTCCCAAGCCACCCCTGCAAGCAGCACAGCAGGGCATATACCAGTCAGGAATGCCCGTTACCTGGTTCCTTGCCTGGTCTGCTTTCTTCCAAGTTTGCCTGGGGCCTAGCCCTGCTAGAGGCTACAGCACTTTACAAGCAAGGTATGCTTTCTTCCAGCCCCTAGGCTGTGGGCACTGTATACAAGTAGGAACTTCCTTTCCTTCACTTCCCTTTTAACCCCTAGTCAGAGCATTTCAGCCGTTTGCTACCTCGATTCCTCCTGTGTTGGACAGAGGCTGGGGGCAGTGCCAGCCTGATTCTTCCGACCTACCTGCCATTTGTTCCCGCCTTCAGATGGATGGACAGTTTGCTGGCTATTGATAGGAGTGGGGACTGGGTGGGGGCTTCTCCCTCTACCCAGGGCTGGGCTGATCCCCCTACTGCAACTAACTGTTGCCCCCCAACCCCGAACCCCCAGTTGAGGAGTTGAGAGAGTGCAGGCTGGGGTCAGGACAGGCTGCGGATGCTTGTGCCTATGGGGAGTTACTCCAACCCACCTATTCTGTCTAATCTCCATGGCTTTGCACCAAATCCTCCACCCCTCCAATTGGGAGGGGACTGTTCACCACCTTGTGGTAAGGGACAACACCCTAAGGCTGGTGCCAGTAGTTATGAGTAGCCTACCACCCCCTCCCTTACAGTAACCCCCACCCCTTCAGGATCAGTCAAGGGAAAGCACTAGAACCCCTGGGTAGGGAAAGAAAGGAGGGAAAAACCATAAAAGGAATACTTATAATGTGAAGGTTTGTAAATAGTCCATGATGATGTCGTGGCAGAGTCTGATTTCTATATAGAGGTGACTTTTTTTTTAAGTACTGTGCAAGCTCTGTGCTTCTATAATGTGGGAAATGGCTTGGGGAGGATGGCCCCTAGCTTAGGAAGACTGTTGTGTTATTTGTTCAATTTCAATAAAATGATTTGTAGATCCTGCACATGAGAGTGGCATCCTGTGGGGGCTCTGACACCCAGTGTCTAGACTACCACCTGGGTTCAATAGGTAGGCCTGGCACAGGACTCTGGCAGGCCCCCTATGACCAGCAAAGCCCAAGAGTAAGTCTGAGCCCAGCCTGTGGCCATCCCAACTGTGGCCAGCAGGTGGCTGTGTGTTCACACAGACCTCACTGCAGGCCCCCTGCAGGGTGGGAGGGCACTCATTTATCTGTTGTGATCCATGTGGTGGTGACCCTTGGAATCAGAAGGCCCTGGGATACTTCACTAAGGATTGGCCCCACCTGCCTGATCTAAGGTGAGAGAGTGTGACCCAAGATAGTTCTGGAATATCTGTCTTAGCTGTAGCATCGCCAGCTGATCCTAAGTGGGGTCATGGCCTGACCCCCATGGACCTCAAAGGCCCAGCTTTAATGGACAGCAGCCAGATAGGTGTCCCCACGCCTTTGGCCTACTGCCAGGCTCAGCAACCCAAACTCATGTGCCTCCTCTGAGGCCTGCCTGCGGACACCATGGGAGAATGAGCTCAGGCTGCTGTTTCAGCAAGCAAGGCTCGGCCCACTAGTATTGCCCCTGCTGTCTGTTGCCCCCATCTTCTCATCACCTGCAGCCTGCCCACTGTGGTCATTCTGCCTGCACTTCTCAGGGGCTGCTATAAGGCAGATTCTCTACTAGGCTTAGGCTTTGACTATCAGTCCAACTCCCAGTTAAAGAGGGGAGATTTCAGGGACAGGCTTCTGAGTGTAGGGAGCTGGTCTGCCAGTCTTTCGGAGGTTTGAACTTGTCAAGGCTAGGGCAGGATCACCATATCCAGCCTGGACTTGCAGTTCTGTGGGGTGCCTCCCCATACCCCCATAAGATGCCAAACATGAGGCCCTGTCATCCTCCATGGTCCCCCTCTACTGGCTGTTCAAGGCCCAGGGCTCTCCCATGCCAGATAGCATCCTGTCTCCTACCACCACTGTCCCAGCCTGAGGGAACTCCCTGTGCTGGGCCTACCCAGCTGACCCCATCGCTGGAAACAATGGGGGTCAGGCAACACTTCCCCACTCTCTCCCGCCGGGCTGTGCTCACTTCCTTCCTGCTGGCTGCCTGAGGAAGTGTCCCTGCCCTGGGACAGTCTGGCCTAGCCTTTGTTTCCCCGGGGGTCCCCACCCATGGAGCTTTCAAGGCTTCTGGCCCCTGTGAAGCCAGCACAGTGGTACAGGGACACTGCACCTTCCCCTACCATGTCTTGGACTCCTTGGTCCTCAGGGCCAGACTCCTGGGTATTCACCTACCCCTCACACAGCCTTCTGTTGGGGGAGAGGCTCCTGGGCATTGGGCCATTGGGTTGTTGAGGGGTTGGCTCTGGGTGATTTGAGGGTAGGTAGATTTGCACCCCTGGAGAGGTCTGCTGGAACCTTGCTGCAGTCCTCCCTAGGGCCAGCCACAGGAACACCCCTCCCAGAGGAGTATACCCCTTTCCTCATCCATGTTGTAAGGAGCCCCCTACTCTGTATAGTGGACTCTGAAATCCATCCAGGAATGAACTCCAGCAGGAAAGCACTCTGCAGAACCCTCCCAGTCCATCCCCTCCTCCCCAACCCACACAGTCACACTCACTAACACATTGTCCTGTCACACAGGATGCGGAAGCTCTCAGTGGAAAAAAACGGACTCAGCTACTGGAAGTCCCCCCGACCCTCCCCCCAAGGCTAGTTCCCTTCTTGGGCACCTGCTCTGGGGGACCATCAGCTGAACGACCCCCAAGTATTTTGACTCCCAAAAGCACCACCACCTGACCCCATCCTCTCACACCCTACTGGATTTGAGGATGGGCCCCAATCCTAGGGAAGGAGTGAAGAGGTTCCCTAGTGTTGGAAGCTGTGGGTGTGGGGGAGATTGGCACCTGATCCTGAGCCCATAGCCTTCCTGTCACCTGGCGCAGCTGGCGGGGCCAGATCCTACTCGGGAAGGGTGGGGAGGGCAGCCAGCCAGCAGGGCATTCTGGAGGGAAACAGGGTCAAGGCGATCTCCTCCCCCACGCCTGTTCCTGGCCCTTTCCTCTCAGGGGGCAGCAGGAAGTGAGGAGAAAGGGCTGGGATGGGAGGCGGGAGCGGATGGGAGGGAATGGGGTTTATCAAGTCCTCGGCGAGCTGCCCAACGGGCAGCAGCTGGCGCAAGTAGCCTAGCTGGAGAGGCTCACCCCAGGAAGGAGGGAGGCCACCGACCTACTGGGCCGACGGACTCCCACACAGGTGAGCCCAGAGCAGACGGCTGGTCTGCACCCCCACAGATGCGCTCGCAGTTGCACTCCCTCCCTCTCCTGGCGCCCGGGAGGGTTAGGGGCTGGTGGTGCAGACGCGGGCCCTTTTGGGAGTTGAGTCTCGCACAAGGGAGCGGACCTAGGAAGAGCCGAGGTGGTTTCGCACGGGGCTCGCCAGGGTCTAAGCCTGCCCCCCACCGGGAGAGGCCTGTGGAGCGTAGGGGGCGCTGGATACGGGATGGAGGCCCTGGGAGACCCCTCTTGCTGGCTTTCTCGGAGGTCCAGCCAGAAACTGCTGCAAGGAATGGAGGCCTCCTCGGGGTTGAGAGGGAGCCGGGCTCCCAAAGGACCTCAGAGACTGGGCAGAAAAGGACGGGATCTCAGGGATGACTGTCCCGCCCTGATGCGAGTCAGGGAGAGGGGCGGCCAACCTCCTAGACCCCTCTGAGCTTCCCTGACCCCAACCCTGCGGCCACGCCGCGACCCAGAGCCGGGCTGCCAGGATAACGACTGCCTCGGCCCTTCCTGGGCCGGCTAAGAAGCGGTGCTTGGCCCCTTCCCTCAGTCTGGCAGGGGGCGGGGCCTCCCTTTAGACGGCGGACCAGAGAAGGGGGCCCCTGATTCGTGGGAGGCGGGGCACTACTCTCCAGGAGACCAGAGGTCGCCTCAGGTCAAAGTCCCTTTTTCCACACAAAGGGGACCCACGGCTGGCGTCTACGTTAGGGGGTGCAGAGCCAGATCTGGTGCTGCCCCCTGCCAACCTCGGAGTACCACAGCACCTCCTGATGGCCGAACGGGGCAACGCCTCCTCCTATTCCCCCCCCCCCCCTTCCCGTCCCCCTGCCTTGTCCCTCACACTGTCTCTTTAAAGGGCTGGCGGCGCCGCGGAGCTGGGAGGACTGAACCACCGGCCTCGGGCTGCAGGGGAAACATTTCAGGCTGACTGGCGCTCGTGGCTGAGACTCCCATAGAAAGCCCGGCTCAGAGGGGCATTAGGGTCCTAAATGGGCGGCCACGTCCCTCTGCAGAGGACCTGGGGCTCTTCGAGCCCGAAACGAGGCACCGGCACCGAGAAAGGTGGACCACACCTTCCCGCCCCGTCCGCAAGTCCAATCCCGGGCCCACCTCCGCACTGGAGTCTTAAAGGGCCAGCGTGCCTGGGGGCGGAGCCAGCAGAGGCGCTGAGCCGGGCCGCGCCTGGGCGAACGGCCGGAGCGGGCTGGGCTGGGCCCGGGATGGCGGTGGCCCTGGCGCCGGTCCCGGTGGCGCCCCGCGCGAGGTGAGGGCGGGCGGTGCAAACCTGGCGGCTCTCTCCCCTTGGGCTGGGGTCTGAATCCCCGGGGGTGCTCGCGGAGAGGCGTCCCAGAAACCCCACCCCCACCCGACCGGGCGCAGGCCCCACGTGTGGGGCGGGGGCGGGGTCCCGCACAAAGACCCGGCGGAGCGCGCTCTAGCCCTGAGCGGCCGGGCGGGGGAGGCGAGCGCGCGCATTCCCGGTGGCGGTGGAGGGAAGGGCCGGGCGGCCGGCGCCGCCGTGGGAGGTCCGCTGCCCCTTTGTCCCTACGGGGCCTCCTCCAAGCCGGGAGAGTGTCAGCGCTCGAGAGAAAGTCCGGAGAGCCTCACTCTTCTGCCGGGCGAGTGTTACACGGATAGAAGCCTCCCGGCAGCGTTCCTTCCAGTTTCGTAGCCTCTTGACGAGCTGTTCCCTGCTTTACCCAAATGCTGTCGTTTCTCTGGATCAAGGGTTCTTCACGGTGTACAGGGTGGGCATCAGCTGTTCAGGGTTCTCTGAAACCATGTACTGGATGGTATGCAGGCATATATGTGACTCTGGTGAGCCCAAATTATCTAGTTCTTAGAAGGGTCACAGACCTAATAGAGATTTGTGCCGAGCCACAGGCTACCTGCTCCAGAAAAGAGCCCTGTGCTTCTGGCAGTGAGTTCCCAGGGTGCCTTGTCTGCCCTGCAGTGGCCTGTGGTCTCTCAAACCTATTACAGCCATGAGCACAGTGCCCCCACACAGCATGGGCTTTGGGAGCATAGATGGGCTTGAGGTGGGCACTTCCAGTATTCCCTAGACTGACTTGTTCTCCCCAACCCTTCTTCCAGTTCCTGAGCTGGTGCCAGGCAGGTGACACCTCCTGCAGCCCCCAGCATGCGGGCAGGCCCAGGCCCCACCGTTACATTGGCCCTGGTGCTGGCGGTGTCATGGGCCATGGAGCTCAAGCCCACAGCACCACCCATCTTCACTGGCCGGCCCTTTGTGGTAGCGTGGGACGTGCCCACACAGGACTGTGGCCCACGCCTCAAGGTGCCACTGGACCTGAATGCCTTTGATGTGCAGGCCTCACCTAATGAGGGTTTTGTGAACCAGAATATTACCATCTTCTACCGCGACCGTCTAGGCCTGTATCCACGCTTCGATTCTGCCGGAAGGTCTGTGCATGGTGGTGTGCCACAGAATGTCAGCCTTTGGGCACACCGGAAGATGCTGCAGAAACGTGTGGAGCACTACATTCGGACACAGGAGTCTGCGGGGCTGGCGGTCATCGACTGGGAGGACTGGCGACCTGTGTGGGTGCGCAACTGGCAGGACAAAGATGTGTATCGCCGGTTATCACGCCAGCTAGTGGCCAGTCGTCACCCTGACTGGCCTCCAGACCGCATAGTCAAACAGGCACAATATGAGTTTGAGTTCGCAGCACAGCAGTTCATGCTGGAGACACTGCGTTATGTCAAGGCAGTGCGGCCCCGGCACCTCTGGGGCTTCTACCTCTTTCCTGACTGCTACAATCATGATTATGTGCAGAACTGGGAGAGCTACACAGGCCGCTGCCCTGATGTTGAGGTGGCCCGCAATGACCAGCTGGCCTGGCTGTGGGCTGAGAGCACGGCCCTCTTCCCGTCTGTCTACCTGGACGAGACACTTGCTTCCTCCCGCCATGGCCGCAACTTTGTGAGCTTCCGTGTTCAGGAGGCCCTTCGTGTGGCTCGCACCCACCATGCCAACCATGCACTCCCAGTCTACGTCTTCACACGACCCACCTACAGCCGCAGGCTCACGGGGCTTAGTGAGGTATGTGTCTCCAGGGCCCTGCCTTTTTTCTCCTTCCTTGAGGATCCACTGCACATTTGGGTTATCAGGGGCCACTATAGGACTATACCTGTAGTTTATTGGCTGCTCCACATCCCCTCAAATCATTCTGTCTATAACCTGAAAGGGTGACATCATTATCCCCATTTTTCAGATGAGAACAATTGAGGCACAGCGATGCTGAGAAGTTTGCCCAAAGCTTCCCAGCAAATCCAGAGCAGAGCTGGGACTGGGGCCCAGGCCTTCTAACTTTGGAATCCATCCTGATAGCTGCACCTAGGCTCAAGTGTGCCCTTGGCTTGGGAAACTGAGCCCCAAAAGTGGGGTGGAAATGGACTTAAATGTTTAAAAAGGAAGCAAAACAAATGAGCCTCTGCCTGGACGTGAAATGGGGGTTGAGCTGGGAGTTCAGCAGGTTGAATCAGGCTGGGGTCTGCCCTCCTTGTCTGTTCCTGTCACCCTGTGGTCTCAGTCTTCCCCAGTGACCATCCCTTTTCCTGCATAGATGGACCTCATCTCTACCATTGGCGAGAGTGCGGCCCTGGGCGCAGCTGGTGTCATCCTCTGGGGTGACGCGGGGTACACCACAAGCACGGTAAGCGAGACCCAGCCTGCCAGAGCTCAGTCTATGGGACAGACAGAGAGTTAGGGCCTTTGGCTACCAACCTCAGGTGGGCAATCCTAGTCTGGTCCCCTTGTCTGTCTCCCACCCGAGGCATCCCTGGTGGCAACAGGAGGAGGTCACCCCGGCCCTGCTCTCAGGAAAGAGGAAATGCTGTCCTGAACAGCTGTTGAGTTCCGCCCTTCCCCATCTGCCCAACTGGGTTCCGGTCTGTACCCCCACCCACTTCTCAGCAGGAGCAGGGACTGTGTGGCTCAGGTGCAGATTGAATGTATGAATGTGTGCAGTTAAAATAAGGTATAGTCATCACAGTGTGGACACAGTTTCCATCTGGGCCTGTGGGCTGAGGCAGCTGACCCTGACCTGTGGTCCTTGTCTTCTGCCTCCAGGAGACCTGCCAGTACCTCAAAGATTACCTGACACGGCTGCTGGTCCCCTACGTGGTCAATGTGTCCTGGGCCACCCAATATTGCAGCCGGGCCCAGTGCCATGGCCATGGGCGCTGTGTGCGCCGCAACCCCAGTGCCAGTACCTTCCTGCATCTCAGCACCAACAGTTTCCGCCTAGTGCCTGGCCATGCACCTGGTGAACCCCAGCTGCGACCTGTGGGGGAGCTCAGTTGGGCCGACATTGACCACCTGCAGACACACTTCCGCTGCCAGTGCTACTTGGGCTGGAGTGGTGAGCAATGCCAGTGGGACCATAGGCAGGCAGCTGGAGGTGCCAGCGAGGCCTGGGCTGGGTCCCACCTCACCAGTCTGCTGGCTCTGGCAGCCCTGGCCTTTACCTGGACCTTGTAGGGGTCTCCTGCCTAGCTGCCTAGCAAGCTGGCCTCTACCACAAGGGCTCTCTTAGGCATGTAGGACCCTGCAGGGGGTGGACAAACTGGAGTCTGGAGTGGGCAGAGCCCCCAGGAAGCCCAGGAGGGCATCCATACCAGCTCGCACCCCCCTGTTCTAAGGGGGAGGGGAAGTCCCTGGGAGGCCCCTTCTCTCCCTGCCAGAGGGGAAGGAGGGTACAGCTGGGCTGGGGAGGACCTGACCCTACTCCCTTGCCCTAGATAGTTTATTATTATTATTATTTTGGGGTCTCTTTTGTAAATTAAACATAAAACAATTGCTTCTCTGCTTGGATTTTGTACCTGGGCTAAAGTGTATGCGAGATTCCAGAATTTCCCATGGGGTTTGAGCTCAGCTCTGTCTCTATGAAACCCTCTGCTGGGGACTTCTCGTGTAAGATGTATTCACCAAGACTTGGGGGCCCAGAGCTGCCCACTCTGGAGCTGTTCTGCTGGGGCAGGAGCCACCCCAGTGGGAGTGGAGGGACCCACATTCCATCCCAACACCAAGGACGTTGCTTTCTCCGTATTGGTTGCAAGGGAGTCAGGCCCCGCCTTGTGTGAGGGACAGGGCTCATTGTGTTTCTGCCACTTGCCCCTGTCCTCCCAGCTGGACCAGTGCCAGCCTCCTTGCCAACCCAAGGGAGAAACGTTTGATCTTCCCTGCTGTTCCCACAGGCAAGGGTGTCTCCTCCAGTCCCTGCTCCCAAGGGCAGTGGACACCAGCCACATACACCTCTCATCAGGGTCACAGCCCTCCCTCGGATCTGGTGGTGGGAGGTGGGCAGGGGATTGGGATCTGAATCGTGAGGTTCAGTCCCTGTCCCATTCTAGAGATGCCTGATGGGGCTGGGAGGTGGCATCTTGGGCCTGGGAGCAGGAACATCTTCTAAGGTCTGCTCCGTCCTGGCTGTGGGAGAGTATGGCTAGTCTCTGGCTGTCCCTGAGGAAAGAAGGAGCAGCTGGAGTTGTCAGACCAGCTCTGAGCTGCTTCACTAGCCCTGCCTCTGACGGGAGTGCATTCTGCCTCTCCCCTCAGCCAGCAACCCCACACCTGGGGTCCCGCCCATGTCCGTGATGACTCACCACGCAGCCCTGCTTCAGGAGGCTCTGGCTCTGGGGAGACAGACTCAAGAAGCCGTTGAGTGGTGAGGGCAGCCAGCAGCAGGGGAGCAGGGGTGGTGCCCTTGGAGATGCTTCCCACATTGGGTTCTAAAAGGTGAGGGCGGCAGCTCGATGCTCAGGAACAAATCCTGGGCAGAGGCTGGAGGAAGTTGGAGGTGGTGAAGGTGAACAGTTCAGGGCTGGGGTGTGGCTTAGTGGCTGCTGTGGGCAGAGGCAGGAGGGGCAGCCCTAGAGCAGCACCAGGCCTGACTTCACCTAATACTGACTTACTCATTCAGTAAACGCTGAGCACACAGTGTGCCTGTGCTGGGCTAGGTGCTGGGGATGCATCGATGATGCATCTATGAACCACACCAACAAAGACCCCCGTCCTTGTGGGAGTGACAAAATAGAGGTAGATGCACACTAGATGCAAAGACCGAGATGCCAGATGGGAGAAACAAGCCCGGCCAAGCCAGTGCCAACCCAGGCTGTAAAGATATCCTTCCCTCACCTCTTTCGCCGGTGATGGGTAGAGAATGGAGAGGAGAGAGTGAGGTGGTAACACTGGAAAGGTGACGTGGTAAATTCACACAGTGAAGGAGGAGGTGCACATACAAGTGGAGGGGTCCCAGGTGCTCATGGCCATGGTGGGGGGAGGCCAGGCTGGAGAGAAGATTCAGGTGTTGGTCAATAAAATGATGGGCCGGGTGCGGTGGCTCACCCCTGTAATCCCAGCACTTTGGGAGGCCAAGGCAGGTGGATCACTTGAGGCCAGGAGTTTGAGACCAGCCTGGCCAACATGCTGAAACCCTGTCTCTACTAAAAATACAAAAATTAGCTGGGCATCCGGGCCTGGTGGTTCACGCCTCTAATCCCAGCACTTTGGGAGGCCGAGGCGGACAGATCACAAGGTCAGGAATTAGAGACCAGCCTGACCAACGTGGTGAACCCCATCTCTACTGAAAATAAAAAATTAGCCGGGTATGGTGGTGCCTGCTTGTAATCCCAGCTACTCAGAAGGCTGAGGCAGGAGAATCGCTTGAACCCGGGAGGTGGAGGTTGCAGTGAGCCAAGATCACACCACTGCGCTCCAGCCTGGGCGACAGAGTGAGACTCTGTCTCAAAAAAAAAAAAAAAAATTAGCTGGGTTTGTTGGTGCACACCTGTAGTCCTAGCTGCTTGGGCAGCTGAAACACAAGAATCACTTGACCCCAGGAGGTTGCAGTGAGCGGAGAATGGGCCACTGAACTCCAGCCTGGGTGACAGAGCAAGACTCTGTCTCAAAAAAAAAGTTGCCACAATAAGATGATGGCACTTAGCAAAAGGACAGCAGGAAAGGAGAAAGGAGCTGTGGCCTGTCCCCCATACCTGTGACTTCCTGCACCTGTGACCTCCCCCACACAGATGTGACCCATGCATACCTCTGAGCTACCCCACCCACACCCAACACACAGAGGTGATCCAGACCACACCACTGTGACCTTTCCCACCTAGCTATGACCCCTACATACCTGTAACCCCTCCCATGTGTGACCCCATACAGCTGTTACCGTCTCCAAATAACTGACTCCTCCGCAACTGTGACCTCTCCTGCATAGCTGTGACCAGTACCCATCGAGCTGTGACCCCCTCCATATAAACCTTTATGAACCTCACATTTCTTCCCCCGGAGGACCTAAAAGATGGTCCTAGGGAAAGTGCAACTCAGGGAGAGCCAGCACTGTCCTGTGGGGAAAGCGGGGAGTGGGTAGGAATAAGGTAATGGGGAGTGATGCGGCTCAGAGATCTGAAGTGTTGAACAACCGGAGACAGCAGGCGGGACTGGACCATCAAGCTGATGGACCCCAGACATATGCGCACACACACACCATTTGAGCCAATCCTACTGGACCAGCCCAGTAGGAGCAGGCCTGTGGGCAGGGCCCTGGGGTGGAGGAGGATTTCAGGCACCCTCAGATTCTTCCTATGGTTCCACCATTAGAGCTTCTCCCTTGGACTGAGGCCAGCTGGAGAATGCTGGCCTGGTGGTTACCTGGATTGGGCCAACTGCAGCACTAGGTTTCTGGGGGCACCAGGAGGTGGCATGAATCCTTGAGGAGGGGGGCCAGGGGTTGCCTTGATGTTCTGTTCCCTCAGCCCTCAAGAGTTGTGCCAGGCTCTCTGGGCCTACATGGTCATCACTCTGGGACCCTGCTTCCTGAACTGGATCAGCAGTCACCACTTCTGGGGCTTGATCTTGTGTACAAGTCTCATGCTGTCCCCAGCATCCTGGGCCCTTCTTTCCCTCAGCCCTGCCAGCTTTTCTATCCCAGGCAGCCTGTAGGACCCAACCCAGATGGTAGTTAACTGTGAGTTTCGTTGCTTCAGTGGCCACCGTGCCAGGGGTGGCCTGGCTACAGTGGCTCAGTCTCAGACTTGACTCAGATCCAGGTAGCACTTTCACTTGGGCAGGGACATGGTGTTTCCTTCAACCTACTCTGGCAGGCAAGGCTGGGCCCAAGCACCTAGCAGGTGTCAATAACCAGCTTCTGAATCAGCTGTGAACCCAGAAAATCTGACAAAGGTCTCAGTTAACTTAGAAAGTTTATTTTGCCGAGGTTGAGGACTTGCTGGTGACACAGCCTCAGGAAGTCCTGAGGACATGTGCCCAGGGCGGTTGGGGCACAGCTTGGTTTTATAGATTTTAGGGAGACATGAGACATTAATCAATATGTAAGAAGTACATTAGTTCCAGAAAGAAAGGTGGAGACTGCTCAAATCAAGGCTCCCAGGCTCAAAGCACTGGGGGCTTCCAGGTCACAGATAGGTGAGAGACAGATGGTTGCATTCTTTTGAGTTTCTGGTAAGTCTTTCCAAAGGAGGCAATCAGAATATGCATCTATCTCTGTGAGCAAAAGGATGACTTGAATAGAATGGGAGGCAGATTTGTCCTGAGCAGTTCCCAGCTTGAAGAGGCCCAAGATACTTTCCTTTCACATTTACCCCATTTTCTTTTTCAAAATCTTTTGGAGAAAGCATTTTGCAAGAAAATGAGTATCTGGTCTCAGGTTTCATCTGATCTCTCATTGCTAGATAAGTAGGTCCGGAAAGCTCATTTTTAGCAGGTTGTAAAGTCTCATGCAGTGTGAAGAGAAAATAGGGAGAAGGAAGGAAGAGAAAAAAAAAACAGCAAAAGAACAATCCCAGCCCTGGCGGGGTGGCTCATGCCTGTAATCCCAACAATTTGGGAGGCTGAGGCGGGTGGATCACCTGCGGTTGGGAGTTCGAGAACAGCCTGACCAACATGGAGAAACTCTGTCTCTACTGAAAATACAAAAAACTAGCCAGGCATGGTGGCTCATGCCTGTAATCCCAGCTACTCAGGAGGCTGAGACAGGAGAATCACTTGAACCCAGGAGGCGGAGGTTGCAGCAACCTGACATTGCGCCATTGCACTCCAGCCTGGGCAACAAGAGTGAAACTCCATCTCAAAAAAAAAAAAAAAAAAAATCCTGGGAAAATATAGGCCACATTACTCTGAAGTCCATACATTGGTAGGCAGGTATGAAAGTGGCTTATGTATGTACATAAACAGGTTACTGTTACTTTCTTCTGAAGTGTAAGTTGTCTGACTTTAGTTGACACGCTTTTAAGAAACCACAGCTAGGGCCGGGCGCAGTGACTAACGCCTGTAATCCCAGCACTTCGAGAGGCCGAGGCGGCCGGATCACAAGGTCAGGAGTTCGAGACCAGCCTGGTCAATATGGTGAAACCCTGTCTCTACTAAAAATACAAAAATTAGCCAGGCATGGTAGCAAGCGCCTGTAGTCCCAGCTACTCGGGAGGCTGAGGCAGGAGAATTGCTTGAACCTGGGAGGCATAAGTTGCAGTGAGCTGAGATCGCGCCACTGCACTCCAGCCTGGGTGACAGAGCGAGACTCCATCTCAAAAAAAAAAAAAAAAGAAACCACAGT